>NC_000024.10:26064722-26673214 GCF_000001405.40 Homo sapiens | reverse complement strand
GAATTCCACTCTGCACCACTCCAATCCAATCTATTCCATTCCATTCCAATCCAATCCACTCCACTCCACTGGAATCCACTCCATTCCACTACCCTCCATTCCAATTCGTTCCTCTCTATTCCATTCCACTCCAATTCACTGCCTTCCATGCCATTTCATTTGATGCCATTCAAAACCATTTGATTCAATTCCATTTGACTCCTTTGGATTCCATTGTTTACATTCAATTCGATTCCATTCAATTTCATTTGATTTCATTTTTTCCATTCGATTCGATTCAATCCAATTTGATTCCCTGCGATTCCATTCTATTCCATTCCATTCCAGTCCATTCAGTTCCATTCCCTTACATTCCATTCCATTCCAATCCACTCCACTCCATTCCTGTCCACTCTATACCATTCCATTCCATTCCTCTGCACTCCATTCCATTCCAATCCACTCCATTCCACTCCATTCCATTCCACTCCATTCCACTCCACTCCACTCCATGCCACTCCACTCCACTGCACGCCACTCCTTTCAATCCCATTCCTTCCCATTCCATTCCACTCCAGTACACTCCAATCCACTCTGTACCATTAAATTCTGTTCCACCCTATTCCATTGCACTCCTTTCCACTCCACTCCGCTCCACTTCATCGCATTCCATTCGTTTCCATTCACTGACATTCAAAACCGTTCCATTCTATGCCATTCGATTCCATTTGACTCCATTTTTCCATTTGATTCTATTCAATTCGATTTGATTCTATTCAATTCCATGCGATTCCATTCCATTCCATTCTTATCCATTCCATTCCTGTACGTTCCATACCATTCCATTCCATTCAACTACACTCCACTTCATTCCACTGCACTCCCCTGCACTCCACTCCAATCCACTACATTCTACTACACTCCATTTTTTTCAATTCCATGACTTTCCATTCCATTCCATTCCACTCCTCTCCAGTCAATTCCATTCATCCCATTCCATTCCACTCCATTCCACTCAACTCCACCTCACTGCATTCCTTTCGATTCCATTCAATGTCATTCGAATCCATTCGATTTGATTCCATTTGATTCCATTTTTTCCATTCAATTTCATTCAATTTGATTTGATTCAGTTCCATGTGATTTGATTCCATTCCACTCCATTCCATTCCATTCCATTCCATTCCACTCCACTCCATTGCACTCCAAGCCACTTCAATCCCCTACAGTCCAATGCACTACACTCCGCTTTGCTCCAGTCCACTCCACTCCATTACTCTCCATTCCACTCAATTCCACTCCACTCCATTAAATTCCATTCTACTACACTCCATTCCATTCCACTCCACTCCATTGCATTCCATTCCATTCCACTCCACTTCTTTCCACTCCAATCCACTAGAATGCAGTCTACTCCAATCCACAGCACTCAATTCCAATTCACCCCTTTCAATTCCATTCCTGCCCATTCCGTTCCATTCCACTCCAGTCCACTACAATCCACTCCACTCCATTCAATTCAATTATACCCCATTCCATTCAACTCCATTCCAATGCCCTCCACCTCACCGCATTCCATTCAATTCTATTTGTTGCCTTTGAATCCATCTTATTCGATTCTACTCCATTCCATTTTTTCCGATCAATTTCATTAGATTCGATTCACTTCGATACCATTTGATTCCGTTCCATTCCATTCCATTCCATTCCATTCCATTCCATTCCATTCCATTCCTTTCCACTCCACTTCACTGCACTGCACTTCACTGCATTCTATTCCATTCCTTTGCATTCCGTTCCATTCCACTCCAGTAGACTCCAATACACTCCACTCCATTCAATTTCATTCCACCCCATTTCATTACACTCCACTCCACTTCACCACATTTCATTTGATATTTTTCGATGTCAGTTTAACCAATGAGGTTTGACTCCATTCGTTTGCTTTTGATTCCATTTTTTGATTCGATTTAATTCCATTCGATTTGATTCAATACCATGTGATTCAATTCCATTCCACTCTGCTCCGCTCTATTTCAATCCAATCCACTCCACTCAACTCCACTCCACTCCAGTCCACCGCACTCCACTCCTGTACTCTGCATTACACTCCAACCCATTCCACTCTACTCCACTCCACTCTACTCCACTCCATTATCCCCCATTCCACTCCACTCCACTCCGTTCAATTCCATTTCTTCCCATTCCACTCCTGGGCACTCCACTCCACTCCACACCATTCAATTCCATTCCACCCTAATACATTCCCTCCATTCCACTTCACCGCATTTCATTTCATTTTCCTCGAAGTCAGTAGAATCAGTGCAATTCGATTCCATTCGTTTCCCTTCGATTCCATTATTTCCATTCGATTTGATTCCAGCTGATTCATTACCATGCGATTTGATTCCATTCCATTCCATTCCACCCCACTGCGTTCCATTCCACTCCAATGCACTCCACTCCACCCCACTCTAGTCCACTCCACAGCACTCCACTCCGATGCACTCCAATCCACTCCAATCCATTCCACTCCACTCCAGTCCATTGCGCTCCATTCCACTCCAATCCACTTCACTCCACTCCCCGCCATAGAGTTCCAATCCACCCCAGTTCACTCTAAAACATTCCACTCCACTCCACTCCACTTCACTGCATTCCTTTCCATTCCATTCAATGCCTTTCGAATCCATTCCTTTAGAATCCTTTCGATTCCATTGGATTCATAATTTTCCGTTCAATTCGATTTGATTTCATATCATTCCATGCGATTCCATTCCATTCTATTCCACGCCATTCCACGCCATTCCATTCCATACCAATCCACTTCATTCTTTTGAATTCCACTCTGCTCCACTCCATTCCATTCCACTCAACTGGACTTCACTCCACTCCATTCCTCTGCACTCCAGTCCACTCCACTCTGCACCACTCCAATCCAATCTATTCCATTCCATTCCAATCCAATCCACTCCATTCCACTACACTCCATTCCAATTCATTCCTCTCTATTCCACTCCACTCCAATTCACTGCCTTCCATGCCATTTCATTTGATGCCATTCAAAACCATTTGATTCGATTCCATTTGACTCCATTGGATTCCATTGTTTACATTCAATTCGATTCCATTCAATTTCATTTGATTTCATTTTCTCCATTCGATTCGATTCAATCCAATTTGATTCCCTGTGATTCCATTCTACTCCATTCCATTCCAGTCCATTCAGTTCCATTCCCTTACATTCCATTCCATTCCAATCCACTCCACTCCATTCCTGTCCACTCTATACCATTCCATTCCATTCCTCTGCACTCCATTCCATTCCAATCCACTCCATTCCACTCCATTCCATTCCACTCCATTCCACTCCACTCCACTCCATGCCACTCCACTCCACTGCACGCCACTCCTTTCAATCCCATTCCTTCCCTTTCCATTCCACTCCAGTCCACTCCAATCCACTCTGTTCCATTAAATTCTGTTCCACCCTATTCCATTGCACTCCTTTCCACTCCGCTCCGCTCCACTTCATCGCATTCCATTCGTTTCCTTTCACTGACATTCAAAACCGTTCGATTCTATGACATTCGATTCCATTTGCCTCCATTTTTTCCTTTTGATTCTATTCAATTCGATTTCATTCTATTCAATTCCATGCGATTCCATTCCATTCCATTCTTATCCATTCCATTCCAGTACGTTCCATACCATTCCATTCCATTCAACTACACTCCTCTTCATTCCACTGCACTCCCCTGCACTCCACTCCAATCCACTACATTCTACTACACTCCATTTCGTTCAATTCCATTCCTTTCCATTCCATTCCATTCCACTCCTCTCCAGTCAATTCCATTCATCCCATTCCATTCCACTCCACTCCACTCAACTCCACCTCACTGCATTCCTTTCGATTCCATTCAATGTCATTCGAATCCATTCGATTTGATTCCATTTCATTCCATTTTTTCCATTCAATTTCATTCAATTCGATTTGATTCAGTTCCATGTGATTCGATTCCATTCCACTCCATTCCATTCCATTCCATTACATTCCATTCCACTCCACTCCATTGCACTCCAAGCCACTTCAATCCCCTACAGTCCAAGGCACTACACTCCACTTCGCTCCAGTCCACTCCACTCCATTACTCTCCATTCCACTCAATTCCACTCCACTCCATTAAATTCCATTCTACTCCACTCCATTCCATTCCGCTCCACTCCATTGCATTCCATTCCATTCCACTCCACTTCTTTCCACTCCAATCCGCTACAATGCAGTCTTCTCCAGTCCACAGCACTCAATTCCAATTCACCCCTTTCAATTCCATTCCTGCCCATTCCGTTCCATTCCACTCCAGTCCACTACAATCCACTCCACTCCATTCAATCCCATTCCTTCCCATTCCATTCAACTCCAGTCCACTCCAATCCAATCTGTTCCATTAAATTCTCTTCCACCCTATTCCATTGCACTCCTTTCCACTCCACTCCGCTCCACTTCATCGCATTCCATTCGTTTCCATTCACTGACATTCAAAACCGTTCGATTCTATGACATTCGATTCCATTTGACTCCATTTTTTCCATTTGATTCTATTCAATTCGATTTGATTCTATTCAATTCCATGCGATTCCATTCCATTCCATTCTTATCCATTCCATTCCAGTACGTTCCATACCCCTCCATTCCATTCAACTACACTCCACTTCATTCCACTGCACTCCCCTGCACTCCACTCCAATCCACTACATTCTACTACACTCCATTTTTTTCAATTCCATGACTTTCCATTCCATTCCATTCCACTCCTCTCCAGTCAATTCCATTCATCCCATTCCATTCCACTCCATTCCACTCAACTCCACCTCACTGCATTCCTTTCAATTCCATTCAATATCATTCGAATCCATTCGATTTGATTCCATTTGATTCTTTTTTTTCCATTCATTTTCATTCAATTCGATTTGATTCAGTCCCATGTGATTCAATTCTATTCCACTCCATTCCATTCCATTCAATTCCATTCCATTACATTCCATTCCACTCCACTCCATTGCACTCCAAGCCACTTCAATCCCCTACAGTCCAATGCACTACACTCCACTTCGCTGCAGCCCACTCCAATCCATTACTCTCCATTCCTCTCAATTCCACTCCACTCCATTAAATTCCATTCTAATCCACTCCATTCCATTCCACTCCACTCCATTGCATTCCATTCCATTCCACTCCACTTCTTTCCACTCCAATCCACTAGAATGCAGTCTACTCCAATCCACAGCACTCAATTCCAATTCACCCCTTTCAATTCCATTCCTGCCCATTCCGTTCCATTCCACTCCAGTCCACTCCAATCCACTCCACTCCATTCAATTCAATTACACCTCATTCCATTCAACTCCATTCCAATGCCCTCCAACTCACCGCATTCCATTCATTCTATTTGTTGCCTTTTGAATCCATATTATTCGATTCTACTCCATTCGATTTTTTCCGATCAATTTCATTAGATTCGATTCACTTCGATTCCATTTGATTCCATTCCATTCCATTCCATTCCTTTCCACTCCATTTCACTGCACTGCACTTCACTCCATTCTATTCCATTCCTTTCCATTCCATTGCATTCCACTCCAGTAGACTCCAATCGACCCCACTCCATTCAATTTCATTCCACTCCATTTCGTTACACTCCACTCCACTTCACCACATTTCTTTTGATATTATTCGATGTCAGTTTAACCAATGTGGTTTGACTCCATTCGTTTACATTTGATTCCATTTTTTTCATTCGATTTAATTCCATTCGATTTGATTCAATACCATGTGATTCAATTCCATCCCACTCTGCTCCGCTCTATTTCAATCCACTCCACTCCACTCAACTCTACCCCACTCCAGTCCAACGCACTCCAATCCTGTCCTCTGCATTCTACTCCAACCCATTCCACTCTACTCCACTCCACACTATTCCACTCCATTATGCCCCATTCCACTCCAATCCACTCCCTTCAATTCCATTTCTTCCCATTCCACTCCTGGGCACTCCACTCCACTCCACACCATTCTATTCCATTCCACCCAATACATTCCACTCCACTCCACTTCACCGCGTTTCATTTCATTTTGTTCGAAGTCAGTAGAATCAGTGCAATTCGATTCCATTCGTTTGCCTTCGATTCCATTATTTCCATTCCATTTGATTCCATTTGATTCATTACCATGCGATTTGATGCCATTCCATTCCATTGCACCCCACTCCACTCCATTCCACTCCAATGCACTCTACTCCACCTCACTCTAGTCCACTCCACGGCACTCCACTCCGATCCACTCCACTCCACTCCAATCCATTCCACTCCACTCCAGTCCATTGCACTCCATTCCACTCCAATCCACTTCACTCCACTCCTCTCCATAGAGTTCCAATCCACCCAAGTTCACTCTAAAATATTCCACTCCACTCCACTCCACTGCATTCCTTTCCATTCCATTCAATGCCTTTCGAATCCATTCCTTTAGAATCCTTTCGATTCCATTGGATTCATAATTTTCCGTTTGATTCGATTTGATTTGGTATCATTCCATGCGATTCCATTCCATTCTATTCCACGCCATTCCACGCCATTCCATTCCATAACAATCCACTTCATTCTTTTGCATTCCACTCTGCTCCACTCCATTCCATTCCACTCAACTGGACTTCACTCCACTCCATTCCTCTGCACTCCAGTCCACTCCACTCTGCACCACTCCAATCCAATCTATTCCATTCCATTCCAATCCAATCCACTCCACTCCACTGGAATCCACGCCATTCCACTACACTCCATTCCAATTCATTCCTCTCTATTCCACTCCACTCCAATTCACTGCCTTCCATGCCATTTCATTTGATGCCATTCAAAACCATTTGATTCGATTCCATTTGACTCCATTGGATTCCATTGTTTACATTCAATTCGATTCCATTCAATTTCATTTGATTTCATTTTTTCCATTCGATTCGATTCAATCCAATTTGATTCCCTGCGATTCCATTCTATTCCATTCCATTCCAGTCCATTCAGTTCCATTCCCTTACATTCCATTCCATTCCAATCCACTCCACTCTATTCCTGTCCACTCTATACCATTCCATTCCATTCCTCTGCACTCCATTCCATTCCAATCCACTCCATTCCACTCCATTCCATTCCACTCCATTCCACTCCACTCCACTCCATGCCACTCCACTCCACTGCACGCCACTCCTTTCAATCCCATTCCTTCCCTTTCCATTCCACTCCAGTCCACTCCAATCCAATCTGTTCCATTAAATTCTCTTCCACCCTATTCCATTGCACTCCTTTCCACTCCACTCCGCTCCACTTCATCGCATTCCATTCGTTTCCATTCACTGACATTCAAAACCGTTCGATTCTGTGACATTCGATTCCATTTGCCTCCATTTTTTCCATTTGATTCTATTCAATTCGATTTGATTCTTTTCAATTCCATGCGATTCCATTCCATTCCATTCTTATCCATTCCATTCCAGTACGTTCCATACCATTCCATTCCATTCAACTACACTCCTCTTCATTCCACTGCACTCCCCTGCACTCCACTCCAATCCACTACATTCTACTACAATCCATTTCGTTCAATTCCATTGCTTTCCATTCCATTCCATTCCACTCATCTCCAGTCAATTCCATTCATCCCATTCCATTCCACTCCACTCCACTCAACTCCACCTCACTGCATTCCTTTCGATTCCATTCAATGTCATTCGAATCCATTCGATTTGATTCCATTGGATTTCATTTTTTCCGTTCAATTTCATTCAATTCGATTTGATTCAGTTCCATGTGATTCGATTCCATTCCACTACGTTCCATTCCATTCCATTACATTCGATTCCACTCCACTCCATTGCACTCCAAGCCACTTCAATCCCCTATAGTCCAAGGCACTACACTCCACTTCGCTCCAGTCCACTCCACTCCATTACTCTCCATTCCACTCAATTCCACTCCACTCCATTAAATTCCATTCTACTCCACTCCATTCCATTCCGCTCCACTCCATTGCATTCCATTCCATTCCACTCCACTTCTTTCCACTCCAATCCATTACAATGCAGTCTACTCCAATCCACAGCACTCAATTCCAATTCACCCCTTTCAATTCCATTCCTTCCCATTCCGTTCCTTTCCACTCCAGTCCACTACAATCCACTCCACTCCATTCAATTCAATTACACCCCATTCCATTCAACTCCATTCCAATGCCCTCAACCTCACCGCATTCCATTCAATTCTATTTGTTGCCTTTGAATCCATCTTATTCGATTCTACTCCATTCCATTTTTTCCGATCAATTTCATTAGATTCGATTCACTTCGATTCCATTTGATTCCATTCCATTCCTTTCCACTCCATTTCACTGCACTGCACTTCACTCCATTCTATTCCATTCCTTTCCATTCCGTTCCATTCCACTCCAGTAGACTCCAATCCACTCCACTCTATTCAATTTCCTTCCACCCCATTTCGTTACACTCCACTCCACTTCACCGCATTTCATTTGATATTATTCGTTGTGAGTTTAACCAATGTGTTTTGACTCCATTCGTTTGCATTTGATTCCATTTTTTCATTCGATTTAATTCCATTCGATTTGATTTAATACCATGTGATTCAATTCCATTCCACTCTGCTCCGCTCTATTTCAATCCAATCCACTCCACTCAACTTCACTCCACTCCAGTCCACCGCACTCCACTCCTGTCCTCTGCATTCCACTCCAACCCATTCCACTCTACTCCACTCCACACTATTCCACTCCATTATGCCCCATTCCACTCCACTCCACTCCGTTCAATTCCATTTCTTCCCATTCCACTCCTGGGAACTCCACTCCACTCCACACCATTCAATTCCATTCCAACCAATACATTCCACTCCACTCCACTTCACCGCATTTCATTTCATTTTGTTCGAAGTCAGTAGAATCTGTGCAATTCGATTCCATTCGTTTGCCTTCGATTCCATTATTTCCATTCCATTTGATTCCATTTCATTCATTACCATGCGATTTGATCCCATTCCATTCCATTCCACCCCACGCCACTCCATTCCACTCCAATGCACTCCACTCCACCCCACTCTAGTCCCCTCCACGGCACTCCACTCCGATCCACTCCACTCCACTCCAATCCATTCCAATCCACTCCAGTCCATTGCACTCCATTCCACTCCAATCCACTTCACTCCACTCCTCTCCATAGAGTTCCAATCCACCCCAGTTCACTCTAAAACATTCCACTCCACTCCACTTCACTGCATTCCTTTCCATTCCATTCAATGTCTTTCGAATCCATTCCTTTATAATCCTTCCGACTCCATTGGATTCATAATTTTCCGTTCGATTCGATTTGATTTGATATCATTCTATGCGATTCCATTCCATTCTATTCCACTCCATTCCACGCCATTCCATTCCATACCAATCCACTTCATTCATTTGAATTCCACTCTGCTACACTCCATTCCATTCCACTCAACTCGACTTCACTCCACTCCATTCCTCTGCACTCCAGTCCACTCCACTCTGCACCACTCCAATCCAATCTATTCCATTCCATTCCAATCCAATCCACTCCACTCCACTAGAATCCACTCCATTCCACTACACTCCATTCCAATTCATTCCTCTCTATTCCACTCCACTCCAATTCACTGCCTTCCATGCCGTTTCATTTGATGCCATTCAAAACCATTTGATTCGATTCCATTTGACTCCATTGGATTCCATTGTTTACATTCAATTCGATTCTATAAAATTTCATTTGTTTTCATTTTTTCCATTCGATTCGATTCAATCCAATTTGATTCCCTGCGATTCCATTCTATTCCATTCCATTCCAGTCCATTCAGTTCCATTCCCTTACATTCCATTCCATTCCAATCCACTCCACTCCATTCCTGTCCACTCTATACCATCCCATTCCATTCCTCTGCACTCCATTCCATTCCAATCCACTCCATTCCACTCCATTCCATTCCACTCCATTCCACTCCACTCCACTCCATGCCACTCCACTCCACTGCACGCCACTCCTTTCAATCCCATTCCTTCCCATTCCATTCCACTCCAGTACACTCCAATCTACTCTCTTCCATTAAATTCTGTTCCACCCTATTCCATTGCACTCCTTTCCACTCCACTCCGCTCCAATTCATCGCATTCCATTCGTTTCCATTCACTGACATTCTAAACCGTTCGATTCTATGACATTCGATTCCATTTCACTCCATTTTTTCCATTTGATTCTATTCAATTCGATTTGATTTTATTCAATTCCATGCGATTCCATTCCATTCCATTCTTATCCATTCCATTCCAGTACGTTCCATACCATTCCATTCCATTCAACTACACTCCTCTTCATTCCACTGCACTCCCCTGCACTCCACTCCAATCCACTACATTCTACTACACTCCATTTTCATCAAATCCATTCCTTTCCATTCCATTCCATTCCACTCCTCTCCAGTCAATTCCATTTATCCCATTCCATTCCACTCCATTCCACTCAACTCCACCTCACTGCATTCCTTTCGATTCCATTCAATGTCATTCGAATCCATTCGATTTGATTCCATTTGATTCCATTTTTTCCATTCAATTTCATTCAATTTGATTTGATTCAGTTCCATGTGATTTGATTCCATTCCACTCCATTCCATTCCATTCCATTCCATTCCACTCCACTCCATTGCACTCCAAGCCACTTCAATCCCCTACAGTCCAATGCACTACACTCCGCTTTGCTCCAGTCCACTCCACTCCATTACTCTCCATTCCACTCAATTCCACTCCACTCCATTAAATTCCATTCTACTACACTCCATTCCATTCCACTCCACTCCATTGCATTCCATTCCATTCCACTCCACTTCTTTCCACTCCAATCCACTACATTGCAGTCTATTCCAATCCACAGCACTCAATTCCAATTCACCCATTTCAATTCCATTCGTGCCCATTCCGTTCCATTCCACTCCAGTCCACTCCAATCCACTCCACTCCATTCAATTCAATTACACCCCATTCCATTCAACTCCGTTCCAGTGCCCTCCACCTCACCGCATTCCATTCAATTCTATTTGTTGTCTTTTAAATCCATCTTATTCGATTCTACTCCATTCAATTTTCTCCGATCAATTTCGTTAGATTCGATTCACTTCGACTCCATTTGATTCCATTCCATTCCTTTCCACTCCATTTCACTGCACTGCACTTCACTCCATTCCATTCCATTCCTTTCCATTCCGTTCCATTCCACTCCAGTAGACTCCAAACACTCCACTCCATTCAATTACATTCCACCCCATTTCGTTACACTCCACTCCACTTCACCGCATTTCATTTGATATTATTCGATGTCAGTTTAACCAATGTGGTTTGACTCCATTCGTTTGCATTTGATTCCATTTTTTCATTCGATTTAATTCCATTCGATTTGATTCAATACCATGTAATTCAATTCCATTCCACTCTGCTCCGCTCTATTTCAATCCAATCCACTCCACTCAACTTCACTCCACCTCAGTCCACCGCACTCCACTCCTGTCCTCTGCATTCAACTCCAACCCATTCCACTCTACTCCACTCCACACTATTGCACTCCATTATGCCCCATTCCACTCCCCTCCACTTCGTTCAATTCCATTTCTTCCCATTCCACTCCTGAGCACTCCACTCCACTCCACACCATTCAATTCCATTCCACCCAATACATTCCACTCCACTCCACTTCACCGCGTTTCATTTTATTTTGTTCGAAGTCAGTAGAATCAGTGCAATTCGATTCCATTCGTTTGCCTTCGATTCCATTATTTCCATTCTATTTGATTCCATTTCATTCATTACCATGCGATTTGATTCCATTCCATTCCATTCCAGCCCACTCCACTCCATTCCACTCCAATGCACTCCACTCCACCCCACTCTAGTCCACTCCACGGCACTCCTCTCCGATCCACTCCACTCCACTCCAATCCATTCCACTCCACTCCAGTCCATTGCACTCCATTCCACTCCAATCCACTTCACTCCACTCCTCTCCATAGAGTTCCAATCCACCTCAGTTCACTCTAAAACATTCCACTCCACTCCACTCCACTGCATTCCTTTCCATTCCATTCAATGTCTTTCGAATCCATTCCTTTAGAATCCTTTCGATTCCATTGGATTCATAATTTTCCGTTCGATTCGATTTGATTTGATATCATTCCATGTGATTCCATTCCATTCTACTCCACGCCATTGCACGCCATTCCATTCCATACCAATCCACTTCATTCTTTTGCAATCAATTCTGCTCCACTCCATTCCATTCCATTCAACTGGACTTCTCTCTACTCCATTCCTCTGCACTCCAGTCCACTCCACTCTGCACCACTCCAATCCAATCTATTCCATTCCATTCCAATCCAATCCACTCCACTCCACTGGAATCCACTCTATTCCACTACACTCCATTCCAATTCATTCCTCTCTATTCCACTCCACTCCAATTCACTGCCTTCCATGCCATTTCATTTGACGCCATTCAAAACGATTTGATTCGATTCCATTTGACTCCATTCGATTCCATTGTTTCCATTCAATTCGATTCTTTTCAATTTCATTTGATTTCATTTTTTTCATTCGATTTGATTCAATCCAATTTGATTCCCTGCGATTCCATTCTATTCCATTCCATTCCAGTCCATTCAGTTCCATTCCCTTACATTCCATTCCATTCCAATCCACTCCACTCCATTCCTGTCCACTCTATACCATCCCATTCCATTCCTCTGCACTCCATTCCATTCCAATCCACTCCATTCCACTCCATTCCATTCCACTCCATTCCACTCCACTCCACTCCATGCCACTCCACTCCACTGTACGCCACTCCTTTCAATCCCATTCCTTCCCATTCCATTCCACTCCAGTCCACTCCAATCCAATCTGTTCCATTAAATTCTGTTCCACCCTATTCCATTGCACTCCTTTCCACTCCACTCCGCTCCACTTCATCGCATTCCATTCGTTTCCATTCACTGACATTCAAAACCGTTCGATTCTATGACATTCGATTCCATTTGCCTCCATTTTTCCATTTGATTCTATTCAATTCGATTTGATTCTATTCAATTCCATGCGATTCCATTCCATTCCATTCTTATCCATTCCATTCCTGTACGTTCCATACCATTCCATTCCATTCAACTACACTCCACTTCATTCCACTGCACTCCCCTGCACTCCACTCCAATCCACTACATTCTACTACACTCCATTTTTTTCAATTCCATGACTTTCCATTCCATTCCATTCCACACCTCTCCAGTCAATTCCATTCATCCCATTCCATTCCACTCCATTCCACTCAACTCCACCTCACTGCATTCCTTTCGATTCCATTCAATGTCATTCGAATCCATTCGATTTGATTCCATTTGATTCCATTTTTTCCATTCAATTTCATTCAATTCGATTTGATTCAGTTCCATGTGATTCGATTCCATTCCACTACGTTCCATTCCATTCCATTCCATTCCATTACATTCCATTCCACTCCACTCCATTGCACTCCAAGCCACTTCAATCCCCTACAGTCCAATGCACTACACTCCACTTCGCTCCAGTCCACTCCACTCCATTACTCTCCATTCCACTCAATTCCACTCCACTCCATTAAATTCCATTCTACTCCACTCCATTCCATTCCACTCCACTCCATTGCATTCCATTCCATTCCACTCCACTTCTTTCCACTCCAATCTACTACAATGCAGTCTACCCCAATCCGCAGCACTCAATTCCAATTCACCCCTTTCAATTCCATTCCTGCCCATTCCGCTCCATTCCACTCCAGTCCACTCCAATCCACTCTACTCCATTCAATTCAATTACACCCCATTCCATTCAACTCCATTCCAATGCCCTCCAACTCACCGCATTCCATTCAATTCTATTTGTTGCCTGTTGAATCCATCTTATTCGATTCTACTCCATTCCATTTTTTCCGATCAATTTCATTAGATTCGATTCACTTCGATTCCATTTGATTCCATTCCATTCCATTCCATTCCATTCCATTCCATTCCTTTCCACTCCATTTCACTGCACTGCACTTCACTCCATTCTATTCCATTCCTTTCCATTCCATTCCATTCCACTCCAGTAGACTCCAATCCACTCCAATCCATTCAATTTCATTAAACCCCATTTCGTTACACTGCACTCCACTTCACCACATTTCATTTGATATTATTCGATGTCAGTTTAACCAATGTGGTTTGACTCCATTCGTTTGCATTTGATTCCATTTTTTCATTCGATTTAAAGCCATTCGATGTGATTCATTACCATGTGACTCAATTCCATTCAACTCTGCTCCCCTCTATTTCAATCCAATCCCCTCCACTCAACTCCACTCCACTCCAGTCAACCACACTCCACTCCTGTCCTCTGCATTCCACTCCAACCCATTCCACTCTACTCTACTCTACACTATTCCACTCCATTATGCCCCATTCCACTCCACTCCTCTCCGTTCAATTCCATTTCTTCCCATTCCACTCCTGGGCACTCCACTCCACTCCACACCATTCAATTCCATTCCACCCAATACATTCCACTCCACTACACTTCACCGCGTTTCATTTCATTTTGTTCGAAGTCAGTAGAATCAGTGCAATTCGATTCCATTCGTTTGCCTTCGATTCCATTATTTCCATTCCATTTGATTCCATTTCACTCATTACCATGCGATTTAGTTGCTTTCAATTCAATTCATCCCAAATCAATTCACTTCATATCACTTGAATGCAATTCATTCCAACTCATTTTAGTTCACTGGACGGCACTCCACTCCGATCCACTCCACTCCACTCTAATCCATTCCACTCCACTCCAGTCCATTGCACTCCATTCCGCTCCAAGTTCGCTTCACTCCACTCCTCTCCATAAAGTTCCAATCCACCCCAGTTCACTCTAAAACATTCCACTCCACTCCACTTCACTGCATTCCTTTCCATTCCATTCAATGCATTTCGAATCCATTCCTTTAGAATCCTTTCGCTTCCATTGGATTCATTATTTTCCGTTCGATTTGATTTGATTTGATATCATTCCATGCGATTCCATTCCATTCTATTCCACGCCATTCCACGCCATTCCATTCCATACCAATCCATTTCATTCTTTTGCATTCCACTCTGCTCCACTCCATTCCATTCCACTCAACTGGACTTCACTCCACTCCATTCCTCTGCACTCCAGTCCACTCCACTCTGCACCACTCCAATCCAATCTATTCCATTCCATTCCAATCCAATCCACTCCACTCCACTGGAATCCACTCCATTCCACTACCCTCCATTCCAATTCGTTCCTCTCTATTCCATTCCACTCCAATTCACTGCCTTCCATGCCATTTCATTTGATGCCATTCAAAACCATTTGATTCAATTCCATTTGACTCCTTTGGATTCCATTGTTTACATTCAATTCGATTCCATTCAATTTCATTTGATTTCATTTTATCCATTCGATTCGATTCAATCCAATTTGATTCCCTGCGATTCCATTCTATTCCATTCCATTCCAGTCCATTCAGTTCCATTCCCTTACATTCCATTCCATTCCAATCCACTCCACTCCATTCCTGTCCACTCTATACCATTCCATTCCATTCCTCTGCACTCCATTCCATTCCAATCCACTCCATTCCACTCCATTCGACTCCACTCCACTCCATGCCACTCCACTCCACTGCACGCCTCTCCTTTCAATCCCATTCCTTCCCTTTCCATTCCACTCCAGTCCACTCCAATCCACTCTGTTCCATTAAATTCTCTTCCACCCTATTCCATTGCACTCCTTTCAACTCCACTCCGCTCCACTTCATCGCATTCCATTCGTTTCCATTCACTGACATTCAAAACCGTGCGATTCTATGACATTTGATTCCATTTGACTCTATTTTTTCCATTTGATTCTATTCAATTCGATTTGATTCTATTCAATTCCATGCGATTCCATTCCATTCCATTCTTATCCATTCCATTCCAGTACGTTCCATACCATTCCATTCCATTCAACTACACTCCTCTTCATTCCACTGCACACCCCTGCACTCCACTCCAATCCACTACTTTTTACTACACTCCATTTCGTTCAATTCCATTCCTTTCCATTCCATTCCATTCCACTCCTCTCCAATCAATTCCATTCATCCCATTCCATTCCACTCCACTCCACTGAACTCCACCTCACTGCATTCCTTTCGATTCCATTCAATGTCATTCGAATCCATTCGATTTGATTCCATTTGATTCCATTTTTTCCATTCAATTTCATTCAATTCGATTTGATTCAGTTCCATGTGATTCGATTCCATTCCATTCCATTCCATTCCACTCCACTCTATTGCACTCCAAGCCACTTCAATCCCCTACAGTCCAATGCACTACACTCCACTCCAATCCACTCAATTCCATTCCAACCCATTCCATTCCACTCCATTCATGTCCACTCCACTTCACCGCATTCCATTTGATTCCATTCTATGCAATTTGAATCCATTGCATTCCATTCCATTCCACTCCACTTCTTTCCACTCCAATCCACTACAATGCAGTCTACTCCAATCCACAGCACTCAATTCCAATTCACCCCTTTCAATTCCATTCCTGCCCATTCCGTTCCATTCCACTCCAGTCCACTCCAATCCACTCCACTCCATTCAATTCAATTACACCCCATTCCATTCAACTCCGTTCCAATGCCCTCCACCTCATCGCATTCCATTCCACTACAGTCCACTCCACTACACTCACTACACTACACTCAACTCCACTCATTCCTTTCCATTCCAACCCATTCCATTCCACTACATTCCACTCCATTCCACTTCAGCACATTCCATTCGATGCAATTCGATTCTACTTTTTCCATTCGATTTGATTCGATTCAAGTCGATTCAATTTGTTACCATGGGATTCGAATTCATGCTATTCAATTTCATTCCATTCTATTCCATTCCATTCCATTCCAATTCAATACATCATTCCACTCCACTCCTTTCCATTCAATTCCATTCCACTCCACTCCACTTCACCTCACTCCACTCAATTCCTTTTCGTGACATTTAATTCCATTCGATTCTATTTTTTCCATTCTATTCAATTCGATTCATTTTGATTTCATTCAATTTGATTCCATGTGATTCCATTCCATTCCATTCCATTCAAGTTCACTGCATTCCATTGAAACCCATTCCACTCCACCACATTCCACTCCAATCCTCTCCACTCCACTCCAACCAACTGCACCCCACTCCACTCCTTTCAATTCCCTTCCTTCCCATTCCATTCCTCTACAGTCCACTCCACTCCACTCCATTCAATTCCATTCCACCCATTCCATTCCAGTCCATTCCTCTCCACTTCACCACATTCCATTCGATTCCATTTGATGCCATTCAAATCAACATTTTCCATTCGATTTGATTCGTTTCGATTTAATTCATTTTGATTCCATGTTATTCATTTTCATGCTATTCGATTCCATTCCATTCCATTAAATTTTATTCCACTCCAGTACATTCCATTCCACTCTACTCCTTTCCATTCCATTCCATTCCATTCCATTCCATTCCATTCCACTCCACTCCTCTCCACTTCACCGCATTTCATTTGATTCCCTTCGATGCCATTCGATTCCATTTGATTCAATTCCTTTCTATTCCATTTGATTCCATTTTTTCTATTCAATTCAATTTGATTCCATGCAATTCCATTCTTTTCCATTCCATTCAAGTCCATTGCATTCCATTGCAATCGATTCCACTCCACTCCATTCCACTCCAATCCATTCTGCTCCACTCCATTCCACTCCACTCCACTGCACTCCACTCCACTCTGCTCAATTCCATTTCTTCCCATTCCATTCCATTCCACTTGAGTCCTCTCTACTTTACTCCGCTCCACACCATTCAATTCCATTCCACCCCATTCCATTCCACTACATTCCAGTCCACTCCACTCTACTTCACTGCATTCCTTTCGATTACATTCGATGCCATTCAAGTCCATTCAATTCTATTCCATTCGATTACATTCTATTCCATTTTTTCCATTCGGTTCGATTTGATTTGCTTTGATTCCATGCGATTGAATTCCATGCAATTGGATTCCATTCCATTCCACTCCATTCCATTCCATTCAACTCCACTCCACTCCACTCCTTTCCACTCCACTCCACTCTGTTCAATTCCATTCCTTCCAATTCGATTCCATTCCACTCCAGTCCACTACACTCTGCTCCATTCCACTACACTCCATTCAATTCCATACAACCCCATTCCAATCCACTCCACTTCACCACATTCCATTCGATTCCTTTCGATGACATTTGAATCCATTCAATTTGATTCCATTCAAATCCATTCGTTTCCATTTTTTCCTTTCAATTCCATTTGATTCTATTCCATGTTATTCGATTCCATGCTATTTCATTCCATTCTATTCCATTCCATTCCATTCATCTCCATTCTCATCCGTTTCATTCCACTCCTCTCCACTCCACTCCATTCCTTTCCATCCCATTACCTTCCTCTCCATTCCACTCAACTGCACTCCACTTCACTGCATTCCATTGGATTCTATTCGATTCCATTCGAATCCATTCGATTGATTCCATTCGATTTTATTTGTTTCCATGAGATTCCATGCGAATCCATGCAATTCCATTCCGTACCATTCCATTCCATTCCATTCCACTCTATTTCTCTCCACTCCATTACAATCCACTCCACTCCACTCCTCTCAATTCCATTCCACCCCATTCCATTCCATTCCGTTCCACTTCACTCCACTTCACCACATTCTATTCGATTTCATTGGGTGCCATTCAAATCCATTCGATTCAATTCCATTCAATTCCACTTTTTCCATTTTATTCGTTTCGATTCAATTCAATTTGATTCGATACGATTTCATGCGATTTGACTCCATTCAATTCCATTCCTCTCCACTCTACTCCATTCCATTCCTTTCCATTCCATTCCACTCCATTCCATTCCTTTCCACTCCACTCCATTCCATTCCATTCCACTCCACTACATGCCACTGCTCTCTGTTCAATTCCATTCCTTCCCATTGCATTGCATTCCACTCCAGTCCACTCCACTCCAGTCCACTCCACTCCACTCGACTCCACTCCATTCAATTCCATTCCATCCCATTCCATTCCACTCCATTCCACTCCACTCCACTTTACAGCAATCTTTTCAAATGTGTTCGATGTCTTTCAAATCCATTCGATTTGATTCCATTTGATTCCATTCTATTCCATTGTTTCCATTCGATTTGATGTGATTCGACTCGATTTAATGTGATTCAATTCCATTCCATTCCATTCCATTCCAGTCCAGTCCATTTCATTCCATTCCACTCCACTCCACGCCATTCCACTCCAATCCACTCTAATCCACTCCACTCCACTGCATGCCACTGCACTCCACTCCACTCCACTCCGTTCTATTCCATTCCTTCCCATTCCATTCCATTCCACTCCAGTCCACTCCACTCCACTCCAATCCACTCCACTCCTCTTCACTGCATTCCATTTGATTCCATTTGATGGCATTTGATTACACTCGATTCCATTTTTTCCATTTGATTTGATTCATTTTGATTCCAAGCTATTTGATTACATGCAATTCAATTCCATTCCATTCCATTTCATTGCATTCCATTCGGTTCCACTCCATTTCACTCCATTCCACTCCACTCCACTGCACTCCACTCCACGCCACTCCACTCTGCTCAATTTCATTCCTTCCCATTCCATTCCATTTCACTACAGTCCACTCCACTGCACTCCACTTCACTTCATTCAATTTTATTCCACCCAATTACATTCCACTCCATTCCACTCCACTCCCCTCCACTTCACCGCATTCCGTTCGACTCCATTTGATGCCATTCAAATCCACTTTTTCCATTTGATTTGATTTGATTTGATTCGATTCATTTTGATTCCATGCAATTCGATTTCATGCTGTTCGACTCCCATTGCATTCCATTCCATTCCATCCCATTCCACTCCACTACATTCCATTCCACTCCACTCCATTCCATTCCACTCCAATCCACTCCACTCCACTTCCACGCTTTCCATTCGAATCCATTTGATGCCATTCTATTCCATTCAATTCAATTCCATTTGATTCCCTTTTTTCCTTTTGATTTGATTCAATTCATTTTGATTCGATTTGATTCCATGCAATTCCATTCCATTCCATTCCATTCCCCTCCACTCCACTCAATTCCACTCCAATCCACTCCACTCCACTTCACTGCACTCCAGTCCACTCCAATACACTCCACTTCGCTCCACTGCACTCCATTCAATTCCATTCCTCCCCATTCCATTCCACTCCATTCCACTCCACTCCACTTCACCGCATTTCATTTGATTCCTTTTGATGCCATTTGAATCCATTTCATTTGATTCCATTCGATTCCTTTTCCTTTTGATTCAATTTGATTTGATTTGATTTGATTCCATCCGATTCAATTCCGTGCAATTTGTCTCAATTCCATTCCATTCCATTCCAGTCCACTCCATTCCATTCCTCTCCACTCCACTTCACTCCATTCCTTTCCACCCCATTCCTCTCCACTCCACTTCACCGCATTCCACTCGATTCCATTCGATGCCATTCAAATCCATTCGATTCGATTCCATTCGATTCCATTCAATTCCATTTTTTTATTTGATTCAATTTGATTCGATTCCATTTGATTCCTTTTCATCCCGTTCCTTTCCAATCCATTCCTTTCCACTTAATTCCTTTCCATTCCATTCCATTCCACTCCACTAAATTCCTCTACAATCCACTCCACTCCATTCCACTCCACTCCACTGCTCTTCACTCCACTCCACTGCATTCAATTCCATTCTTCCCATTCCATTCCATTCTATTCCAGTACACTCCATTCCTTTCAATTCCATTACACCCCATTCCATTCCACTCCATTCCACTTCACTCCATTCCACTTCACTCCATTCCATTCCATTCAATTCCATTTCCTGCCATTCCAATCCGTTTGATTTGATTCCATTTTATTCCATTCAGTTCCATTTTTTCCATTCGAGTTGATTGGATTTGATTCCATTCTATTCAATTCCACTCTACTCCATTCCACTCCACTCTAGTTCATTCCACTCCACTTCACTCCATTCCACTCCTTTCCACTCCATTCCTCTCCATTCCACCCTACTCCACTCCACTCTGTTCAATTCCATTCCTTCCCATTCCCTTCCATTCCACTCCAGTCCTTTCTACTCCACTCCACTCAACACCTTTCAATTCCATTCCACCACTTTCCATTCCACTACATTCCAATCCACTCCACTTCACCGCATTCCATTCCACTCCAATCCACTTCACTCCACTCCTCTCCATAGAGTTCCAATCCACCCCAGTTCACTCTAAAACATTCCACTCCACTCCACTTCACTGCATTCCTTTCCATTCCATTCAATGCATTTCGAATCCATTCCTTTATAATCCTTTCGATTCCATTGGATTCATAATTTTCCGTTTGATTCGATTTGATTTGGTATCGTTCCATGCGATTCCATTCCTTTCTATTCCACGCCATTCCTCGCCATTCCATTCCATACCAATCCACTTCATTCTTTTGCATTCCACTCTGCTCCACTCCATTCCATTCCACTCAACTGGACTTCACTCCACTCCATTCCTCTGCACTCCAGTCCACTCCACTCTGCACCACTCCAATCCAATCTATTCCATTCCATTCCAATCCAATCCACTCCACTCCACTGGAATCCACGCCATTCCACTACACTCCATTCCAATTCGTTCCTCTCTATTCCACTCCACTCCAATTCACTGCCTTCCATGCCATTTTATTTGATGCCATTCAAAACCATTTGATTCGATTCCATTGGATTCCATTGGATTCCATTGTTTACATTCTATTCGATTCCATTCAATTTCATTTGATTTCATTTTTTCCATTCGATTCGATTCAATCTAATTTGATTCCCTGCGATTCCATTCTATTCCATTCCATTCCAGTCCATTCAGTTCCATTCCCTTACATTCCATTCCATTCCAATCCACTCCACTCCATTCCTGTCCACTCTATACCATTCCATTCCATTCCTCTGCACTCCATTCCATTCCAATCCACTCCATTCCACTCCATTCCATTCCACTCCATTCCACTCCACTCCACTCCATGCCACTCCACTCCACTGCACGCCACTCCTTTCAATCCCATTCCTTCCCTTTCCATTCCACTCCAGTCCACTCCAATCCACTCTGTTCCATTAAATTCTGTTCCACCCTATTCCATTGCACTCCTTTCCACTCCACTCCGCTCCACTTCATCGCATTCCATTCGTTTCCATTCACTGACATTCAAAACCGTTCGATTCTATGACATTCGATTCCATTTGCCTCCATTTTTTCCATTTGATTCTATTCAATTCGATTTGATTCTTTTCAATTCCATGCGATTCCATTCCATTCCGTTCTTATCCATTCCATTCCAGTACGTTCCATACCATTCCATTCCATTCAACTACAATCCTCTTCATTTCACTGCACTCCCCGGCACTCCACTCCAATCCACTACATTCTACTACACTCCATTTCGTTCAATTCCATTGCTTTCCATTCCATTCCATTCCACTCCTCTCCAGTCAATTCCATTCATCCCATTCCATTCCACTCCACTCCACTCAACTCCACCTCACTGCATTCATTTCGATTCCATTCAATGTCATTCGAATCCATTCGATTTGATTCCATTGGATTCCATTTTTTCCATTCAATTTCATTCAATTCGATTTGATTCAGTTCCATGTGATTCGATTCCATTCCACTACATTCCATTCCATTCAATTCCATTGCATTACATTCCATTCCACTCCACTCCATTGCACTCCAAGCCACTTCAATCCCCTACAGTCCAATGCACTACACTCCACTTCGCTGCAGCCCACTCCACTCCATTACTCTCCATTCCACTCAATTCCACTGCACTCCATTAAATTCCATTCTAATCCACTCCATTCCATTCCACTCCACTCCATTGCATTCCATTCCATTCCACTCCACTTCTTTCCACTCCAATCCACTACAATGCAGTCTACTCCAATCCACAGCACTCAATTCCAATTCACCCCTTTCAATTCCATTCCGGCCCATTCCGTTCCATTCCACTCCAGTCCACTCCAATCCACTCCACTCCATTCAATTCAATTACACCCCATTCCATTCAACTCCATTCCATTGCCCTCCAACTCACCGCATTCCATTCATTCTATTTGTTGCCTTTTGAATCCATATTATTCGATTCTACTCCATTCCATTTTTTCTGATCAATTTCATTAGATTCGATTCACTTCGATTCCATTTGATTCCATTCCATTCCATTCCATTCATTTCCACTCCATTTCACTGCACTGCACTTCACTCCATTCTATTCCATTCCTTTCCATTCCATTCCATTCCACTCCAGTAGACTCCAATCGACCCCACTCCATTCAATTTCATTCCACTCCATTCGTTACACTCCACTCCACTTCACCACATTTCTTTTGATATTATTCGATGTCAGTTTAACCAATGTGGTTTGACTCCATTCGTTTACATTTGATTTCATTTTTTCATTCGATTTAATTCCATTCGATTTGATTCAATTCCATGTGATTCAATTCCATCCCACTCTGCTCCACTCTATTTCAATCCACTCCACTCCACTCAACTCTACTCCACTCCAGTCCACCGCACTCCAATCCTGTCCTCTGCATTCCATTCCAACCTATTCCACTCTACTCCACTCCACACTATTCCACTCCATTATGCCCCATTCCACTCCACTCCACTCCGTTCAATTCCATTTCTTCCCATTCCACTCCTGGGCACTCCACTCCACTCCACACCATTCTATTCCATTCCACCCAATACATTCCACTCCACTCCACTTCACCGCGTTTCATTTCATTTTGTTCGAAGTCAGTAGAATCAGTGCAATTCGATTCCATTCGTTTGCCTTCGATTCCATTATTTCCATTCCATTTGATTCCATTTGATTCATTACCATGCGATTTGATGCCATTCCATTCCGTTGCACCCCACTCCACTCCATTCCACTCCAATGCACTCCACTCCACCTCACTCTAGTCCACTCCACGGCACTCTGCTCCGATCCACTCCACTCCACTCCAATCCATTCCAGTCCACTCCAGTCCATTGCACTCCATTCCACTCCAATCCACTTCACTGCACTCCTCTCCATAGATTTCCAATCCAGCGCAAGTTTACTCTAAAACATTCCAATCCACTCCACTCCATTGCATTCCTTTCCATTCCATTCAATGCCTTTCGAATCCATTCCTTTAGAATCCTTTCGATTCCATTGGATTCATAATTTTCCGTTTGATTCGATTTGATTTGGTATCATTCCATACGATTCAATTCCATTCTATTCCACGCCATTCCACGCCATTCCATTCCATAACAATCCACTTCATTCTTTTGCATTCCACTCTGCTCCACTCCATTCCATTCCACTCAACTGGACTTCACTCCACTCCATTCCTCTGCACTCCAGTCCACTCCACTCTGCACCACTCCAATCCAATCTATTCCATTCCATTCCAATCCAATCCACTCCAATCCATTGGAATCCACTCCATTCCACTACACTCCATTCCAATTCATTCCTCTCTATTCCACTCCACTCCAATTCACTGCCTTCCATGCCATTTCATTTGATGCCATTCAAAACCATTTGATTCGATTCCATTTGACTCCATTGGATTCCATTGTTTACATTCAATTCGATTCCATTCAATTTCATTTGTTTTCATTTTTTCCATTCGATTCGATTCAATCCAATTTGATTCCCTGCGATTCCATTCTATTCCATTCCATTCCAGTCCATTCAGTTCCATTCCCTTACATTCCATTCCATTCCAATCCACTCCACTCCATTCCTGTCCACTCTATACCATTCCATTCCATTCCTCTGCACTCCATTCCATTCCAATCCACTCCATTCCACTCCATTCCATTCCACTCCATTCCACTCCACTCCACTCCATGCCACTCCACTCCACTGCACGCCACTCCTTTCAATCCCATTCCTTCCCATTCCATTCCACTCCAGTCCACTCCAATCCACTCTGTTCCATTAAATTCTTTTCCACCCTATTCCATTGCACTCCTTTCCACTCCACTCCGCTCTACATCATCGCATTCCATTCGTTTCCATTCTCTGACATTCAAAACCGTTCGATTCTATGACATTCGATTCCATTTGCCTCCATTTTTTCCATTTGATTCTATTCAATTCGATTTCATTCTATTCAATTCTATGCGATTCCATTCCATTCCATTCTTATCCATTCCATTCCAGTACGTTCCATACCATTCCATTCCATTCAACTACACTCCTCTTCATTCCACTGCACTCCTCTGCACTCCACTCCAATCCACTACATTCTACTACACTCCATTTCGTTCAATTCCATTCCTTTCCATTCCATTCCATTCCACTCCTCTCCAGTCAATTCCATTCATCCCATTCCATTCCACTCCACTCCACTCAACTACACCTCACTGCATTCCTTTCGATTCCATTCAATGTCATTCGAATCCATTCGATTTGATTCCATTTCATTCCATTTTTTCCATTCAATTTCATTCAATTCGATTTGATTCAGTTCCATGTGATTCGATTCCATTCCACTCCATTCCATTCCATTCCATTCCATTCCATTCCATTACATTCCATTCCACTCCACTCCATTGCACTCCAAGCCACTTCAATCCCCTACAGTCTAATGCACTACACTCCACTTCGCTCCAGTCCACTCCACTCCATTACTCTCCATTCCACTCAATTCCACTCCACTCCATTAAATTCCATTCTACTCCACTCCATTCCATTCCCCTCCACTCCATTGCCTTCCATTCCATTCCACTCCACTTCTTTCCACTGCAATCCACTACAATGCAGTCTACTCCAATCCACAGCACTCAATTACAATTCACGCCTTTCAATTCCATTCCTGCCCATTCTGTTCCATTCCACTCCAGTCCACTCCAATCCACTCCACTCCATTCAATTCAATTACACGCCATTCCATTCAACTCCATTCCAATGCCCTCCAACTCACCGCATTCCATTCAATTCTATTTGTTGCCTTTTGAATCCATATTATTCGATTCTACTCCATTCCATTTTTTCCGATCAATTTCATTAGATGCGATTCACTTCGATTCCATTTGATTCCATTCCATTCCATTCCATTCCTTTCCACTCCATTTCACTGCACTACACTTCACTCCATTCTATTCCATTCCTTTCCATTCCATTCTATTCCACTCCAGTAGACTCCAATCGACCCCACTCCATTCAATTTCATTCCACTCCATTTCGTTACACTCCACTCCACTTCACCACATTTCTTTTGATATTATTCGATGTCAGTTTAACCAATGTGGTTTGACTCCATTCGTTTGCATTTGATTCCATTTTTACATTCGATTTAATTCCATTCGATTTGATTCAATACCATGTGATTCAATTCCATCCCACTCTGCTCCGCTCTATTTCAATCCACTCCACTCCACTCAACTCTACTGCACTCCAGTCCAACGCACTCCAATCCTGTCCTCTGCATTCCATTCCAACCCATTCCACTCTACTCCACTCCACACTATTCCACTCCATTATGCCCCATTCCACTCCACTCCACTCCCTTCAATTCCATTTCTTCCCATTCCACTCCTGGGTCACTCCACTCCACTCCACACCATTCTATTCCATTCCACCCAATACATTCCACTCCACTCCACTTCAGCGCGTTTCATTTCATTTTGTTCGAAGTCAGTAGAATCAGTGCAATTCGATTCCATTCGTTTGCCTTCGATTCCATTATTTCCATTCGATTTGATTCCATTTGATTCATTACCATGCGATTTGATGCCATTCCATTCCATTGCACCCCACTCCACTCCATTCCACTCCAATGCACTCCACTCCACCTCACTCTAGTCCACTCCACGGCACTCCGCTCCGATCCAATCCACTCCACTCCAATCCATTCCAGTCCACTCCAGTCCATTGCACTCCATTCCACTCCAATCCACTTCACTGCACTCCTCTCCATAGATTTCCAATCCACCCAAGTTTACTCTAAAACATTCCACTCCACTCCACTCCACTGCATTCCTTTACATTCCATTCAATGCCTTTCGAATCCATTCCTTTAGAATCCTTTCGATTCCATTGGATTCATAATTTTCCGTTTGATTCGATTTGATTTGGTATCATTCCATGCGATTTAATTTCATTCTATTCCACGCCATTCCACGCCATTCCATTCCATAACAATCCACTTCATTCTTTTGCATTCCACTCTGCTCCACTCCATTCCATTCCACTCAACTGGACTTCACTCCACTCCATTCCTTTGCACTCCATTCCACTCCACTCTGCACCACTCCAATCCAGTCTATTCCATTCCATTCCAATCCAATCTACTCCACTCCACTGGAATCCACGCCATTCCACTACACTCCATTCCAATTCATTCCTCTCTATTCCACTCCACTCCAATTCACTGCCTTCTATGCCGTTTCATTTGATGCCATTCAAAACCATTTGATTCGATTCCATTTGTCTCCTTTGGATTCCATTGTTTACATTCAATTCGATTCCATTCAATTTCATTTGATTTCATTTTTTCCATTCGATTCGATTCAATCCAATTTGATTCCCTGCGATTCCATTCTATTCCATTCCATTCCAGTCCATTCAGTTCCATTCCCTTACATTCCATTCCATTCCAATCCACTCCACTCCATTCCTGTCCACTCTATACCATTCCATTCCATTCCTCTGCACTCCATTCCATTCCAATCCACTCCATTCCACTCCATTCCATTCCACTCCATTCCACTCCACTCCACTCCACTCCACTCCGTGCCACTCCACTCCACTGCACGCCACTCTTTTCAATCCCATTCCTTCCCTTTCCATTCCACTCCAGTCCACTCCAATCCACTCTGTTCCATTAAATTCTGTTCCACCCTATTCCATTGCACTCCTTTCCACTCCACTCCACTCCACTTCATCGCATTCCATTCGTTTCCATTCACTGACATTCAAAACCGTTCGATTCTATGACATTCGATTCCATTTGCCTCCATTTTTTCCATTTGATTCTATTCAATTCGATTTGATTCTTTTCAATTCCATGCGATTCCATTCCATTCCGTTCTTATCCATTCCATTCCAGTACGTTCCATACCATTCCATTCCATTCAACTACAATCCTCTTCATTTCACTGCACTCCCCGGCACTCCACTCCAATCCACTACATTCTACTACACTCCATTTTGTTCAATTCCATTGCTTTCCATTCCATTCCATTCCACTCCTCTCCAGTCAATTCCATTCATCCCATTCCATTCCACTCCACTCCACTCAACTCCACCTCACTGCATTCATTTCGATTCCATTCAATGTCATTCGAATCCATTCGATTTGATTCCATTGGATTCCATTTTTTCCATTCAATTTCATTCAATTCGATTTGATTCAGTTCCATATGATTCGATTCCATTCCACTCCATTCCATTCCATTCCATTCCACTCCGCTCCATTGCACTCCAAGCCACTTCAATCCCCTACAGTCCAATGCACTACACTCCACTTCGCTCCAGTCCACTCCACTCCATTACTCTCCATTCCACTCAATTCCACTCCACTCCATTAAATTCCATTCTACTCCACTCCATTCCATTCCACTCCACTCCATTGCATTCCATTCCATTCCACTCCACTTCTTTCCTCTCCAATCCACTACAATGCAGTCTACTCCAATCCACAGCACTCAATTCCAATTCACCCCTTTGAATTCCATTCCTGCCCATTCCATTCCATTCCACTCCACTGCATTCAATTCCACTTTACTCCATTCCCCTCCACTTCACTCCTTTCCAGTACTTTCCCCTCCATTCCTCTCTTTTCCCCTCCATTCCACTCGTTTCCCCTCCATTCCTCTCCATTCCACCCCACTCAAGTCCACTCCATTCAATTCCATTTCTTCCCATTCCATTATACTCCGTCCACTCCACACCACTCCACTCCATTCAATTCCATTTCATCCGATTCCATTCCACTCCATTCTACTCCACTCCACTTCATCGCATTCCATTCAATTCCATTCGATGCCTTTCCTATCCATTGAATTTGATTTCTTTTGATTCCACTTTTCCCTTTTGATTCTATTAAATTTGATTAGATTTGGTTCAATTTGATTCCATGCAATTCCATTTGATTCCATTCCATTCCATTTCAGTCCAATCCATTCCATTCCACTCCACTCCATTCCACTCCAATCCACTCCACTAAACTACTTTCCTCTCCATTCCACTCCACTCACTCCACTTCATTCCACTCCAATCCACTCCAGTCCATTCAATTCCATTCCAACCCATTCCATTAAACTCCATTCCACTACACTCCACTTCACCACTTTCCATTTGATTTCATTCTATTCCATTCAATTCCGTTTGATTCAATTTTGTTTGATATCATTTGATTCCATTTGGTCCATTCGATTCAATTTGATTTGATTCGTTTCAATTCCATCCGATTCCATTCATTGCATTCCATTCCACTCCATTCCAATGCATTCCATTTCATACCTATCCACGCCATTCCACTCCTTTCCACTCCCTTCCACTCCACTCCATTCCACTCCATTCCACTCCATTCTACTCCATTCCACTCCTCTCCACTCCACTTCACCACATTCCATTTGACTCCATTTGATGCCATTCAAATTCATTTGATTCGATTCCATTCTATTCCATTCACTTCCATTTTTTCCATTCTATTCGTTTTGATGTGATTTGATTTGATTTGATTTGATTCGATTCCCTACAATTCAATTTCGTTTCAACTCATTCCGTTCCATTCCATTCCAATCCACTCGACTCCACTCCACTCTATTCCATTCCATTCCATTCTACTCCATTCCATTCCATTCCTTTCCATTTCATTCCACTCTATTCCATTCCATTCCACTCCATTCCAGTCAATTCCATTCCATTCCCTTCCACTCCACTTCATTCCATTCCTGTCTGCACCATTCCATTCCACTCTAGTCCATTCCACTCCACTTCACTCCATTCCTCTCCATTCCACTGCACTCACCTCCACTCCACTCCATTCAATTCCATTCATTCCCACTCCATTCCATTCCACTCCAATCCACTCCAGTCCACTCCATTCAATTCTATTCCACCCCATTCCATTCCACTCCAGTCCACTTCCCCGCATTCCATTCAATTCCATTCGATGCTATTCGAATCCATTCTATTGGATTCCATTTGATTCCATTTTTTTCCATACAATTCGATTCAAATCGATTCAATTTGCTTTGATTCGATTTTATGCTATTCCATTCCATTCCATTGCATTCCGGTCCAATTCATTCCATTCCATTCCATTCCATTCCACTCCACTCCATTCCACTCCAATCCCCTCCGCTCCACTCCACTCCACTGCATTCCACACCAATCCACTCCACTCCACTACTTTCCACTCCGTCCCATTCCACTCCACTCCAGTTCAATCCACTCCAGTCCGTTCGATTCCTTTCCAACCCATTTCATTCCAATCCATTCCCCTCCACTCCACTTCACCTCATTCCATTTGATTCCATTCTATGCTATTCTATTCCATTCGATTTGATTCCTTTCGATTCCATTCAATTCCATTTTTTCCATTCAATTCGATGTGATTCATTTTGATTAGATTAGATTCCCTTTGATTTGATTCCATTCCATTCCATTCCAGTCCCTACCACTCAATTCCATTCCGTTCCACTCCAATCCACTACAATCCCTTCCATTCCACTACACTCCATTCCATTCCTCTCTACTCCATTCCATTCCATTCCACTTCATTCCACTAAATTCCACTTCATTACATTCCATTCAACTCCACTGCATTCCATTCCACTCTAATCTGGTCCACTTCACTGCACTCCACTCCTCTCCATTCCACTCCACTCCTCTCCACTCCACACCACTCCACTCAACTCCATTCCTTTCCATTCCATTCCATTGCCCTATACTATACTACACTACACTGCACTCCAATCCACTCCACTCCACTCCTCTCTATTGCATTCCATTCCATTCCATTGCATTACACTCCACTCCACTCCATTTCACTCCACTCCACTCCACTCTGTTCCATTCCATTCCATTCCACTCCATTCCACTCCATCACATTCCACTCCATTCCTTTCCACACTACTTTTCTCCATTCCACTGTACTCCACTCCGTTCAATTCCATTCCTTCCCATTACATTCCATTCCACTCCTGTCCACTACATTCCACTCCAGTCCATTCAATTCCATTCCACCAAAATCCGTTGCACTCCATTCCTCTACACTCCACTTCATCGCATTCCATTCGATTCCATTCGCTGCCATTTGAATCCATTTGATTTGATTCCGTTCAATTCCATTCGACTCCTTTTTTTTCCATTCAATTCGATTCAATTCAACCTCATGCAATTCCATTCTATTGCATTCCCTTCCAGTACATCCCATTCCATTCCACTCCACTCCATTCCACTCCAATCCACTCCACTCCAGTCCATTCCACTCCACTCCTCTCCACTCAACTGCACTCCACTCCACTTCATTCAATTCCTTTCCACTCCTTTCCATTCCACTCCATTCCACTCCATTCCACTTCATGGCATTCCATTTGATTCCATTCGATGCCATTCGAATCTTTTCAATTCCATTCGATTCCATTTTTTCCATTTGATTTGAATCGATTCAATTTGATTCTATTCCATTCGTTTCCATTCCATTCCATTCCATTCCACTCCACTCCATTCCACTCCAATCCACTCCATGCCACTCCATTCCACTCCACTGCACTCCACTCCACTCCATTGAATTCCATTCCTTCCCATTCCATTCCATTCCACTCCAGTCTACTCCACTCCACTCCACTTCTCTGCATTCCATTTGATTCCATTCTACACCATTTTAATCCATTTGATTAGATTCCATTCAATTCCATTTTTGCATTTGATTCTATCTGATTCAATTCCATTCTATTTGATTTGATTCCCTGCGGATTCCATTCCATTCCATGGCTATTCAAAGTCGATTGCATTCCATTCCATTCATCTCCACTCTATTCCACTCCAATCCACTCCACTGCACTCCACTCCACTCCTTTGAATTCCATTCTTTCCCATTCCATTCCTTTCCATTCCAGTCATCTCCGTTCCACTCCACTCCATTCAATTCCACTCCACACCATTCCACTCAACACCACTCCACTTCACCGCCTTCCATTTGATTCCATTTGATGCCCTTCGAATGTACTTGATTCGATTCCGTTCGATTCCATTTGGTTCCATTTTTTCCATTCAATTCGATTTGATTCAATTCCATGTGATTTGATTCCATTCCATTCCATTCCGTTCCATTCCACTCCATTCAATTCCATTCCATTCCACTCCATTCCATTCCATTCCATTCCATTCCACTCCACTCCATTCCACTCCAATCCACTCCGTGCCACTCCACTCCACTCCACTGCATTCAGTTCCTTTCCTTCCCATTCCATTTCATTCTACTCCATTCCACTCCACTCCACTTCACCGCATTTCATTCGATTCCATTCTATGCCATTTTAATCCATTCGATTAGATTCCATTCAATTCCATTTTTTCCATTTGATTCAATTTGATTCAATTCCATTTGATTTGATTCGATTCCATGTGATTCCATTCCATTCCATCCCATTCCATGCCATTCCATTCCATTCCATTCCATTCCGCTCCACTCTATTCCACTGCAATCCACTCCACTCCACTCCACTGCACTCCACTCTACTGCACTCCATTCAATTCCATTTCTTCCCTTTCCATTCCTTTCCATTCCAGTCCCCTCCATTCCACTCCATGCCAATTCATTCAATTCCATTCCACACCATTCCACTCAACACCACTCCACTTCACCACCTTCCATTTGATTCCATTCGATGCCGTTGGAATCCACTCGATTCGATTCCCTTTGGTTCCATTTTTTCCATTTAATTCGATTTGATTCAATTCCATGTGATTAGATTTCATTCCATTCCATTCTGTTCCATTCCACTCCATTCCATTTCATTCCATTCCACTCCACTCCACTCCAATCCACTCCATGTCACTCCACTCCATTCCACTCCATTCAATTCCATTCCACCCCATTCCATTCCACTCCATTCCACTCCACTCCACTTCATCACATTCCAGTCAATTCCATTCGATGCCATTCGAATCCATTCAATTCAGTTACCTTTGATTCCATTCAATTCCCTTTTTTCCATTCGATTCCATTCGATTTGATTGAATTCCATGTGATTCGATTCCATCAGATTTGATTCCATTCCATTCCACTCCACTCCATTCCGTTCCATTCCATTCCATTCCATTCCATTCCACTCCACTCCACTCCATTCCACTCCACTCCACTTTACTCCAATAAATTCCATTCCATTACTCTCCACTCCTTTCTATTCCATTCCACTCCACTCCATTCCATTTGATTCCACTCCACTATGGTCCATTCCAATCCACTCCACTCCATTCCACTGCTCTACATTCCACTCCATTCCACTCCACTCCACTCTGTTCCATTCCATTCCTTCCTATTCCATTCCATTTCACTCTGGTCCGCTTCACTCCACTCCATTCAATTCCATTCCACCCCATTCTATTCCACTCCATTCCACTTCCCCACATTGCATTCACTTCCATTCGTACTCCACTCTACTTCCCCGCATTGCATTCGATTCCATTCGATGCCGTTCGAATTTGTTGAATTCTAGTCCTTTCATTTCCATTCAGTTCCATTTTTTCCATTCGTTTTGTTTCAATTCACCACCTTCCATTTGATTCCATTTGAAGCCATTTGAATGCACTTGTTTCGATTCCATTCAATTCCATTCGGTTCCATTTTTTCCATCCAATTCGATTCAATTCAATTCCATGCAATTCCCTTCCATTCCATTCCACTCCACTCTACTCCACTCTACTCCTCTCCGTTCAATTCCATTCCTTCCCATTCCTTTCCATTCTACTCCAGTCCACTCCACTCCACTCCATTCAATTCTATTCCACTGCATTCCATTCCATTCCATTGCTCTCCATTCCACTCCACTTCAACACATTCCATTCGATTCCATTTGATGCCATTCGAATTCATTCGATCATTTCCATTTGATTCCATTTTTTTCCACTTGATTCGATTTGATTTGGTTCCTTGTGATTCGATTCCATTCCATTCCATTCCAGTTCATTCCATTCCATTCCATTTCACTCCACTCCATTCCACTCCAATCCATTCTACTACTCTCCACTCCACTCCCCTGCACTCCACTCTACTCCACTCCACTCCATTCAATTCCATTCCTTCCCATTCCATTCTATTCCACTCCAGTTCCCTCCACAGCACTCCCCTCCACTCCATTCAATTCCATTCCACCCCTTTCCATTCCACTCCATTCCACTCCACTCCACTTCTCCGCATTCCATTCAATTCCATTCGATGCAATTCGAATCCATTCGATTTGATTACATTCGATTCCATTTGATTCCACTTTTTCCATTCGATTCAATTAGATTCAATTTGATTTGATTCGACTCAATTCCATGTGATTCGATTCCATTCCATTCCTTTCCATTCCACTCCATTGCATTCCATTCCATTCCACTCCATTCCACTCCACTCCATTCCATTCCAATCCATTCCATTCCATTCCACTACATTCCACTCCACTCCATTCCATTCCACTCCACTCCTTTCCATTCCACTCCATTCCACTGCGCTCCATTCCTCTCCACTCCATCGTATTCCATTTTTTCCCATTCCATTCCATTCCACTCCTTTCCACTCTGCTCCACTCCACTCCTCTCCATTCAATTCTATTCCACCCCATTCCTTTCCACTCCATTCTACTCCACTCCACTTCACTGTATTCCATTTGATTTCATTCAATGCCATTCGAATCCATTTGATTCGATTCCATTCGATTCCATTTGATTTCATTTTTATGTATGGTAGATATACATAAAATATATATGTTTGAATATACATCAATTTCTATGTAATAAACATGTATATCGCCGTTATGTTTTGCCAGACAGTGATCAAAGCACTTTCTTCCCAAAGATAGATGAATTCTACTGTTCTCCCAAATATTTGTTAGCTTCTAAAATATACACATTTTGCTATCATATATACCAGGTTGGTGGGCAGGTGTGGTGTTTCATGCCTGTAATCCCAGGACTTTGGAAGGGAGGCCATGACATTAAGATTGCTTGAATTCAGGAGTTAAAGGCCAGCCTGGGGAACATAGAGAAACCCCATCTCTACAAAAATTGGCTCAGCGCAGTGGGGTGGACCTGTAGTCCCAACTACTTGAGAGGTTGAGATGGGAGGATGTCTTGCCATTACTAGAATGGACAAAGTCACAGGAGGGCAGGTTGGAAGAGGCAGAGGTTGCAATGAGCCAAGACCACACCACTGCACTCCAACCTGGGTGATAGAATGAGACCCTGTCTCAAAAAATAATGATAATAATAATAACTCCGGGTGTTGAAAGAGAAGGAGTAAACCCCAACTTATTAAATTATCTGCTCTGAAGCTCAGAAAGAGCATTAAATACCAAGTGAGTAAGAACTGGTCAAAGCGAAAACAAGCATCACAGGAGGGTTATCTAATGTGGGTGCTGGGGCCACAGCCAGGAGCTCGCAGCAGGTTCATCATCCACCTTCACAGGATGGAAGGCAGCGTTTCAGGGGTTCCAGGTGGCCAGATGCAGTGGTAAGAGCTTGGAAAGTTAAGTTTTTGGTTTCATAAAATTGAATTGGTTTGCTAAGATTTGGCCTCATCATCAGCTTCTGACTCTGAAGATTGCATTGAACAATGATAAAGGCCTTTTAGGAGATTAAGAACATTCAAGTACAGTTCCATGATGTTCTGGTCCCTGTAGGGGAAAATTAGTTCCATTTTAGTGATCGCCTTAAACTGGAGATATGGGGTGTCGGGTGAGAAGAACAGTTTGGATACAGCTGACCTCCACCCCTGGGCCCACTCTTACCCATACGCACATCCTCAAGGCAGCTCAGAGCAACATCATAGAATTTGAAAGGACACAGGTGTGGGCTCATGGGACATGTTCCATTTCCGCCAATCCCTTTGGCACCACTTAGGATCTGTTAACATAATGGTTACCATTTCCTAAGTGTCAGGCCCTCAGCCGAGTTTTCCACATGCAGTACTTAATTCTCTCAGACTCAAATCATTCTGATTCCAACGTCCAGATTCTTAACCAGTACACCATAGTGCAGCATGGTAGATTATACAAAGCAAAGGATCTGGAATTTGTAAGGCTTAGCTTTGAATTCTTGCTTATTCTTTCTAGTGCTGTGAGTTTGGGAAAGTAACTTAACTTCTTTGTGTCACTTTCCTCATGAGTAAAATGGAAATAATAATATCTGCCCATCAGTGTTGTGGCTATTCCATCTAATAAATATAAAGAACTTAGGGATTGTCCTTACCTGCAAAACAAATTATAACGAGGTTACAGGGTAGGCATGTGTCCTCCATGCCTTACTTGTGATTAGATGACTTGTACCATTTGATATTTCAAACCCAAAGGGGCCTGTTCCCTGGGGAAGTTTGCCCCAAAATAACTTTCAATTTAGCAGTGAATTTCTCACTCATTTTATGATGAAACAGCCGGACTGTAGACCGAGCTTGAGTATCCAAGCAGAGGCTGGAATGTAGATTCTTATATGTGCATGGCTCATACATTTTGACCCTTCTTGGAAGAGATTAAAGATGTTAAGCTTAGTTACATCATGGTTTTATCTAATGGAAGAAAATTAAGATGTCAAAATTTGTTACATTATATTAGTTTCTGTTCTAAGGCCTGGTAAAAATACTTTTATTATAGTCTAAAATTATTGACCTTTGTAAGTGCCCAGCCACACAGTGTGATATACAAAAAAGAGTGTGGCTGACACAGGCGTGATATTTGGCCTCCTGGGGACTCCTTTGCAAAGGCGGACCTGCTAACTAGAACAGGCAGGAAGGCTACTGAGTAGGAAGAAACATTAGTCTACACCAAGTACAATTAGATAGTTGTCCTGATCATCAAACTCAGAGCAAGCATACATGCCTTTGAGGGTTTTGTAAAACTGAGTAAATCCAAGAGAGGATGAGAAGGAGTTCCATGCACAGTCAAGGGGACAGTGTCTGACATCCTCCCAGTCAGTGCTAGGTGGTCCCCAGTCCTGGTGTCTCCCCACCAGGCACACTCTAACAATTCATTGCAGGCAGCGTAGCCCAGATTACTGAGAAACTCCAGGATGCACCTTCGCCTCATCTTGGGTGGCTGGCCAGACAGGGATTCCAGGAATCCTACCCACTGGCCAGCAAGGTATTCATTTGCAGGATGGCAAAAGATTCTGTCTCCAGGAGGATGCTGACCTGCTGATTTGGGGAGACTCAAATTTCTTATATTAACAAGAACTCCATGAAAAATTTTCCCTGGCACCCTACCCACCCTAGGGACAGCCAAGCTTGCAGAAAATCCAGGTGTGGACAATGTTTTCAAATAAGTTAGATTTTTTTTTAAATTTTTCAATTTGGTCTCTTCCCTGGATTATTGATTACAAATAATTAAATATTTTTGCCTTATTATTGTCACATGTTTAATATCTTACTGTTTATTATATGTCTGGGGTTTTTTTTTTCTTAATTTTCAAATATTCAAAGCCTCCTGCCTTTTCCTGAGTGAGGGAGTGATGAAAACAGTCTGTTGGAAAGATTAATTAGATAATAGAGATAACAGAGAGTAGTGGAGAAAACTTGATTCTGGAAGAACCAAGGCACACAGAAATGAGGAGCTAGATGAGGGCTGTGTAGAGAGGGGGAAAGCCACAGAGATGTCCCCAGGAGGAAATGCCAAGTCCTGAGAGCCGATAGGAGAGAAGGACTATTCTGGAATCGTTTCCAGCCAACATGGCACGAAGGAGGCATCAAAGCTCAGAACATGAAAGGGGTGATTTTCCAGCTGTCTTAACAACAGCTATATTGCCTCTGCTAATTCAGTGTTGGTAAGACTTCAGGTGGCTTCTATTCCAGTTGGACATGAATGAACCACCTAACCGTGGGACTGGTGCATTTTATCACATGACATTGGCTCTCCATTGCAAAAGTGACACCAGGGTTGGGAATTTGAGGGGCATGATACAAATTCAAGGAAATTCAAATAAATACGCAAAATCATTTGAATTTGTCCTTGTACCTGCAAATGTAGTCCATGTGGTCTCATCAGAAGTATGGATTTTTTTCTTCTTCAGGTCATTGTATTTCAGACATACACAAATAAAAGTCATGTGCCCATTGAGGCAAAATATATCTTTCCTTTGGATGACAAGGCCGCTGTGTGTTGCTTTGAAGGTCATCAGTGGGAAGTACATAGTTGGAGAGGTAAGGCAGAGATCATGCCTGCTCTCTGCTTTCAAAGTCAGCTTCCATTTCCCAGAACCTTTGTTTTCAGAGTCCCCATGGCTATAAGGTTGAGTAGCAGCCTTGTCATAAAACGAGAATATTCTTCGAAGAACCAGTTCTTGCACAGTAAGCCTTCCTCAAACATCCCTCCCTGATGAAGTGTTTCTATCCCTATCTATCCAGTCTTCATCATCAGTGTCTTGCACACTCTTTGCCTTGGCACTGTAAGAGTGATTTCAGTATGAAAAGTTTAAGAGGGCCGGGTGCAGTGGCTCATGCCTCTAATCTCAGCACTTTGGGAGGCTGAGGCAGGAGGATCACTCAAGGTCAGGAGTTCGAGACCAGCCTGGCAAACATGGCAAAACCCTATCTCTACTAAAAATACAAAAATTAGTCAGATGTGGTGGTGCACGCCTGTAATCCCATCTACTTGGGAGGCTGAGGCAGGAGAATTTCTTGAACCTGGGAGGTGGAGGTTGCAGTGAGCCGAGATTGCACCACTGCACTCCAGCCTGGGCAACAGAGTGAGACTCCATCTCAGAAAAAAAATAAAAAGAAAAGTTTAAGAGAGGCACATTGGAAAATTGGTTAGGTCCTTATATATTTTTGTAAAACCTGACCCTCGGCATCCTGCTATAAAAGTCAAGCTGAAATGAAAACTATTGTAACTTTCTAAAAAAAATAAAAAAGAAAGAAAAGAAACAACAGTTTATTAATTCTTTGTATATTGTAAGGATTATCCCACAGTTACAATTATAAACTATAATTTACTAAATTTAAAGTAATTATTATTTTTTGTTCAACATAAACTCCCAACCAAAAAAAATTTCTTTCACTATTGATTCTAAAATATATTGATCCCAACTGAAAGAGACTTCTCTTTAGTTGGCCTTTCCTGGTTCAAATTCTTATCAGATAAGTATATTTTGATGGTCACTTTAAGTTTCCATTCATCTTAGACTCAGTTTTTAGGTTTTGCCTGGGTTTTAATAAACATTGATGTTGTTTTCTTCATTAAAGCCTGAAGTCACTCTTCATGTAAGGAATGATTTAAAAATCATCTTTTCCAGATTAAAGAGAAGGAAGAAGCCCAGTCAGAGTACCGAGGAGCAGTGACCCAGGGCCATGGCGCTTACCTGATGAGTCAGGATGCTCCAGTATGGCTTGGTGTGCATGCTGCGTGCATACAGGAGAGGAAAAGAGAGTTAGAACAAGATATGAAATACGAATTTCATCCTAGAAGCTGAGAAAATTTACACTGTTGTGGGACCCAGACTTCCACTTGCTCTAAGTAAGGGGAAGCCATGACAGTCAGACCCATTTGACTTACCTGAACAAAGGAGGAAACGGCATCAATAGTTCCAGACAAACAGGAAGAGCTAGGCCTGTCATTGGGAACTGAGTTTCCCAGAAGGAATGACAGACAAAAAGATAACATTTGAGATATGTAACTTTCATCTTCTGATAAGAGTGATATATTGGCCGTGCACAATGGCTCACACCTGTAATCTGAGCACTTTGGGAGGCTGAGACGGGCAGATCCCGTGAGGTCAGGAATTCGAGACCAGCCTGGCCAACATGGTGAAACCCCGTCTGTACTAATAGTACAAAAATTAGCTGGGTGTGGTGGCAGGCACCTGTAATCCCAGCTACTGGAGAGGCTGCAACAGGAGAACCTCTTAAAACTGGGGGGCAGAGTTTGAAGTGAGGCAAAATTGCACCATTGCACTCCAGCCTGGATGACAAGAGCGAAACATCGTCTCAAAAAAAAAAAAAAAAAAAAAAAAAAAAAAAAAGAAGAAGAAGAAGAAGAATAGTGTGATATATTTACAATTTCCCTGGAAGTAAGCTCACCTAGCAGATGGTCCAAACATAAAGAAGGGAGGCATCCCTGCCGGGTCCTGTGTGGGCCCTGCTCCTGTGCTTTTAGGTGATTAGATTTAGCAGGGACATGACCTGGACAGCGTGGAAGAGGGAACAGCTGGCAGGTCCACTGGACTACTTTTCTTAAATATCAGGTGTTTTCACGAGGCTTCTGGCAGGTGCTAGATTGCGTGTAGTCAGCGTCTAACTCTAGTGCAGATATTTTAGTTGTTTTTGCAGATGGGGCCTTATGTTTGAGTATCACCTCTGGGGGAGACAAATGACAATGGTGTTTTGAAAATTTAATGTTTGCTGGAGCTAGGGGCATATTCAAGATTAATATAGATCGAAGGGGTAAATTATTGCTCTTGACATCTAAGATATCCACTTGCACGACGGGAATAGGCAATGAAGAGGTGATTATTGAACAGTTAACAATGCTGACTCTATGTATGGACAAACTGTATGTATAGAAGCCTGGGGTTCATTATCAGGTTATCCTCCTATGTGAGTTGGTAAATGTTTCCTCCTAAATACCTATGTATTTCCCTAGGAATATGGTCCATAAGACAACAGTCTTCACAAAAGATATTACCTATGGGTAAAGTCTGATCAAAACTATTGCTAACCCAAGAATTCAGGTCTCCCAGAATGCATTTGACATCTTGTGACTATAATGTTCTCCTATCATAATATATGGTATTCACTTTGGGAGGCCAAAGAAGGAGGAGCACTTCAGCCCAGGAGGTTGTAGTGAGCCATGGTCGGGCCACTGCACTCCAGCCTGAGTGACTGAGCAAGACCCTATCTTTAAACATAAACAAAGTTTTGAAAAAAGTAAGGCGTGTGATGGGGAGTCTGGGTGTGCAGTGGGGGAGCCTGCTTCAAGAGGAGACTGTGCCGGTTAGCAGTGCCCATGCCTGGAGGGGCTGGGATCCATTCTGCTTTTCTGTCAAGTTTTTGGGATCTTTCTAAGTGTTTCTCCCTCATCTTCCAAGCATGTGTTTGCAATTTCAAACTCTAGTAAAGTGAGCTTCCCGGGATAGAGACCATCAGGCGTCCTCCCTGGCGTGAGTCCTCGTCCTCTGAGAGCCGCCCTGAAGGAGCACAGGAAGACTCCAGCCTGCCTTGCTAATGGATGGAAGCTGTAACTACCAATAACCCATGTTAGGGATCTTTTAGTCAATGTTATGATCATCACCAATTAATATGGAGGTTAAAGACAAATCCAGTCTTTATCCATAGGTTGAAAAACATCTTGGAAATTATTTTCATAAGCTCTTTTTCTGAAAAATAATTGATGTTTTCTTTAATACTTCAGGAGGAACTCCTTTAAGCAAGGAGTTCTTGATAGTTGTAGAATTATTTTAGAGAGAAAAGTAATAGGGCATTTGTCATTTAAATGTCAGAGATGCTCTTTGCTAGAGTGAGAGTTGCTTCCTTATGCCTTTTGCTATGTTGATGTGTATCAGATTTTAAGAGGTAGACTTTATTCACTCTTTGCCAGCTCTAGGCCTTTGGGATCAGATTTAGGTAATATTGTTACTTATGGAAATTAAGTTGATATCTTTGTCAGCATTCTGATACCTTATAGGGTTGTTTTTAGCGTCATTTACTCCCTCCCTCAGGAATTGAAAGTCAAGATTTTCAACTTTTTTCTATTTGAAGGATAAGTCAGTCCTCTGATGGATGGGAGCTTAAATTAGCCAAACTTTCAGATCTTTCCTCCTATTATCACTTTCTCTGTTTAACCTCAGCTACACTTGAGTACATTCTTCCCCATGTCTTGTCTCTCATGTTGAGTTGTGAGATTTCTCAACACTGTTAACATGTACTTCAAAAATATTTCTCCAATATCTTCAAAATTAAAACAGGTGAAATGCAATCAGTTCTACAGCAAATCGTCACATCCTAAGGATTTTTTCCCAGTGTAGTGCCGGAGTATTTGAATATTTTAATGCAAAATCCAAACATAGTTGGAGAAAAGAGATATGTTTTTTAAACATCTGGTTTTATGTGTACATGCGGAAATCTCACATTCTTCCAAGGCTAAGAAATAGGAACATCTGTGTTTCCTTGAGTGAGAGGGGAGGCGCAAAGAGGCAAGCGCTGCCGCAGTTGTGAGCCCTGACTCAGGACTGCACCAGCGGGAATACAGGAGTTCTTCAGGTCAATCTCCCAGCTCATAGTTTGATTTCTGCCTTAAAAATCATGGACTGATTTTTTAAAAGTGAATTATTAAATATGTTTTGCTGAAATTAATTTTCTTTATTATAAAATTTACCATTTTAACCTTTTTTAAGTGTACAATTTAGTGCTGTTAGCTACATTCACAATTCTGTGCAACCATCACCATCTTCAAACTATTTCATCAGCCCAAACAGAAACTATGTACCCATTAAACAGTAACTCCACATTCCCTCCTACACCCAGTGCCTGCTACCACGACTCTACTTTCTGTCTCTATGACTTTGCCTTTTCTGAGTATCTCATATAAGTGGAGTAATAGGACATTGTCCCTTTATGTCTGGCTTATTTCACTTAACATGATGTTTTTAACGTCCATCTACGTTGAAGCATGTGTCAGAATTTCCCTTCTTTTTAAAGCTGAATAATATTCCATTGCCTGGATAGACCACATTTTGCTTATCCATTCATCTGTCGGTGGACACTTGGGTTGTTTCTGTCCTTTGGCTATTGTGAATAATGCAGCTATGAGCATTGGTATGCAAGTGTCTGTTTGAGTCTGCTTTCAATTCTGGATATATGTGTAGTGTGGGATTGCTGTATCATATGGTCACTCTATCTTTAGTTTTTTTTGGGAATTGCCATGTTGTCTTCCATAGCAGCTGCATCATTTTACATTCCCACCACCAATGCACCTGGATTCCAGTTTTTCTACATCCTCACCAACACTCATCATTCCGGTTTTTTCTATATTGATTGAAGTCAACCAGCTTTTCTTTGGTTTGTTTTGGTTTTTGAGACACGGTGTCACTTGGTCATCTAGGCTGGAGTGCAGTGGTGCAATCATAGCTCACCACAGCCTCGACTTCCTGAGCCCAAGCAATCCTCCCACCTCAGCCTCCAGAGTAGCTGGAACTACAGGGGTATGCCACCACTTTTTTTCCTATTGTTTTTTATTTCTCTGTTTGGTTTTTGTTTGTTGTTGGTATTTTTTGAGACAGTGTATCACTTTGTCACCCAAGCTGGAATGGAGTGGTGCAATCTTGGCTCACTGCAGCCCTGACATCTGGGTCTCAAGCCATCCTCCTGCCTCAGCCCTCCAAGTAGGTGGGACTACAGGCCCACACCACCACACCCAGCTAATTTTTTGTAGAGACAGCATTTCACCATGGACCCAGGCTGGTCTCAAATCCCAAGCTCAAGCAATCTGCTTGCCTTGGCCTCCCAAAGGGGCTGGTATTGCAGGCATGAGCCACTCTGCCCAGCCACCACTTGTTTTTTAATAACAGCCATCCCACTGGGTGTGAAATGGGATCTCGCAGTGGTTCTGATTTACACTTCCCTAATGACTAGTGACATCAAGCATCTTTGCATGCACTTGCTGGCTTTTGTGTATCTTCTTTGGAGAAATATCAAGTACTGGAATCTACTCATACCAAGGTTGCATATTAGTAATTAGCTAAAGACATAATTTCAGGATGCTTTGTAAATGTAAAGGATGGGATCATGCTATTATTTAAAATTCTAGCTGGGCATTGTGACTCATGCCTATAACCCCAGAACTTTGGGAGGCTGAGGCGGGTGGATCACCTGAGGTCAGGAGTTCAAGAACAGCCTGGGCAACATGGTGAAACCCCATCTCTACTAAAAATACAAAAATTATCCAGGTGGGGTGGCACATGCCTGTAGTGCCAGCTACTTGGGAGGCTGAGGCAGGAAAATCACTTCAACCTGGGAGGGGGAGGTTGCAGTGAGCCGAGATTGTGCCAGTGGACTACAGCCTAGGTGACAGGCAAGACTCCATCTCAAAATAGAATAAATAAATGAAGTAAAATAAAATAAAATTCTGTTTAAAATCTTTTCGGGAAAATACCCAGTAGCAGGAGGGAGAGAAAATACCATAGAGTTATAAAATTCCCGAAGGATAGAATGTATATTTTATTTTAAATGTGAAGTAACTATTTTCTGGATGGAGCATTGAAAGAGAAATAATTCCTTTTTTATAAATAGATAGAAGACCAAATGACCAGGTTATGTTCTCCGAATTGCCACTCTGTCTCCGTCAAATGGTAGCAACTCAACACAGATGTGCCCGCGGCCCTGCAGGCCCCAGCCCAGGTGCCGTCGTTGTTTCACAATGATTGACTCCTTGTCTATGGATTCATTCCTCACTGCACACAGGTAAGAAGGAGCAGAGTTTGTTATTCTATGGGAAGACCAATATATTTTGCTATTTTTTTCTGTCTTCTTCCCTCCCCTTCTCACCAACAGATTTTCTTCTTCTGAGAACACAGCTGGTGGTTAGCCAGGGCTTTGGGGAGGCTTCTAGTTTTTATTGAAAGGGGAGAGGAAATCACTAAAAGAATTTCTGTTAAACGAAGACACTGCAGAGCGGAAAGGCTAATGAGGATTTTTTTTTCCCATTTCAGGCAACTCTGTGTGCACTAATTTGAGAAAGAATTTTTGTACAATAGTGTCGACTATTGAGCTTCAGAAGACAACTGGAACTTTAAGATTCAAAACCTAAACTATCGACCCATTGTTTGAAAGTTATGATTTTATATTTCCAAATATAATGCTCTATGTCAAGCTTGTCCAACCCACAACCCAGGGCAGCTTTGAATGCGACCCAACACAAATTCGTAAACTTTCTTAAAACATTATGAAAATGTTTTGCAAGTTTTTTTTCAGCTCATCAGCTATCATTAGTGTTAGTGTATTTCATGTGTCACACAAGATAATTCTTCTTCTTCCATTGTGGCCCAGGGAAACCAAAAGATTGGATCCCCTGCTGTCTGTACTTCCTTTGTTGATTTCCTGTGTTGAAATTTCATTACACGATGTGGAGATGGGCCATCTGTACAAATGAGCTTACTTTCCTTCTGTTTCTAATGCAGCACTTCTTCATCTGAGGTAGTTGGGTTTAGGTGTGTCTATATGGGCATCAGTGGGTGGCAATTCTGCAGTTAAATATGGCATTTATGCTTGGAAATTTTTCTAGAGAGGTTCTCAAAGATGTTCATGACTCAATAAAAGTTACATGCCACCAGGGTGCGGGCCCTGCGGGACGGGACGAGGGCGGGGCGCATGCCGCGAGCACCCGCCTCCCCGCGCTCTGCTGGCCTCCACACCCTGGGGCCGCCTTTCCTTTCGCAGGGGCAGCGGGGTGTCCTGGAAGCCCCGGAGCTTCATGGAAGCCTGGGAGGGCGGCGGAGTGGGGTCCGCAGCGCGGTGCCCAGAGAGGCAGCCGGCGCCCGAATCCAGGGTGCACTTCCAAGCGGCGAGGTTCATCATGGAGGCAAGTGTCAAGCTAGGGGTGCAGTCCATTCCCATTGCCACTGCTTGCACCATTTACCATAAATTCTTCTGCGAGACCTGACTGGACGCCTGTGACCCTTACCTGATTACCATGTCTTCCATTTACTTGGCCGGCAAAGTGGAAGAGCAGCACCTGCGGACTCGTGACATCATCAATGTGTCCAACAGGTACTTAAACCCAAGCGATGAGCCCCTGGAATTGGACTCCCTCTTCTGGGAGCTTAGGGACAGCATTGTGCAGTGTCAGCTTCTCATGCTGAGAGTTCTGCGCTTCCAAGTCTCCTTCCAGCATCCACACAAGTACCTGCTCCACTACCTGGTTTCCCTCAAGAACTGGCTGAACCGCCATACCTGGCAGCGGACCCCCGTTGCCGTCACTGCCTGGGCCCTGCTGCAGGACACCTACCACGGGGGGCTGTGCCTCCACTTCCAGGCCCAGCACATCACCGTGGCAGTGCTCTACCTGGCCCTGCAGGTCTGCGGAGTTGAGGTGCCCGCTGAGGTCGAGGCTGAGAAGCCGTGGTGGCAGGAGTTTGGTGACGACCTTACCAATCATTGACAATATTGTGTCTGATCTCATTCAGATTTATACCACGGACTCAGAGATCCCCTAAGGCCCTGGCCTAGGCCTGCCCAAAGAGAAGCCTAGGATGATCAGCTGCCTGGGGAAATTGCCACCATGTCACCACGATGGCTGGTCCTCAGAGGACCAGCTGGGAGGACTGGTTGTGCTGCTGGAGAAGGGCTGGAGAAGGCGATAGCATGCTGCCGCTTTGACAGTCCCTAGCAGTCGTGGTCCAGGTGATGGTGGGAGCTGGGCCTCCAGCGGGCAGGCCCGGAGTGCACTGTGTGCAGCTGATCCAAGGCAGCCACATCTGCTTTTGTCCTTTGAGAGGAATCTGACTACAATACAGGCATGACATCAATGAAAGGAAAATCATGAAATCGATGAGACTGAATCCCTAGGGATTTTTTTATAGCCAGATTTATAGCAAGAATGAATGTGCAATGTGGCTGAAATCTATTTTGTGTAATAAAAGGTGATGCAAGTCAAAAAAAAGTTACATGCCCACTGGTCTACTGATGCTACTTAGAAATATTAGTTATAAAGTACTGGACTAAGAGTAGATCATATTGTATATTGAGGATGTGGGTTTTTTCCGTGTTTTGATTAAAACCAAATGAATTATGAAAGAAAAAATTCCTGTTTCCCCCACAGTCACACCATTTCTAGTTTCCAGATATGTGTTTTTCCCAACCAATTCTCTGACACCAGTTGCATGTCCTACAATTTAATTCAGTTCTGACATTAGCTGCCTGGGGTTGGCACAGATCTCACAGGGTGAGGGCCCAGTCCCACAAGACTGCTCCCCACTCCAGAAACCAGTAGCAAGTACCAGGTCCCCAGGTTACCCACACTTCTGGTCAGCTCCAAGACAGTGTTCCCACAACCCTTTCTCAGGTTCAGTAATTTCCTGTAGCAACTCACAGAACTCAGGAAACCTTTACTTAATACTTAATACTTAATAATTAGTATTACTGATTTATTGCAAAGAATATTATAAAGGATACAAATGAACAGCCAGATGAAGAGGTATATAGGGTAAGGCCCAGAATAGTCCCAAGCACAGGAGCTTCTGTCTAACATACAATTGGGGTGCACCATCCTCCTGGCACATGAATGCTGACCCAGAAGCTCCCTCAACCCCTTTAGATGGGGTTTTTAATGCAGGTTTCATTACAAAGTCCTGGTTGATTAAATCATTGGCTGTTGGTGATTTACTCTCCCCTCCCTGGAGATTGGGGAGTGGGGCAGAAAGTTCCAGCCCTCTAATCATATGGTTGGCTCCCCTGCTACCAGCCCTCACCATGGGACTTTCTAAAAGTCACCTCATTAACATAAACTCAGGTGTGGTTGAAGTGTCCTGTTAGGAATAACAAATACATACATTTCTTATGTCTGTAGGGAAGTTCAAACTTTCCCTCTGAAGTTTCCACCTTTGGTCTATAAAATAATCCAACAATAGATGAACAGGGCAAACGACATGCAGATGTCGTTACGTGTGCAGGGGCCACATGAGACTCAAAGAAGGGCCAGATGAGTGAAGTTTCATACCATACAGAGGTGGGTAGATTGTCAGGCTCCTGGGGGGAAGTGGGGACACGTTGTGGGAGGGTGAGGGGAGGAAACATGTGGTGAGCAAAGGCTTTCTTCTGATGCAGATGAAGTCTGGCAGGCAGCAGACCTGAGAGAATAGAAGCACTTCTGGTAACAGTTTCTCTATCATCTCTTTAAATATCAGACTTTAGCCTCCTCTTCCTGGGAGTTCATCTTTCCTAAATCTGGATAAGGCAGATAAGGGGGTCTCAGAGAAAGCCTATTTGCACCTGCTGTTTACTTCACTGACATAAGATTCCTCTGCAGATGCAAATATTCCCTACAAATGGACTGCTTTTCAGAGCTATTCCTGTGTCTGCTGTCCCTCTGAAAGCATCTCAAAATATGCCAAATAAGTCTCTTTCGGGGTGGCCTATTTTTACCTTTTTGTATATCACAATATTGCAAATTATTACCAAGAAGCAACATTTGGACTGGTACTGAATCCACTATAGTTTAGCCTATATATGCCATTTATGTAGTTTTTTTATTCAAAGGAGTATTAGTATAACCAGGTAAACCATTTCCCAGACATTGCTGGTTTTTTTCTCAAAAATGTGTAGCTTACTTTTCATCACTATATCAGTATATTGACTTATTAGTTGCCAGTGACTTATGTATAGAACTTAAGCTCAATATTGCTTTAAAAAATAGATCTTTATGGGTACTGATAAGGGAGAATAAATTAAAAGTGTACTTTTAAAATTAGATCTAAGGGGGAAAGAAGGTAAAATAATTTTACCTGGGAACAGGTAATTTTCCATGAAGTCACAGCAAGTTGTACTTCCTCTGTGAGAAACACCCCTATCAATGACAAAATTACAAGGGTTGGAATGAAGGAGAGTTCCATCTCTCAGTTGTTGGAGAGGAAGCACCTGGTGGTGCACATTGTGCCGTCCTCACCCTGCAGAGTGCAGATCATGTTCATGGATGGGCATCCCAGCACCAAGGTAGCTCTTCCTATGGTAGAAAAGAAGTTTTCATTTTTTTAAATAAAATGAATTGGCAAAATGGCCTTTTATAGAAAAAGCAAAACTCTAGGGACAGAAAGCAGATGAGGAGCTGCCAGAGCTGGAGGAAGCTACACAGGGACACAGAGGAACCTTTCAAGGTAAAGAGAATATTCTGTCTTCACTTCAACAGTGGTCATGCAACTGTATACATCCCTTAAGATCATCAAACTATATATTTAAGAGGAGTGCATTTTACTGTATGTAGGTTATACCTTCATTTTTAAAATGATTTTCTTTGCAAGTCTTTTATTAGAAGCCAAGTGGATCTTTTTTTTTCCTTTGCTACTTAAACACAGATGATTGACAAGCTGGCAACCCGAGCTCTAATCAGAGATTACAAAGATGGCATTCTTCATGAAAATGAAACCAGTCGTGAGGTTTGTTCTTTTCATTGTAAAAACTATTAGACATTGTTCTTAAGCATTCTTACATTGATTTATCTGTGGAAATAGAAAGTGAGGTCAGCTGCATGGAGAAGGAGACTGTGGTGTCAGGGCATTCATCACTGTATCTGTGACACTGTGCCTGGGATGTGTGGTGTGTGGTAAATGTTTGTTGAATGAATTAACAAAAGAGTGGATGTCAGTGGTTTCTGGAAAATTCTGTAATGTTTTGTTTATCAGAAAAAAACCAAGGAGGGCTCAGAGAGCACTCAGTGAGTGCCTGTAGTGGACGTCACCTCAGATCTCTCATGTGGTAGCATTAGTATTCCCATCTTACTGATGAGAGTCCTGAGTGCGAAATGCTGAGTGACCTGCCAAAGCCCACCTGACTCCCCGATGCTGTGCAGACCACGGCCTCCGCAGAGGATCCCCTCACCCAGGCCACAGGGACTGCCCAGCTGTTCTCTCAGGGATGAGATCTTCAACAACGCTGTGAGTGTTAGTCCTCAATGCCATCCCCACAAGAAGGTGCCAGCGTGACAGCAGGCCCTGGAGACCCCCACAGACAGTTCTAGTGACAGATGGTCACCTGGTGGTCTCCCTATTCTACTCAGATGCCCCTGGGTTGGCAGCTTCTCTGTGATGTTTTGTTTAAGACCCTTTTGTCCTGAACAAGTCATTCTGTCTTTCCAATTCTTCAGCTTTAAATTGGGAGCCACAGACTGTGAAAGAATGAGAAAGCCCACTGCCCAGGAGAGCTCTCTGTGAACTACAGGGAGCTGAATAATGAAGAGTGACATTTTCTATGGCTAAGTCAGTTGATCTCATTTTAAAGGGAATATTGAGCCACCTATTTAGATGGGACCTACAATTCAATATTTAGTCTGAAATACAAATCTTAAAATGATTTACTGAAGTATCTAAATAGAAATAAACAAAACAGGACATGACTTATATTTTATTCTATCCTGGATGAAGAAACAAACCTTGAAATCTCTGATTATTAAACCCAGTAAAGAAAACTCTCTCATAATACAATTTACAAGCTTTGTGGCAGTTGAGAAAAGGGTATGTATTATTGTTAATTCAAGGTTATATTATTTTATTTATATTTCCACATTAAGAAAGTCACTCTTGCTTTGACGGTTAATGACAACACCCACACCCTGGGCCTGTGAAGCGTGGGTTGCTGACAGGCCAGTAGGCCCCATGAGTCCCAACCTCCCATTCATGGGCAGTTTCAGTGTTGGGACTTATGGTGATCTTTCTAAATGAGTTGGGTATGTTATCATTTTTAATGTTATAGTTATTATTAATAATTAGCTAATGTGTATTTTTCAGATACCCTATAATTTTGTTACAGTTTTGGCATTTATTGTCTTTTATTAATCCAAGATCGTCAAAAAATAGAAAAGGCCTGGGTTCTCTGAGAGCCCCTTCCCCCTTCATAAGTTTAAGGGGAAAATTCACATAATATGCCCAGCACAGTGGCCAGCACCTGCCAGTGCTCTGTAAAGAGGAAAGTCACTCCACCTCCCCACTTTCCCTCACGCTTGTGGCCCAAGGCCCAAGCTCCAGTCCCACACACCAGCATAAAAGCCAACACCCATAGGCTTTAGAATGTGTGATTATCATTTAATTGGATAATGTCTGTTTGATTTAATCTATTTGTGATTCGATATAGGATGAGAATGAGTCACCTTTTCCTGATATTCCAAAAGTTTCTGAACTTATTACCAAAGAAGATGTAGACTTCCTGCCCTACATGAGCTGGCAGGGGGAGCACCAAGGAGCCATCAGGAACCAAGTAAATGCTGATTACCAAATAAGTTGATATTGAGCTTTGTTTGTTCATGAAGATGAAGGGAACCCTTTGCTAAAATAGCTCCCTTCTTACCTGTATATGAAGAAGTTGTTGTATCCCTGATGATGGAAAATATTCATGCATTTATAAAATGTTGAATTACATCATGTTGCATTACAGAGACTTCACAATGTATGAACGGAGCTGTATAGTACAAAAAGAGAACACCTGTGGCTGTGCTTCTATCATGGGCAAATAGATTTTCATACAGGAAGCTAAAGTCATCTAGGTAGTGTAATAGGTTTGTCATAAAATTATCAATAGAAGTGCTATATCTAATAGATCAATAGAACTGCTAATAATCTAAATTCACCACCAATATTTCTTAAAGTTTATAGTGCTTTAGACTGTGGCCCTTATGACCAGAAATACAATAGAAATGGAAAAATGTGGCTTAAATAAAAATTGGAAACAAATTGAAAAGCAAAGAAACTGTTTTGTTAACAGTGCCGATAACACTCTTAGGTCTCTAGGTTAAAAAACTAAAATTTCCAAAATGTAAGAATTTAAAATCTAACTGGGCACCATGGTTCATTACTGTAATCGAAGCACTTTGGGAAGCTGAGGTGGGAAAAATCACCTCAACCCAGGAGTTTGAGACCAGCCTGGGCAACAAAGTGAGAACTCATCTCTACAAAAAGTTTTTTAGGCTGGGTGCAGTGGCTCATGCTTGTAATCCCAGCACTTTGGGAGGCCGAAGAAGCAGATTGCTTGAGCCCAGAAGTTCAAGACCAGCCTGGGGAAAATGCTGAAACCCCATCTCTCCAAAAAAAAGTACAAAAATTAGCTGGGCATGGTGGTGCATGCCTGCAATCCCAGCTACTCAAGAGGCTGTGGCAGGAAGATGCTTGAACCCAGGAGGCAGAGGTTGCAGTGAGCCAAAATGGCACCCCTACACTCCAGCCTGGGTAACAGAGTGAGGATTTGATCATAAATAAGAAAATAACATACGAAAGATGTGCAACCTTGTTACTAAAAGAATTTAAAATATAAAAACTGTCATGAGATTCCTTTTTATTATTTAACTCTGTCAGGTTGGCAAATATCATAAAAGGTAGATGACTGAAAGTCAGTAAATACAGTGGTTAAGATCACAGGTGCTGTGGCTGAGTGCTCAGGTCTGAACCCCAGCCCGCACTTCGCTCTGTTGGACTTGACCTTCCCAGTGCCCCAGTCCTAATGCCCGAGTGGGGAGAGCAGAAAAATCCACCTCAGGTGATTGTAAAGAGTTCTGAGACCATTATAACATGTCTAGCTTGTGGATATTTGATAAATATTAGCTGTAGTTATTAATTCACAAAGGTGTCTGAAACAGACACTGTTGCCCAAACAGATGGGGCAGAAAGCTGACAAGTGGTCTTGGGTTTGGAGGGATACTTGCTTTTTCTTCTTTTTTTTAAATCTTAACTTTTTTTTTTTTTTTTTGAGATGGAGTCTCACTCTGTCACCCAGGCTGGAGGGCAGTGGCATGATGTCGACTCACTGCCACCTCTGCCTCCTGGGTTCAAGTGATTCTCATGCCTCTGTCTCCTGATTAGCTGAGATTACACTTGTGTGCCACCACACCCAGCTAATTTTTGTATTTTTAGTAGAGACAGGGTTTCACCATGTTGGCCAGGCTAGTCTCGAACTCCTGACCTCAAGTGATCCACCTGCCTTGGCCTTCCAAAGTGCTCAGATTTCAGGCATGAGCCACCGCCCCTGGCCTTACTTTCTTACAGTGCACCCTTTTGTATATTTTGAATTTTGAACCATTGGCATGGATTGCCCATGAAAGAAAAATAATACTTTAAGCAAACACAAACAAATAGTTTGGGGAGTCAGGAGGAGTAGGAAGTTCATTGTTTTGGAAAAAAAAAATTCTGATGTACAATTAAGAATCGACTGTCCTTGAAACAAGAGAGACTCACTGTTAAAATGGGCCCTGGAAAATGTATACTTATCTTTTATGTGTTTCAAAAACGCACACCCAGAAGAAGCTCTGAAACTGGAGATGGTCATGGTTGCACAACAGTGTGAGTGTGCTTCATGCCACTAACCTCTGAAATGACTACAATAGCAAACATTGTTGTATACATTATTCCCACAATGAAAATTAAATTAACAAAATAAGAGATACGCCCCTACACTCTGCCACACACGTAAGTACTTTGTTCAGAGAAAAGCTCTGGAGGGATATATGCCAGAGATCAGATAAAACATTCTGTATGGCTTTTATGTTCTTCTTTGTGGCTGTCTACTTGTGTCTACTTGTATTTTCTAATTTTCTCATAGTACACATGTATTGTTTTTAGATTTTTGGTTTTTTTTTTTTGAGACAGGGTCTCGCTCTGTTGCCCAGGCTGGAGTGCAGTGGCACCATCACAGTTCACTGCAGCCTCGACCTCCTGGGCGCTACAGATCCTCCTACCTTGGACTCTCTAGTAGCTGGGATTACAGGAGTGAGCCACCATGCCTGGCCTGTTTATAGAGATGTTTGAAGTTATTTTCAAAATTAGTTATAAATTAATTTAGGTTTTAATACAGCGTGGTGATGAATTATTTCATACTAAATTTGCAAATACTTTGGATCTGAATACTTCCAGATCCAAAAATATCAGATGAAAAATATTATCCATTAGTTTGATGACTTGAAAGTTTATATTTATGTTAGCTGCAATAAATTTTTTTAATGGGCCATGTAATTTATCAAAAATGTCAAGCCTCTGTTACTCTCCCTCGGTATCTGTTTTACCAAAATGTGGCACCTGCCACATTCTGCATGGAGTTATTCCACTGAATTCAGTAACAAGCCAGCTGCAATAGAGCCCAGACATCTGGATCTGTTTGGTCCTTCCCGACTCACTGAAGCTTGAGGCATTTCCTTATTTGATACATCTTCATTGTGAAATGAGACCGTCCAGGGAGTGCAACACCTTTTCTGCTGGGACGCGCTCAGGAAGGACAGCGCTCAGTGCTGGGTGCTCTCGCCCCCCTAAAGCCACACCAGGGCTTAGGCGCAGTGTCTTCTGCACCAACCCCAAGTCCACTTCGTTCCCTCCCGCTCATGAAAGCACACTGAGAACAAGCCAGAGGGAGACATTTTTAAAACATACCTCCTAATCCAAGTTTTTAAAGTAAATCATTTGAAAAATTCAATGCTATAACTCTTAGCAAGAAATTGAGGGCACTGAAGCTAGGGGTCCAGAGCCCATGCTGTTCCTTAAATCAGGGGTCCCCAACCTGCAGTCCCTGACCTGTCAGGAACCAGGCTGCGCAACAGAAGGTGGGGGGGCAGTGAGCGAGCATTACTGCCTGAGCTCACCTCCTGTCACATCAGCAGTGGCAGTAGATTCTCATGGGAGCCCCGAACCCTGTTGTGAACAGCCCATGGAGGGATCTAGGTGCCCTTTCTGAGAATCTAATGCCTGATGATCTGAGGTGGAATAGTTTCATCCCAAAACCATCTGCCCCACCCCGTCCATGGAAAAATTGCCTTCCATGAAACCAGTCCCTGCTGCCAAAAAGATTGGGGGCCACACCTTAGATGATCAAGGTGTGAGTGTGTGGTTAAGCAAAATAAGCAATTGTGAATTTCAAGGGAAAGAGGAAGCAAATGGGTGATTTTGGCAAATAGAAGAATCATAATGAGGTCAGGCATGGTGGCTCACACCTGTAATCCCCACACTTTGGGAAGCCAAGGTGGGTGGATCACCTGAGGTCAGGAGTTCAAGACCAGCCTGGCCAACATGGCAAAACCCTGTCTCTACTAAAAAATACAAAAATACTATCCAAGAAGAAATTTCATAAAATAACCCATATTTCTCAGTATGATTCTTTTTTTTAATTTTTTTTTTGAGATGGAATCTCACTCTGCCACCCAGGCTGGGGTGCACTGACTATTCACAGGCTCTATCACAGAACACTACAGCTTTGAACTCCTGGCCTCCAGTGATCCTCTCACCTCAGCCTCTTGAGTAGCTGGGATGCTCCACAATACCTGACTTAATCAAATTTTTGATCTTTGCAAATCTTACAGGTGAAAAATATATTGGTGACATTTATATTTTTGTTTCTTTATGAATGAAGAGGAGCACGTTTTATATTCTTACAGCCCTATGCATCACTTCCTGTGTGTTATCTGTTCATGTCTTTTATCTTTTTTATTGAGATTTTAGTCGTTTTCTTGTTTATCTTATGAAAACTTTTTATGTTAGGGAAATTGGCCCTTTGTGATATGAGTTGTGAAAATTTATTTACCAGTATTCCACGTGTTATTTTGATGTTGTTTATTATCTTTTTGTAATGCAGATTTTTTAATGCAGTCAAATTTTTAATCTTTGTGTTTCTTTTTTTTTGTTTAGTGTTGTTTTGTTTTTCATCATGCTTAGAAATACCTTTCCTAGTCAGAGATTACACTTAAAAATTTTTCCCTTTATTACTTTAAATAGTTTTATGTTTTCATGTTTACATCAATTTTTCATCTGATTGAAATTTATCCTGGCACAAGATGAGAGATATGGAACCAATATTTTTCTTTTCCAGATGGCTATTCCTTTTCCTCCTATTGACTTGAAATGCCACCTTCATAATCTAGTAGTTCTCACGTTTTAGGAGCTATTGCTGGACTTAATCTACTCTGTTCCTTGATTCATCTACTATAATTATTGTAATTTTATAAAAGACTTTAATATCTGATAGGTCTAGTCCATCACTATTAGTCTTTTCCAGTTTGCTTCTCTGATTTTTAAAAATTTAACCAGATAAGTAAGCATTATTTTTAAATCTGTCTTTTCATATATTGTATAATATTAATTATTCAGGAATATACTTAAAATTTGACTGAGTTGGGAATGGACTACTCCTCTTTTAAATAGTTCATATTCACAGGTAAAATTACAGGCTAACTATTTCAAAAATATCAAGGACTTGTCATCCATCTAAAACTGGATTTGATACAGCCAACTTTTTGAGGAACACTATTTCCATTTAGATTGAAACAGTAATAGTAATATAGCATCCCTCAAAATTTGTTTTGCATGCATATTATTCATATTCTTCTATAACTATATGTTCATTTAATTACCTTAAAGCTTTTGGCTGGACAGAGTCTCACACATGTAATCCTAGCACTTTGAGAGGCCGAGCTGAGAGGATCACTTGAGCCCAGGAGTTCAAAATCAGCCTGGTCAACACAGCGAGATCATATCTCTACAAAAGAATAATTTAAAAATAAGCTGGGTGTGGTGGCACATGCTCATAGTCCCAGCTACTGGGGAGGCTGAGGTGAGAGGATCGCTTGAGCCCAGGAGTTTGAGGCTATAGTGAGTTGTGATTGTACCATGGTACTCCAGCCTCAGACAACAGAGCAAGACCCTGTCTCAAAAAATAAATAAGTAAAAAACTAAATAAAGCTTTTGAGACTGTTTTTCCATTTTCTTAATATTGCTTAAAGCAATATAAAAGAGTAGAATAATTTACTTCAAATGACTATCTAATGTTAGGCCTAACATACACCCAGTGATACTGCTCATTGTAAAATCTTGGGCAAGTCACTTCTGTGCTCCTCAGTTCCCTCATGTGTAAAATGAGGGGTGTTTAAATTTCCACAATTCTAAGAACTAAGAGAGAAGTTCTTTCAATCTATTGATTGCTGATATTCTCTCCAGGTCTCAGTTTCCATGTCTAGAAAAAAAGGGCCTTGTACTGAAATGATCTTGAATGTCTCTGGTGGCGTTATTTTCTTTCCTTTTTTTCTTTTTTTAGACAGAGTATTGCCCTCTCGCCCAGGCTGGAGAGCAGTAGTGCAAATCTGCACTCATAGCTGCCTCAGCTTCCCAGACTCAAGCACTCCTCCTGCCTCAGCCTGCCAGGTGGCTGGGACTATAGGCGTGAGCCACTACACCTGGCTAATTTTTTATTTTTTGTAGAGATGGAGTCTCAGTGTGTCGCCCAAGCTGCTCTCAAACTCCTAGCCTCAAGCGATCCTTCCTCTTTGGCCTCCCAAAGTGCTGGGATTATAGGCGTGAGTTGCCGCACCCAGCACTGGTGTTATTTTCAACATCCCAGCTCACATTGATGATTATGATTCTGGATGAGCAACTGCCTGATGGGTGGGAAGTCAAGTGCTAGGAAGAATGTTTGCTTGATTGTTCTTTTTATTCTGTGTTTTCCTCTTATGTTAATAATTCTCTCTTCTGGGCAGCCTCTTTTAGTGTCCTCTGAGTGGCAAGAATTACCTTCATCCAAACCAAAACTTAGGGCTAAAAGAAAAATGAAATTATCTAAGACAGAAATTTCTGAAGATTTTGAAGAGGATGGCTTAGGTGTACTACCAGCTTTCACATCAACTTTGGAACGTGGAGGTGTGGAAAAGCTATTGGATTTAAATTGGACAGAGTCATGTAAACCAACAGCAACTGAACCACTATATAAGAAAGTTAAGAAAGTCCACTGGAAACATCTACTTCTTTTTTTTTTTTTTTTTTTTTTTTTTTTTTTGAGACGGAGTCTCACTCTGTCACCCATGCTTCAGTACAGTGGTGCGATCTCGGCTCACTGCAAGCTCCGCCTCCCGGGTTCATGCCATTCTCCTGCCTCAGCCTCCTGAGTAGCTGGGACTGCAGGCACCCGCCACCACGCCCGGCTAATTTTTTGTATTTTTTGTAGAGATGGGGTTTCACCGTGTTAGCCAGGATGGTCTCGATCTCCTGACCTCGTGATCCGCCCGCCTCGGCCTCCCAAAGTGCTGGGATTACAGGCGTCAGCCACCGCGCCTGACCGGAAACATCTACTTCTAACTTTTTTTGTGTTTCTGCTCCAGCCTTTGGTTCCTCTCTTCCCCCGGCTGCCCGCTCTCACAGTCCTGCTTCCTTGCCTTTTGCCTCATATTGTCAGATAGCTAGTTTTGGTTTTGCTGCTCCTCCCAGACAGTTTGATGCATCTCAATTCAGCCAAGGCCCTGTGCCTGGCAGTTGTGCTGACTGTATCCCACAGTTGGCGTCTTGTCCCACAGGACCTCCCCAGAACCCCTCTTCTGCACCCTACTGTGGCATTGCTCTTTCAGGGAGCTCATTGAGCTCCACACAGTCTGCTCCACTGCAACCTGTTGGAGGCCGTACGACCAGGCCTTCTACTGGCACCTACCCTGAGCTGGATTCTCCCCAGCTTCATTTCTCTCTTCCTACAGACCCTGATCCCATCAGAGGTTTTGGGTCTTATCATCCCTCTGCTTCCTCTCCTTTTCATTTTCAGCTTTCCGCAGCCCCTTTGACTGCCAATAACCTCTGCCTTACCTGAGCCTCTTTACAGTCAGTCCTGGACTACCCCAGTAGATCTCTGTCTTCTGGACGAATCAGTAGGCAGTCTTGAAGGAAGTCAATGTCCTGACTATGGTTTTCAAAGTTGTTCTGAAACAGAAAGTCATGAGCTATGAGAAGTACTGCTTTTTACAAATAAAATGTGATACAACAGACAACAGTATCCCGTGCTTTCTGGAGGTAATAGAGGAGGATGAAACAGTGTGCACACAGCACTGGCAGGATGCTGTGCCTTGGACTGCACTCTTCAGTCTACAGAGAGAGGTATGTGTTTTATTTCTCCTTAAATCTGTGGTTAGCTGGCTTCATAGTTTAGAATGGGGCTCCTCAAAGCAGCTGGTCAAGGAACTGTCTATCGTCAGTCTGTAGTGAAGGAAGGGGCTTGTGCACTGGGGTGTAAATCATACTGCTTCACTCATTGAGGAACTCTTGCTACAAAACAAAACAGACAGCTGGATGAAACAGTGTGCTTGATGCTGGCTGGTGTTTCTCTACCAACATTAGACCAGAACCTCATGCTGGTGAATGTTTCTATTCCTCACATGAAAATGAAGATCTCTGAACAGATGATGGGGTGAGATCTTAATTTCCTAGATTCTAGAACTAATGGATTGTAATCCACATAAATTTCACACTGTGAAGTAGAGCACAAGCACTTGTACTTGTACTCTAAATATTTTCACATAAGGTCATGGGAATACAGATATTATTCAACGTGTATATTGTGTTAGAGCTTATCACTCCATTTGTTAAGCTAATAAACACCCTGTAGATTTGGCCCCTGCACTGGTACTAAGACCCAGTCCTGCATCTGTGATTACTTGGTTTGGTGTAAAGTAGTTTAGTGAAACGGAAAGGGCTTGATGCAGCATAAAAGTAAGCCTGAGTCCCAGCCAACTTTGTGATTGGGGCAAGTCAGGTAACCTTTCTGAGCCTCAGTTTCCTCATCCATATAGTGGAGATAATGATAGTGTCTACTTCACAGAGTGGGTTTGGGGTTTAAACAGGATAATCACAGCTGCCCAGTTTCCCTACTTGAGACAGTGCACCCAAAAGCCTGCTGGGAGCATACTGCAGATGGTCAAGAGTGTGGATCCCACAGCCACTCCTGGCTCTGCTGCTTGTTAGCTGTGAGACTTTAGACAATTACTTCACCTTTCTCTGCCTCCGTGTTCTCATCTGCAATGTGGGTGTGATAATAGTGCTCCACAGGAAGTGGCTAAACATATAAAAGAACAGCACCTGGTACCATTTCTCTATGGGATGGCACATATTATCACTGCTGTAATTTTTCAAATTATTGCCATAGGCCCTTAAACCTGTGCACCTGCCTAGGGCCACACCCTGCTTTCTGCTCCCTGTGTTGGTTTCCCTGGATTCTGTCTCCGTTGAGGTTAATATCCCCAAGCTCAGGCTTAGCACACTCTCCTCTGCATGTGATGAAGCAGGCAGATGTTGGGGGGGTGCAGGGAAGTTAGTTTTAAAGTCCGTGTTTAATATAACAATTTTATACTTAGAAAAAACTGTCATTTTCATGTTTCAGACTACATCAGGGTACATTTTTATGTTAAACAAAAGGAATCATGCTGGAGATCTACTGTACAATACAGGGCCTATGATTGACAATCCAATATGGTATACTTAAGCATTTGCTAAGAGGTCTATCTTATGTTAAGCACTTTTTCCACAAAAGGGAACAAAACAAAACAAAAGGGGTGGAAGAAAAGTTCTGGGAGTGGTGGCTAAGTTCATGGCATTGATGATTGATGGTTTGATGTTTTCACAGGTGTATACTTAACTCCAAGCACATCAAGTTGTATACATAAAATATTGGTGACTTTTTGTATGCCAGTCATATTTCAGTAAAGTGGGTTTTTTTTAAAGAGGGAATCATGCTATTTAAAAGTTTGAGAAATACCGGTTCAATGCTCATTGCTAGTTGATAATGCAGTAGGGTGACTATAGTTAACAAGACATTGTATACGTCAAAATGGCTAGAAGAAAATATTCGAAATATTGCCAACACAAATACATGATAAATGTTCAAGCTGATGGAGATCCTAAATACCCTGACCTGATTATTTCACATTCTATGCATGTATCAAAATATCATGTGAACCCCAAAATACGTACCAATAAAAAATGAAATAAAGCATTGCTAGAAGAAAAAAAGTACGATTTAAAAAAATCTCTACACATGAGTCTCTTTCCACACTTTTTATAAATGCCACCACATATGTAGTCTTCATAGCGTTTATGAGGTTCCAAACAATACTATGTCACTAGTGTATGAAGAACCTTATTTTACAGTAATAAAAATGTTAGAAATGCTGTAATTAACTGAAATTCAATACATGGAAACATATTTATCTCATAGCTTCTTTTTTCATTTAATTTGTTAAAATTTTATTTTAGATGCAGAGGTACATGTACAGGTTTATTACATGGGCATACTGTGTGTTGCTGAGGTTTGGGCTTCTAATTGTCTTGTTGCCCAAGTAGTGAAAATATGTTTTTCAAACCTTGCCCCTCTCCCTCCCCCACTACCTAACTTCTTATGTCATAAAATGTCAATAACATAACTTACCTTTGTTTTCTTAATTTTGTATGATGGCTTCTGAAAACTTACACCAGAACTGCAATTTATATTAAATCTTAATACAAATGCTTTGCACAGCTTAAACAAAAAGGCATTGAAATTGTAGGTAAGTCACTATGTTTCCATTTATTAAGTCATGATTTTCATTCATTCATAAGCATGCTCCTAATCGTTATAAACTATTATGTAAATGAGTTTACTAATGTAATAATTATGAAAGTTATATTTGAATGGAATTATATTTAACCATTAAAGGAAATGGGAGATCTGGTTCTAGTAATATTTTTGCCGCTAACTAGGGTATTGTTTGTGCACATTTATTAGCATAAATAGCACCAATTGCTGTAAAAAAGAAATCTCAGTAGCTTAACATAATCAAAGATTACTTTCTTGTCCATATCCCAGTCAAATATTGGTCAGGAAGAAAGTTCCACTTATGTGGTCATTTAGAGACCTTGACTCCTTCCATATTGTGGCTCCACCATCTTCAATAAATGTCTTTAAAATTATCCTGGTAAGAGAGAAGAACAAAGATTACCCTGGCATCATCCCCCTGCTAGACAAGAGGAAGAACACTAGTCACATAGCCCCATCCATATACGAAGGCCTGAGAAATGTACTGTTAAGCTGAGTGTCCAGGAGGAGAAAACAGCTCTGGTGAGCACCTAGCCAGCCTCTGCCAGAGGCAGTTTTTCAACCTCTGGACCTGTTTCCTTTCATGACAACAAGGAGATAGGTAAGGAAATCCTGAGCATCCTTGACCCGGCAAGTGGTTTGAAGGTCAAATGCTAGCCCTGGGACAGGAGCTGTTTGTTTGTTTGTTTGTTTTGAGACTAGGTCTGGATCCCTTGCCTAGGCTGGAATGCAGTGGTACTATCTCAGCTCACTGTAACCTCCACTTCCCAGGCTCAAGGGATCCTCCCACCTAAGCCTCCTGAGTAGCTGGGACTACAGGCACCTGCCACCATGCCTGACTAATTTTTGTATTTTTTGGTAGAGATGGGGTTTCGCCATGTTGCCCAGTGTGGTCCCGAAATTGTGAGCTCAAGCAATGTGCCCACCTTGGCCTCCCAAACTGTTGGGATTACAGGCATAAGCCACCATACTCAGCCTGGGGATTTTTTAAAATAAAATACACATTATTAAACAACTAGCCAATATTCATGAAAAGATAGAACAGCAGTGTCTCACTGGCCACCATCACTTCTAAAATGCTAGAATTTTTGTATTCCAGGCTGGGTGGGTGGGCAAATGCATAGCCTGTTTGACCTGCACTAGGCCAAAAAAGGGTGATGACAATTTACATGAAGAGTGAGTGCTTGATCCCGGAATAATAGAAGAGCCGCTATCGGACTAACTCTCCTGCCAATAACAGTTATTAACTTTGAATAAAATATTTAAAACCATTCTTTGAAAGCCAGGAGAATAATCAAAAACAGGCAGAAACTAGAGTGAAAATAATCTTTGAAAGAAAGGAAGCCAACTAGGTGGGCTCCACATTAATCCAGCTTGTCACCGAAAGGCATTTCTCAGCTCATGAGACACAGTGGGAGGTTTGAACTACAACAGAAAGTCTTAATGGGATGAGGACACGGGGTTGGAGTTTGAGGTTGCCAAAGTGGCTGGAAGTTAAGGATTAAAATCCTATAAAGGAGGGAACCACAGAGCAGGGAGCTCTGAAATCTGCATCCAAATATCCCTCAGATCCTTGGCTGTCTCCTAACCTCTACCTATATGGGGTGCAACCTCAAGGAATCCAGAAAAAAGTCACAGCTGGGAAGCTACAGAGCTAAGCAGAGATTTCAGCTGCTGCCTAGTACTGGCCAGAGTTTACAGTTCAAGTGGCACCAAATTAGAGAGACTTTATGAATATCTTTCCATTGAAACCATAAAAGGGTCATAAGGATCATATCTCATGATCAAGGACTATATCCCAGGACAAAGGGATAAACCAAAATAGACCCATCCTAATAAAGCCTAAAACAAAGCATACACAGGACCCACCAGAACAAAACTGAACACTCTTTAGAGTAAGAGAGCGTAGCTGGGAGTCTCTACAAGGTGTCATTTTTAATGGTCAGTATGGAATGAAAATTTGATAACATAAGAAGAAGCAAGACAATATGATTTGTGATCAAAGGGAAAATGGGCTATAAATGCTGACCCACAGATGACCCAGATATTAGAATTAGCAGACACAGACTTTAAAGCTGTTTTTAAAAATATAGTGAAGGATTGATTTACCAGAAAAGGATGGAATGGGTGAATAAATGGCAGAATCTCAGCAAATAGATGGAAACTATAAAGGAGAACCAAATGAAAATCCTAGAATTGGAAAATATAGTATCTGCAATGAAAAGGTCATTGAATGAGCTTAACAACAGAATGGACACAACAGGAAAGAAATCATTTAATTCAATTTACAATGTACTCAATAAACTTATCTAAACTGCAATACAGAAAGAAAAAAAATAGAATGAAAAAAGAGAAGAGCCAAGACTGTGGAATGATATCAAAAGGTTTAACATTTGTGTAACTAGGGTTTCAGAAAATGAAAGGGTAGACAGAAAAATATTTGAATATTTTTGTAAAATTGATCAAAGACAGCACCTTCCAGATCCAAGAAACTCAACAGAACTCCAAGCAGGATAAATTAAAAAAATGACCATATTTAGATAGGCCAGAGTCAAACTGTTGAAAACCAAAGATAAACTGGGAACAGTGGTTCACACCTGTAATGCCTGCACTGTGGGAGGCCAAAGGGGGCAGATCACTTTATATCAGGATTTCAAGACCAGCCTGGCCAACATGGTGAAACCCCATCTCTATAAAAATATAAAAATTAGCCAGGCATGGTGACATGCACCTATGGTCCCAGCTACTTGGGAGGCTGAGGTGGGATAATCACCTGAGCCCTGGGATGTTGTGGCTGCACTGAGCCATGATTGTGCCACTGCACTCCAGCCTAGGTGACAGAGTGAGATAAAAATTCAAGATAAATATATTGTCATGTGAGGCTAGAGCTCAGGGAAGAGGTCAGAATTGGAAAAGCCTGGAAGAATTCTCAATGTCAGTAGTATTTAAAGCCTGGCTCAGGATGAGGTCACCCAAAGAAAGAAGGTGGTCTGAGCAGAGCAGGTGCTAGGACCAGTCTGCTGCACAGCAGGGTTTAGTGTTCAGACTGGACAAGAAACATCAAAGACGCAGAGAAGAAGCAGCCTGAGAAACAAGAGGAAAACTGGAGAAAATTGAGTCACAGATGCAAGGGGATCAGATTTCATGAATGTACCTTTTCCACGGGCTTTTCCTGTGCTTCACTGTATTGCTCCCTATTATCCATGTTATTTTTCTGTAAGTGTGTGCTTTTCTGTCTTTCTTCCTCTACGTAGAGTCTCAAGCTGTCTGATTTTTTTCTCTGACTAGTTTTTTTATCTCTGTACCCAACTTTGTCTTTTATCCTCTTCTTCATTTCTCTTTTATCATCCCTTCTCCTTCTGCATTTGTTTTTTAAATAACACTGATACACATTAGGCACTTCATCAGTTTATTATTTATTATATTAGTCTTGGAGTTGTATGCTGCTATTATTAATATTGCTTAAAAATCAGTCTAACGTTTTGTAAATAATACCCCAAAAATAAGCCACAAAAGAATTCAGCAAATTAAACTGCTTTTGTCTCCATTGATTTTCTTTTGTGGGACAATGGATTAGTTTCTTATTTTGTTTTTAAAAATTTATTAAGTTCTTTTTCCTCCATTAAGAACACTATATTATTTAATAAAAGCCCTCTTATGAGCAGTTTTGGCTACCTCAGTGATGTAAAATTAATGGTGTATATGCAGATATGTGCATACTCTGCCAGGTCCTTTTGTCTTTACTCAAAAAAGGTAATTGTATATTCTTTTTTTTTTTTACATTTTTTATTATACTTTAAGTTTTAGGGTACATGTGCACAATGTGCAGGTTAGTTATATATGTATACATGTGCCATGCTGGTGTGCTGAACCATTAACTCGTCATTTAGCATTAGGTATATATCCTAATGCTATCCCTCCCCCCTGCTCCCACCCCACAACAGTCCCCAGAGTGTGATGTTCCCCTTCCTGTGTCCATGTGTTCTCATTGTTCAATTCTCATCTATGAGTGAGAACATGAGGTGTTTGGTTTTTTGTCCTTGCAGTAGTGTACTGAGAATGATGATTTCCAATTTCATCCATGTCCCTACAAAGGACATGAACTCATCATTTTTAAGGCTGCATAGTATTCCATGGTGTATATGTGCCACATTTTCTTAATCCAGTCTATCATTGTTGGACATTTTGGTTGGTTGCAAGTCTTTGCTATTGTGAACAGTGCCACAATAAACATACGTGTGCATGTGTCTTTATAGCAGCATGATTTATAGTCCTTTGGGTATATACCCAGTAATGGGATGGCTGGGTCAAATGGTATTTCTAGTTCTAGATTCCTGAGGAATCGCCACACTGACTTCCACAATGATTGAACTAGTTTACAGTCCCATCAACCGTGTAAAAGTGTTCCTATTTCTCCACATCCTCTCCAGCACCTGTTGTTTCCTGACTTTTTAATGATTGCCATTCTAACTGGTGTGAGATGGTATCTCATTTTGGTTTTGATTTGCATTTCTCTGATGGCCAGTGATGGTGAGCATTTTTTCATGTGTCTGTTGGCTGCCTAAATTTCTTCTTTTGAGAAGTGTCTGTTCATATCTTTTGCCCACTTTTTGATGGGGTTGTTTGTTTTTTTCTTGTAAATTTGTTTGAGATCATTATAGATTCTGCATATTAGCCCTTTGTCAGATGAGTCGGTTGCGAAAATTTTCTCCCATTCTGTAAGTTGCCTGTTCACTCTGATGGTAGTTTCTTTTGCTGTGCAGAAGCTCTTTAGCTTAATTAGATACTATTTGTCAATTTTGTCTTTTGTTGCCATTGCTTTTGGTGTTTTAGACATGAAGATCTTGCCCATGCCTATGTCCAGAATGGTAATGCCTACGTTTTCTTCTAGGGTTTTTATAGTTTTAAGTCTTTAATCCATCTTGAATTAATTTTTGTATAAGGTGTAAGGAAGGGATCCAGTTTCAGTTTTCTACATATGGCTAGTCAGTTTTCCCAGCATCATTTGTTAAATAGGGAATCCTTTCCCCATTGCTTGTTTTTCTCAGGTTTGTCAAAGATCAGATAGTTGTAGAAATGTGGCATTATTTCTGAGGGCTCCATTCTGTTCGATTGATCTATATCTCTGTTTTGGTACCAGTACCATCCTGTTTTGGTTACTGTAGGCTTGTAATATAGTTTTAATTCAGGTGGTGTGATGCCTCCAGCTTTGTTCTTTTGGCTTAGGATTGACTTGGCATGAGGGCTCTTTTTTGGCTCCATATGAACTTTAAAGTAGTTTTTTCCAATTCTATGAAGAAAGTCATTGGTAGCTTGATGGGGATGGCATTGAATCTATAAATTACCTTGGGCAGTATTGCCATTTTTATGATATTGATTCTTCCTACCCATGAGCATGGAATGTTCTTCCATTTGTTTGTATCCTCTTTTATTTCATCAAGCAGTAGTTTGTAGTTCTCCTTGAAGAGGTCCTTCATGTCCCTTGTAAGTTGGATTCCTAAGTATTTTATTCTCTTTGAAGCAATTGTGAATGGGAGTTCACTCATGATTTGGCTCTCTGTCTGTTATTGGTGTATAAGAATGCTTGATTTTTGTACATTGATTTTCTATCCTGAGATTTGCTGAAGTTGCTTATCAGCTTAAGGAGATTTTGGGCTGAGACAATGGGGTTTTCTAGATATACAATCATGTCGTCTGCAAACAGGGACAATTTGACTTCCTCTTTTCTTAATTCAATACGCTTTATTTCCTTCTCCTGCCTAATTGCCCTGGCCAGAACTTCCAACATTATGCTGAATAGGAGTGGTGAGAGAGGGTATCCCTGTCTTCTGCCAGTTTTCAAAGGCAATGCTTCCAGGTTTTGTCCATTCAGTATGATATTGGCTGTGGGTTTGTCTTAGATAGCTCTTATTATTTTGAGATATGTCCCATCAATACCTAATTTATTGAGAGTTTTTAGCATGAAGGGTTGTTGAATTTTTTCAAAGGTCTTTTCTGCATCTATTGATATAATCATGTGGTGTTTGTCTTTGGTTCTGTTTATATGCTGGATTACATTTATTGATTTGCATATATTGAACCAGCCTTCCATCCCAGGGAAGAAGCCCACTTGATCATGGTGGATAAACTTTTTCATGTGCTGATGGATTCGGTTTGCCAGTATTTTACTGAGGATTTCCGTGTCAATGTTCATCAAGGATATTGGTCTAAAATTCTCTTTTTTGGTTGTGTCTCTGCCCGGCTTTGGTATCAGGATGATGCTGGCCTCATAAAATGAGTTAGAAAGGATTCCCTCTTTTTCTATTGATTGGAATAGTTTCAGAAAGAATGGTACCAGTTCCTCCTTTTACCTCTGGTACAATTCGGCTGTGAATACATCTGGTCCTGGACTCTTTTTGGTTGGTAAGTTATTGATTATTGCCACAATTTCAAATCCTGTTATTGGTCTATTCAGAGATTCAACTTCTTCCTGGTTTAGTCTGCAGAGAGTGTATGTGCCCAGGAATTTATCCATTTCTTCTAGATTTTCTAGTTTATTTGCACAGAGGTGTTTGTAGTATTCTCTGATGGTAGTTTGTATTTCTGTGGGACTGGTGCTGATATCCCCTTTATCATTTTTTATCGCATCTATTTGATTCTTCTCTCTTTTCTTCTTTATTAGTCTTGCTAGAGGTCTATCAGTTTTGTTGATCCTTTCAAAAAACCAGCTCCTGGATTCAATAATTTTTTGAAGGGTTTTTTGTGTCTCTATTTCCTTCAGTTCTGCTCTGGTTTTAGTTATTTCTTGCCTTCTGCTAGATTAGAATGTGTTTGCTCTTGCTTTTCTAGTTCTTTTAATTGTGATGTTAGGATGTCAATTCTGGATCTTTCCTGCTTTCTCTTGTGGGCATTTAGTGCTATAAATTTCCCTCTACACACTGCTTTGAATGTGTCCCAGAGCTTCTGGTATGTTTTGTCTTTGTTCTCGTTGGTTTCAACGAACATCTTTACTTCTGCCTTCATTTCATTATGTACCAAGTAGTTATTCAGGAGCAGATTGTTCAGTTTCCATGTAGTTGAGCGGTTTTTAGTGAGTTTCTTAATCCTGAGTTCTAGTTTCATTGCACTGTGGTCTGAGAGACAGTTGGTTATAATTTCTGTTCTTTTGCATTTGCTGAGGATAGCTTTACTTCCAAGTATGTGGTCAATTTTGGAATAGGTGTGGTGTGGTGCTGAAAAAAATATATATATTCTGTTGATTTGGAGTGGAGAGTTGTGTAGATGTCAATTAGGTCCGCTTGGTGCAGAGCTGAGTTCAATTCCTGGGTATCCCTGTTAACTTTCTGTCTGATTGATCTGTCTAATGTTGACAGTGGGGTGTTAAAGTCTCCCATTATTATTGTGTGGGAGTCTAAGTCTCTTTGTAGGTCGCTCAGGACTTGCTTTATGAATCTAGGTGCTCCTGTATTGGGTGCATATATATTTAACATAGTTAGCTCTTCTTGTTGAATTGATCCCTTTACCATTATGTAATGGCCTTCTTTGTCTCTTTTGATCTTTGTTCACTTAAAGTCTGTTTTATCAGAGACTAGGATTGCAACCCCTGCCTTTTTTGTTTTCCATTTGCTTGGTAGGTCTTCTTCCATCCTTTTATTTTGAGTCTATGTGTGTCTCTGCATGTGAGATGGGTTTCCTGAATACAGCACACTGATGGGTCTTGACTCCTTATCCAATTTGCCGGTCTGTGTCTTTTAATTGGAGCATTTAGTCCATTTACATTTAAAGTTAATATTGTTATGTGTGAATTTGATCCTGTCATTATGATGTTAGCTGGTTATTTTGCTCGTTAGTTGATGCAGTTTCTTCCTAATCTCGACGGTCTTTACATTTTGGCATGATTTTGCAGTGGCTGGTACTGGTTGTTCCTTTCCATGTTTAGTGCTTCCTTCAGGAGCTCTTTTAGGGCAGGCCTGGTGGTGACAAAATCTCTCAGCATTTGCTTGTCTGTAAAGTATTTTATTTTTCCTTCACCTATGAAGCTTAGTTTGGCTGGATATGAAATTCTGAGTTGAAAATTCTTTTCTTTAAGAATGTTGAATATTGGTCCCCACTCTCTTCTGGCTTGTAGAGTTTCTTCCAAGAGATCTGCTGTTAGTCTGATGGGCTTCCCTTTGTGGGTAACCCGACCTTTCTCTCTGGCTGCCCTTAACATTTTTTCCTTCATTTCAACTTTGGTGAATCTGACAATTATGTGTCTTGGAGTTGCTCTTCTCGAGGAGTATCTTTGTGGTGTTCTCTGTATTTCATGAATCTGAATGTTGGCCTGCCTTGCTAGATTGGGGAAGTTCTCCTGGAAAATATCCTGCAGAGTGTTTTCCAACTTGGTTCCATTCTCCCCATCACTTTCAGTTACACCAATCAGACGCAGATTTGGTTTTTCACATAGTCCCATATTACTTGGAGGCTTTGTTCGTTTCTTTTTATTCTTTTTTCTCTAAACTTCCCTTCTCGCTTCATTTCATTCATTTCATCTTCCATTACTGATACCCTTTCTTCCAGTTGATCGCATTGGCTCCTGAGGCTTCTGCATTCTTCACGTAGTTCTTGAGCCTTGGCTTTTAGCTCCATCAGCTCCTTTAAGCACTTCTCTGTATTGGTTATTCTAGTTACACATTCGTCTAAAATTTTTTCAAAGTTTTCATCTTCTTCACCTTTGGTTTGAATTTCCTCCTGTAACTAGAAGTAGTTTGACCGTCTGAAGACTTCTTTTCTCATCTCCTCAAAGTCATTCTCCGTGCAGCTTTGTTCCATTGCTGGTGAGGAACTGTGTTCCTTTGGAGGAGGAGAGGCCCTCTACTTTTTAGAGTTTCCAGTTTTTCTGCTCTGTTTTTTCCCCATCTTTGTGGTTTTAACTACTTTTGGTCTTTCATGATGGTGACGTACAGATGGGATTTTGTTGTGGATGTCCATTCTGTTTGTTAGTTTTCCTTCTGACAGACAGAACCCTCAGCTGCAGGTCTGTTGGAGTTTGCTAGAAGTCCACTCCAGACCCTGTATTCCTGGTATCAGCAGCGGTGTCTGCAGAACCACGGATTTTCATGAACTGCAAATGCTGCTGTCTGATCATTCCTCTGGAAATTTTGTCTCAGAGGAGTACACAGCCATTTGAGGTGTCATTCTGCTCCTACTGGGGGGTGCTTCCCAGTTAGACTACTCGGGGGTCAGGGGTCAGTGACCCACATGAGTAGGCAGTCTGCCCATTCTCAGATCTCCAGCTGCGTGCTGGGAGAACCACCGCTCTCTTCAAAGCTGTCAGAAAGAGACATTTATGTCTGCAGAGGTTACTGCTGTCTTTTGTTTGTCTGTGCCCTGCCCCCAGAGGTGAAGCCTACAGAGGCAGGCAGGCAGGCCTCCTTGAGCTGTGGTGGGCTCCACCCAGTTCGAGCTTCCCGGCTGCTTTGTTTACCTAAGTGAGCCTGGCCCCTCCCCCGGCCTTGCAGCCACCATACAGTTTGATCTCAGACTGCTATGCTAGCAATCAGTGAGACTCCGTGGGCATAGGACCCTCCAAGCCAGGTGCCGGATATAACCTCCTGGTGCTCCGTTTCCTAAGCCCATCGGAAAAGCAAAGTATTTGCGTGGGAGTGACCCGATTTTCCAGGTGCCTTCTGTCAGCCCTTTCCTTCACCAGTACTTGACCAGCCCTTTCCCTGACCCCTTGCAATTCCAGAGTGAGGCAATGCCTCACCCTGCTTTGGCTCATGCACCCACTGTCCTGCACCCACTGTCTGGCACTCCCTAGGGAGATGAACCTGGTACCTCAGATGGAAATGCAGAAATCACCCATCTTCTGTATTGCTTACGCTGGGAGCTGTAGACTGGAGCTTTTCCTATTTGGCCATCTTGCCTCCTCCCCCCGTATATTCTTAATTATAAGACAAAGGTTTTTTTTCCTTCCCTAAAACCACTTTTTGTCTGTATGCTGTGGCTCATGCCTATAATCTCAGCACTTTGTGAGGCCAAAGTAGGAGGATCACTTGAGTCCAGGAGTTGGAGGCTACAGTAAGCTCTGATCACACCCACTGCACTCCAACGTGACAGAGTGAGCCCCTCTCTCTCAAAAAAAAAAAAAAAAAAAAAAAAAAATGAAGCTTGCCTTTTTAAAATAAAAATGGTTGTTAATTCTGAGTTCAACATATGTAAACATTCATTTTTCAATTTTGATATTTCATAATATAGTAAAAGATCTTGATTAGGATACCTGTAGGTACTAACCACTAGAAATAACTTGATACACCAGTGTAACTGGTCATAACTCTTGTTTGTCTGTTGAATATTTAGGTTTACCTTTCTAAGCTATTTGTAACAAGAGCCTAAAAACTGGATTTCTTTCATTGAACTTCATACCTCTCTGGTTATTGAAGATGGCAAGCGAGGGGCCCTCTGGATACAGGTCAGTTTCCTGACAATCATCAGGATACTATGATAGGGACACGGTTCCAACCATCCTCATTTATTTAAATAGCAAGCTAATTAAGGGCCTTGAAGAGTATTAGAGAGTTTCACCATCTGCTCATGTCCTGTGATTTAGCTGTATTATAATTCTTTAATGGGAATTTTATAAGAAGGCAGTTTGAGATGCAGAGTTTCCAACAGACTTAACGCAGTTTTTTCCCCTTTAGGTATAAAAAGAAGAGAACATCTCCTGGACCTAATTGCCACAAAGCAATATTACAGTTTATTTGCACCAGGTTGGAAAAAAAGGGAATAGTGTTCAAATCACTGATGGAACTGGAATATGCTTCTATTTCCAGGTGGCTTTAACTATAGTATTATGCAACTTATTTATATTTTCAACTATTTATTTAATAAACCTTACAAACAAGCTATAGGGAATTATCTTACATGTGTAGACTACTTTATAAGTATGTAGGAAGGTAATTTTTTTCAGGTGACAGCTTGCCCAAGTCTCCTGTGGTGGGCAGGGCTGATGTGGTATTTGTGCCTTAGGCTGCAAAGGAAATGGGCTCAAAGAGTTTCAGTGTAGCTCCCCTGGACCCCGGCCCTTCTGGCTCTGGATATGGTACTCTTCACTGCAGTGTGCTGATCCTGGGTGCCTCCAGAAAACCCATAATGTGACTGTTGTGCCCCGCCCTTTTCCCAACAATGGCAGGGCCTGGGACAAGAATACAATACAAGTATTTAAAGTTTATAACTTTATAGTTTGTAAAATACAAGTATTTAAAAAGTTATAAATCAATCTAGCAAACTATTAGATTAAGAAGTGTGTCCTAATCTCCTCCCTTGGCAAATACAACTTTATAACCACCTGGAAGACCAGGTTCAAATTCAGCCCTTGGCTGACCCTTAGCACCCTAAGAGGCCTTGCCAGCACACATGAATACCCCACCCCACCCATCAAAATGCCGTCCAGACCCCATGCGATTGCCCCCTCACCCCAGCCACCTTGCAGCACCAGTGAGATGGCAGCACTGTTCAAACTCAGGATGACAGACCAGGGAAGACCCTGGAAGTGGACTCAGGGCCATGTGGTCAGGAACGCTGGAGTTGCAGGTCTAAAAAGGAGGATGTGGGCTCCAGGGTGGGCACATTCTCTGGTCCATACAGACCCTCTACCCCATGGCAAGAGGGGCATGACCAGAGTATGATCCCTCTGACATACATATATATGTATACACATACACATATGCACATACATACACATATACACATATACATACACATATGCACATGCATACACATAAACACATGTATATATATAAGTATATACATACACATATGCACATACACACTTACACATGTATATATAAATATATACATACACATATGCACATACATACACACATACACTGTATATATAAGTATATACATATGCATATGCACACACATACACATATACACATATACATACACATATGCACATACATACACCTATACACATGTATATATAATTATACACATACAAATATACAATACACATACAAATATGCACATGCATACACATATACATACATATATGCACATACCTACACATACACACATATACATACACATATGCACATACATACACATATACACATGTATAATTATATACATACAAATATGCACATACATACACATATACATACACATATGCACATACATACACACATACACATGTATATATATAAATATATACATACACATATGCACATACATACACACATACACCTGTATATATACGTATATACATACACATATGCACACACACATATACACATATACATACACATATGCACATACATACACATATACACATGTATATATAATTATATACATACAAATATACACATATACATACAAATATGCACATACATACACATATACATACATACACATACACATACACATATGCACATACATACATATACACATGTATACATATACATACAAATATGCACATACATACACATATGTACATACATACACATATACACATGTATACATATACATACAAATATGCACATACATACACATATGTACATACATACATACACATATATATAAATATATACATACACATATACACATACATACACATATACACATATACATACAATGTAATTGGCTTATGTTCTTTTAAAGGCAAGATAAGGGGAAAACTAATCAAACTAATAAAAATACCGTTGCAAGGGAGGTTTGGTAGAGAGGACAAGGATGGAAGCTAGGTTTCTCCTAGTGTGCTTCGTTTTGCAGTTTTGACTTTGGGACTATGTAAATATTTTATGTAATAATGGATAAGATTGATATTTATTTATTTGTTTGTTGAGACAAAGTCTGGCTCTATCACCCAGGCTGGAGTGCAGTGGTGCAATCTCAGCTCACTGCAACCTCCACCTCCTGGGCTCAAGCCATACTCCCATCTCAGCCTCCTAAGTAACTCAGAATACAGGCATGCACCACCATGCCCTGCTGATTTTTATATTTTTTGGAAAGACAGGGCTTCACCATGTTACCCAGGCTGGTCTCGAACTCCTGAACTCAAGCAATCCTCCTGCCTCAGCCTCCTGAACTGCTAGGATTACAGACCTGAGCCACCATGCCCAGCCTGGAAATTAATTTAAGATGACTTTAAAACATAGTTAATAATTTGACTGTATCAAATTATGTCAAATCCCCTAGTGGGATAGTGCCTAAGGATTAAAAAATATTACAAAGAAATCTCACTGGGAGTAGCCATGGTGTTAATAACACTTTTGATTTGTTATTTTGGAAGGTAGATACTAATATTGATAGAAACTAATATGTATAAAATCAAATAAGTTAAATGAAACCCCTTGATTTCTAAACTTGAATTAGATCAGAGAATAGAGGAACATGTTATGTGACTCCATGCAAATGCAGTCAGCAAAGTCTGGAATGTGGGGAAATAAATGGCAAGATAAAAAAAAGGTTGAGGAGCAGAACCTATAAATAATCCTTTAGAGACATGTCAACCAAAAGCAAGGGTAGACCTTGTTTAGATCCTGGTTTGAACAAAACCCACTGCATTTAAAAAAACGAGACAGGGAAAATTAAACACTACCTGGATATTTTTTGATATTTAAAGAAATATTGATAACAATTTTTTTTTTTTGAGACAGAGTCTTGCTCTGTCACCCAGGCTGGAGTGCAGTGGTGCAATTTTGGCTCACTGCAAGCTCTGCCTCCTGGGTTCACACCATTCTCCTTCCTCAGCCTCCCAAGTAGCTGGGACTACAGGCATCCGCCACCATGCCTGACTAATTTGTTTGTATTTTTAGTAGAGACGAGGTTTCACCGTGTTAGCTAGGATGGTCTCGATTGCCCGACCTCGTGATCCACTCACCTCGGCCTCCCAAAGTGCTGGGATTACAGGCGTGAGCCACTGTGCCCGGCCTGATAAATATTTTTTAAGTGTAATGACTAAGAAAAAGTTCTTGAACACAAAACAGGTGTTCAGGAAGTCCTGGGCTAGGCACATTGGCTCATGCCTGTAATCCACGCACTTTGGGAGGCTGAGACAGGAGGAGCACTTGAGCCCAGCAAGATCAAGCCCAGGAGTTTAAGGTCAGCCTAAGTAACCAATGAGACCCCCGTCTCTACAAAAAAACTTTTTTAATTACCCAGGCATTGCTGGGCACAGTGGCTCACACCTGGAATCCCAGCACTTTGGGAGGCCAAGGCAGGAGGCTTGCTTGCTTCCAGGAGTTCAAAGACCAGCCTTGACCACATAGCAAGACCCTGTGTCTACAAAAAAATGTAAAAATTACCCGAGTGTGGTAGTGTGTGACTACTCAGGAAGCTGAGTTGGGCGGGGGGGGTATTGCTTGAGCCCAGGAGGCCGAAGCTGCAGTGAGTTGTGATTGTGCCACTGCATTCCAGCTGGGGCAACAAAGAAAGATGCTGTCTGAAAAAAAAAAAAGGAGAATCATAATTTACTATATGTAATTTATACTTCTGTTTTTTAAAAAGCAATACCTTCTCATTAGTTTGCCAAGAAAGATGAGAATTTATTCTTTTTTCTATTTAGGGAGTTTTCTTTTTGGATTTATTTATTTATTTATTTATTGAGGCAGGGTCTCCTTCTGTTGCCCAGGCTGGAGCGCAGTGGCATGATCTCAGCTCACTGCAACCTCTGCCTCCCAGGTTGATCACTTCAGCCCAGCAAGACCAAGTCCAGGAGTTTAAGACCAGCAATTCTCGTGCCTCAGCCTTCCGAGTAGCTGGGATTACAGGTGCACACCACTGTGCCCAGCTAATTTTTGTATTTTTAGTAGAGACGATGTTTCGCCATGGTGGCCAGGCTGATCTCAAACTCCTGGCCTCAAGTGAAAATAAACCAGTGCCACTTGCCAAGAGAATTAATTAAATAAATATCAAAGAAAAAACACTTTGAACAGCTAGGAGATGGGACTAAAAAATTAGTATTTGACTTAATAGGCACATCCAAAGAGGTATTTATTCTATTTATATTATTCCTGATTAGTAATATTATAGCTGTTAGAACAAGTATAATCTTTGAACCTGTTTTTGAACTGTAATACCACAAAGCATTAAAGCAAGATTTTCAAAATTGATCAAGTATATTCAAGCATATAGCTCTTACTACATTATTACTATGGTGCTAGCAAAATGGTTTGCTGGCACTTGAGTACGTAAGACAATACGATGTTAGGCCAGGCGTGGTGGCTCACGCCTATAATCCCAGCACTTTTGAAGGCTGAGGCGGGGGGATCACAAGGTTGCAGTGAGCTGAGATTGTGCTACAGCACTCCAGCCTGGAAACAAAGTGAGATTCCGTGTCAAAAAAAAAAAAAATTAAATATTTTTTATTTCCTGTTTATTGCATGTTTGAAACTTTTTTCTGTATTTTCTATTTTGGGATGTACGTAATATTGATGCAGGAGTACATTACCTGGAGGTGTAGGCACAAGATTTTCTTACTAGTGGAATGTGAACCAAAAAGTGTAGAGGCCACTGGACTAAAGGAGGCCAGCTGAATTAGTGAAAATATTCAAAGCCAGTTTTGTTGTTTTCAGCAGTCAGTAACAGTCAGTAGACGAACATTTACCAGGAAATGTCGGTCTTTTAAACACTTTGGACATGCTTCTTATTTAGTATGTTCATTCTATCATGACATTCACCAAACATTTATTGAGTGCCTACTGTGTACCACGGATTAGTAAGCACATTAAATTTATAAGCTTTGTTGATTTCCACCACAAACCCATAAGACCTCATGTTATTCTCATAATTGAGGAAACTGAGATTCCCAGTGTTGAATGAAAGCCACACAGTATCACATGGCCAATATCATGTGATTGCAGAGTCAGGATCAAACCCAGCTCTTCACCATCATGCTATACTGATAGCCCTTTCCCAGTTCACAGGGAAAAATCAGGAACAGGGAGAGAATTTTCAAAATATTAAGTTTCCCCATAGAATTTTCTGAAGAACTCTGGTGTATGTTGCCACTTGTTCACTGACAAGTTCTAGCAGATGACAGAACAAATGAGGAAGTAGCTAATTAATATTAATGAACAACCCCAGAATTTTTCTGAGTGTTGAATAGACTTGAATATTCAACAGTCTCAAATATTTGACAACATTTAGTGGACACAGACTTGACTCGATATGCTTAGTCTACCAAGTTTTTCCTGGCTTATGAGACACAGCTGAACATATGCCAGTTTCATGGGGGACTGTCAGATATTCTGAAGGTACCTAATCAAGTCAGTACAGTAGGAAGGAGAGAGAAACAGAAGTCTCGTTTGTGAAATACTACTTGAGTTTGTGCGTGAAGAATGGATAGGATTTAAACTGAGAAGAGTGGCAAGGGGACAACCATAAACAACTATAGAGAGGCTGGAACCTTAGCTGTCCTGTAGGCAGCAGGGATGCCTGGAGGCATGTGGAAACCACGAATGGAGGGCACAGGACATTTGACAATGCAGTGCATAAGCTCAACATCAGACAAGTAGAAGAACTTCTGTAAGATGTCAAGGAAAACTGCTTTTATTAAATATCTTAATTTTTGGCAGAATCATTTTGTCTGATATAATGTGATGGGTTTAGTACCACATTACATTTCACATGTTATGTTCTGAAATCTGAAACATTTATTTTTTTTAATCTAAGAATATTCCCTGGGCTTTTGAAGCAATAAAGAAAGCAAGTGAATGGGTAAGAAGAACTGAAGGACAGTACCCATCTATCTGCCCATGGCTTGAACTGGGGAATGACTGGGACTCGGCCACCAAGCAGTTACAGGGACTCCAGCCCATAAACACTGTGTCCCCTCTTCATAGAGTCCTTCATTACAGTCAAGGCTAAGTCAAATGAAACTGAATTTTAAACTTTTTGCATGCTTCTATGTAGAAAATTATCAAATGATAATAGATACTTATAATGAAACTCCATTAAGGTTTTATTCAGTGTAGCAATTAGTGTCTTTAAAAATAAAGTGGAAGCAGAACTACTTTAATCAACTAACAAGCAATAGTGAAACTTAAAATATTTCAGTTTTCTGTCTCATTTTTTGTTATTTTATTTTTTATATATATTTTTTGAGACAAAGTTTTGCTCTTGTTGCTCAGACTGGAGTGCAATGGCGTGATCTCAGCTCACTGCAATTTCTGCCTCCTGGGTACAAGCAATGCTCCTGCCTCAGCCTCCAGAGTAGCTGGGATTACAGGTGTGTGCCACCATGCCCTGCTAATTTTTTGTATGTTTAGTAGAGACAGGATTTCACCAGGTTGCCCAGGCTGGTCTCGAACTCCTGATCTCAGGTGATCCACCCGCCTCGGCCTCCCAAATTGCTGGGATTACAGGCATAAGCCACTGCACCTGGCCTGTTGTTGTTGTTTTAGAGATGGTCTCAATCTGTCTCCCAGGCTGGAGTGTGGTGGTGCGATCATACCCCACTGCAGCCTCAAACTCCTGGGCTCAAATAATAATCCTGCCTCAGCCTCCTAATTAATTGAGACTATAGGCAAGTGCCACCACATCCAGCTAATTTTGGGGTGTACTTTTTGTAGAGATGGGGTCTTGCTATGCTGCCTAGGCTGGTCTTGAATTCTTGGCCTCAAGCAATCCTCCCACCTCAGCCTCTGAATGTGTTGGAATTACTTGCGTGATCCTCTGCACCCAGCCAGTGTTTCAGAGCTTTAAGGTGATGAGAGATGCTTCTGGATGGTCCTGGGAACCTGCGTCCTTCGCACATTCAGGAGTCAAGTGGAAAGCTGGCTCAGCTGGACTGAGCAAGCTCAGAAGAAATATGGCCTTTTGTAGGGGATCTGTCAGGATGGTGGGAGAAATTATAAAAATTAAGTTGTAGGAAATAGACACAAAACTTCTTGGAAGGCTGGCAGGTTTACATAGCTTCAGTAAAAGATTTGGGTGAAGGCAGCTGAATTCTCTTAAAAGCTTAGGGCGTAGATACATAGGAATGTAGAGGAGTTTATCTAAATAGCTTGTTTTCTCATGTGGTCCTAAAACAGACCTTTGATCATTTGCAGGTGCATGACTGCTCTCTACTCAGGAGGTCAGCAATGTTAATTTCCCTCTAGAGGTGTGGTGTTTACTTGAGACCTTTGTCATTAAAACTGTGCTGAATAAATGCCTGGAGCCCCAGCCTGACAGGGCTGTGACTGCTGACTCTTTACAGCACCCTCCTCAGTGTCTGGGAGCTGCCCAGTCCCCTACCCCACTCTTTCATGGGATACCTGTGTCTGAGTGCATTTCTTCACCCGTCATGCAGCCAGGTTATGCAGGTTAGACCCAGCAAGTTATTGACAGAGTTTGAAAATTATACAGGATTGGTTGTTGAGTTGGATGTTTTAGTCAACATTAAGCACATGCCTCAGCAGTAGTTGACTTTTGTCTAAAGGGAGAGAAAGAAATTCTAATTTTCCCAAATGTCCAAGGCTCCAAACAAAACATACTGAATTAAGATTTCCAGAAGAAAGTCCTGGCAACTTGGATATTTAATAGGTGCTCCAGGTTATCAAGCACATTAGAACACAATGGCCCAGGTGCTGTATCTCAAAGTGTGAGTCTGTGGACTGGCATGGTCTGCCTTACTTGGGAACTCAACAAGAGAGGCAGAATCTCTGATCCTGTTTGAGACTATTGAATCAGAAGCTGCATTTTATTTAGCAAGGCCCCCAGGTGACTCCTGTGCATGTTTATAGTTGAAGGGCTAGTGGAATGTGGTGATAGGAACATATTTGGTGCTTGTCCAGGGCCTTGTTTTAAGAACCCATGATGCTTGTGCCCAGTAGAGCAACTCATCAGTCCAATTGTTGGGAGAAAAGCTGAGGCAAGACTTGCTAGTCTGACATAATATGAAAAGAGCCTTGGAACATATCCTCACTACAGAGTTTAAAACTTCTTGTGGCCTGTGGAACACCAGGTTCTGTGCTTAAGGGTGGAAGGCTGCCCCACCACACTACAACCTAAGCCCAGGGCATAAAACCCCTCGTGGCTTGGATGGAATCCAGGAATCAGGACATAAAACCCCTCGTGGCCTCTGGAATGTGTCCAGACTTGCTGGCTCCTTGCTTCTTGCTCTCCCAGGATCACAAATTAATTGTATCTTGAGGTAGAAGGAAATGTTCAACATTATCTCGAGTGGCAGAACATGTTCCTTATGCTTCAAAGAAAATGCTAGACTGACACAGCTATAAACTAAACACTTGATGTGACTGCTTCCTTTCGACCAGCATGTCCTCATCATCTGCTTCTTTGTTTAATCACCAATAAATGGTGTGGCTCCCAGAGTTCACGGCCTTCACAGCCTCTATACTAGTGTTGGCCCCCTGGACCTACTTTATGTACTATTAGCTTGTCTTGTCTCATTCCTTTGACTCCACCAGACTTTGTAGCCCCCATGGTCTGGTGTTCAGTTTGATCACCTCAACACCAATGTGGCTATTTGTGACTGCCTTTGTTTTATAATATTTTTATTATTCACCTTGTACAGATGAAGACTTCCACCTGTAGAGGCCAAAGTGACCACACTGCAGGTAGAGCAGGCATTCACCAAGGTGTTTGTGATCCTGGGGTGCAGCTCCCATTCTTGGCTGCCTGGCTGCTTCTTTCCAGACCTACTGTCTTGTGACATCCCCTTAGGCACCCAGCACAGGCTGCTGTCTGATTTAGAACTGAGCCTGTTCAGTTGATGGCTCAGTGCAGGCCTTTAAAAAACATCCTGCTGTTGGTTAGTACATCAATGGTTGGCTTACTTATTTGGTGTTCATTTTTTCAGTTTTCAGAAAGGTCAGTTGAAATGCTGCTGGTGGCTGTAGAATTGATACACAGGGAGGTTTTTGATCTGTGAGCTTTCTAAGGGACAATTGCTAAGCTGCACTGATACCTTGAGCCCCTTTCCTTTGGAACAATGTAGAGCCCAGTTCATGGCTCCCAGAAGTTTAGGTCCAGTAATGTGGCTGCAGGCCTAGAGAATGGGAGGCTGCAGACTTGGACTAATGGTGAAATCTTGCCTCCCCCCAGGGATATGTGGCGCCTGTCATAAGCTCCAGAGAGCTGCCTTCCATAAGACCAGCAGAAGAGTGGGCAAACATGAAGTCCAATCCCCCTATCCAGGCTGCCATTGACCTCATGGCAGGGGCTGCAGTTACAGTCCTGTGCCTCATAAGCATGTTTCTGTTGGTGATGGATGGTGTATCTGATGGTGGTCCCATGAGATTATACCATCTTTTACTATAACTTTTCTGTGTTTATATACATTTAGATACACAAATACCACTGTGTTACAGTTGCCTACAGTATCCAGTACAGTAACATGCTGTACACGTGTGTAGCCTTGAGCAACAGGCCATACTGTACAGCCTGGGTGTGGAGTAGGCTATGCCATCTAGGGTCAGGTGTGTATGTTCTATGATAGCACAATGATGAAATTGTGTAACGACACATTCTTCAGAACATGTCCCAGTCATTAAGAAACGCCTAAGAATAATCCCAGAGAAAACCCAGTCTTCTCTATTCCTCAAGTACCTTCTAAATGAGATCAAATGAAAGTGTTATGAAAACATTACCTTTCTCCCTCTAGAAGTGATGAGCTTTACATGTGGGATGAATCCATTTGATGGAAGTGTGGTATTGTTCAGAGGGTGGCAGAAGGTAGAGGAGTGTCCATTATTGCTAACACCTTCTGAGTCAGGGTGAGGGGAGGAATGTGCCCAGTACAGCTGGAAAACAGATCAGAGATGAAGCCCCTTGTCTGTTGTCACCTGGCTGGGATAGGCAGGTGATATTGTTCTTCACTTCAAGCCTGGCAGTCTTCAGAGCCCTTGTAGTGCAAAAATAACACCATAGCATCTCCCAGGAAACATCACTTACTGTCCCCGCTAGTGTTGGGAAAGAAAGGAGGACACTCTTTAGAAACGTCTTTTACAATGAGACTGATAATGGACTGTGTCTTAGAGCCATGAAAGGAAAGAAGTTGTAGGATTTCCTGGGAATGTCAGCTAACCTGAGCCTAGGGGCCTGAGCCCAAGAGCAGACTGAGGCTCCCCAGCACAGGGAGGTGCTGCCTGTGAAAAGGGGGTAGTGTTGGCACAGTGCAGGCTACTCCCTAGAAAGATCAGCTTGAATATGCAGGAAGAGCAGGACCCTCGGGCTGAGGCACAGGTGGAATGGGAAGTGCATGGTGGTGATTTAGTTCTCCAGGGGCCAGAAGTAGGAGGAGTGGTTGGAATGCTGATGGCCCAAAGGGAAACCCTGGACTACCCTGGCCTCCCACAGGACTCTCATAGTAATTGCGGCACTTTACAGTGGGGAGGCTAGAAGGAGTGTTGCCGAATGCTGTCCTCATCCAGTCCACCCCCCACCCACCAACAACAGATGAGTATGGTCATGAGTGTGGTCACCTCATCAGTCATTTGCTCAGTTGTGAAAAAGAAACTGTTCAGTGAAGAGCAAAGTGTTTTTCCATGAGCCAAATGTTGGCCAAGGTATGCTATTGAGGAGGACTGGAGACAGCGTGTCACAGACACTGATAAAGAGCACTGGGCAAGGGCACTTCTCCCAGGGCAGAGTCCACATGGAGTGTCCTGGCACCAGACGCTCAGTGAACTGAAGGTTGGCAGGGGCCCACCAAGTAGTCTCTTGCCCTCTGCGTGCCTTTAGGCTACAGCCGCCCAGGCCCCTTACCCCCTCCCCTACCCCGTGCCACACTGGGGAGGATGCTGACCCTGAGAGTGGTGCAACCATCTGCCTGCCCCTGGCCACCACCTCTCACCAGCACGTGAATGCTCTTGGGCTCAGTTCTGTCTCTTCAGTAGGAGGGTGTTTAGCCACATGAGAGAGTCTCACATTTTGACATTTTATGTCTTTCAGTCTGTCAAAGATCTAGAACATATTGTGAAGGAATTAAAAAGTTTACTTTTGGCTTGGCAAGGTTGCTCAAGCCTGTAATCTCAGCACTTAGGGAGGCCGAGGCGGGTGGATCACTTGAGGTCAGGAGTTCAAGACCAGCCTGGCCAATATGGGAAAATCCTGTCTCCACTAAAAATACAAAAATTAGCCAGATGTGGTGGTACACGCCTGTAATCCCAGTTACTTGGGAGGCTGAGGCAGGAGAATTGCTCGAACCCAGAAGGCAGAGGTTGAAGTGAGTGAAGATTGTGCCATTACACTCCAGCCTGGGTGACAGAGTGAGAATCCACCTAAAAAAAAAAAAGAGTTTACCTTTTCCTATTTATGTGCATACAGGTATTTGGGTACCACATTTGTAATTTACAGTTAGTTTGAAAGATAGAAATTGTAACAGTATGTTTGGGAGCAAGGTATGTAAGGCAGTTGCTGGTGGGCATGTTTTGAACATGTATTGGGCCCTTATATGTATGATCTCTGTGATACCATCATTACTGTTCATTTCTTCCAGGAGAGGAATGACACACTTCTCACTTTAATTGCCAGATTATCTCCAATTCTGAATCAGTGGAATATAATTTAATATGATTTTACTATGATTGAGTCATTCTCTCCCAGGTACTGCTGGGCTAGGATAAAATGAGATCTGAATTACATTAAAATAATTAATTATTCCAAGAGAAGAGGTGACAGAATGTTTTAAGTGGGTGTGTAATTTAGATAACCTAGATGCAGATAAGCTGAATAAAGCATTTAATCCAGCACATTCATATTTTTACTTGATCATCAGCAATAGGAGTTTGAAACCCAATCGCAGCTGCAGGTCCCACACAACTGAATTCGGTTCCGTGTGCATAGCAGTGTTGGCTGGAGATGCCTGGAGGTCTGAAGGTGTGCCCTTTTATAGGCAGGAATTCCACCAGGATGGGTATAGCTTGTTTTTTTAAAAGGCTTGGGACTGGATACGATTGCCCCAGAAGACCGTGTAGACAGTGAGGAAGGCTGAGCATGAATGGGATGACCTACCAGCACAAAAAGGGCAGGCAGAAAGGCAGTAAAGAAACGAGCAGGGCACAAACCAGGAGAGTGTGGCATGACACCATGGAGACTGAACAGAAGCAAAACCACGGGCAACTGTAGTGTTGTTCCCTGTTGAAGGAGAGACACTCTATTACAGAAGACCTGGACTTCAGTTCAGCTCAGTTTCCTTAGCAAAGGACAAAATGGGGAGAGAAGACAGGGAATCAGGGAAGAAAAACTCATTCACTTATGTGAGGCAAACATCACATGCAGTCATACTAACCAACTAAACATGATAAGCTACAAAGAACTATGGTATTCACTGCTCTCAAAACGCTACTGAGATTACCAAGTTTTAAGCTTATTTCAAGATTATTTATAGGTGATTCCCCAATTGGGAAACTCATTTCTGAATTTCTTCTCTCCTAAAATAGATCTACAAAAATTAACAAACTTTATTCCAGTAAGAAAATTTGGGATGTACTGCTTCAACCCCTGTCCTAAGGAAATTATCCAGCCTGGAGGGTGGGGTGCTATCAACTGCCTGCCAACATGTTACCTTCTGGCATCCAGAAGCTTCCCTGTGCCAGATGGAGCCACCAATGTGGGGAGGAGAGCACAAAGAGCAGAGAATCCACAGAAACCATACCTGCAGGGACCAAACACCATCACACCCCACTGCCGTGAATGCAAATGCATTTACCTGTTATTACCATCTCCCTCAGCATTTTGAATCTATTCTGGGATTAGACAAACTTCCAACTTAACTGCTATGTTTAATAAAAACATGGTAAAGGAAGAATCGGGGCTATTAAAATATTTAAGAATGAGAAAGTTGAAAAAAGAAAAAAAGATGAAGATTGTGTTTGGCCTGACTTCTCCCCACCATAAGGGGTTGCCACCCAGCTGGAGGCCTGCTGGTTTGTGTGGGCCAGCCCTCAACACCTCAGTGACCAAACGAAATACAACCCTCACTAGAGCTTCTTGTACTTGGCAAGACCCAGGCGTAGACCTGGGCTACCAAACAAAACCTTGTGTTTTTAGAGCCTGGGAACAAGAGCTTTGACAGTTTCCACAAATAACTCTTCTACAGCATTAGCATTTCTATTTTCACCTACCTGCAGCCATTACTACATTGGCCTCTGGAAACGTCACATCAGGTGTTCTTGAGATAAAATACCATTTACTATTTTTTTTTTCCTCTAGGCCCTGTCCCTTTGATGTTAAGTGGTGGAGGGAGTTGGCGGGATTTGCCTCTGGCTTGCGGTATATCCAGTGGATTGTAACAAATCCAGAATTCAAGTTCTTTCCATATCTGGAAAACAGGCAGGATTTATCAGAACCTTTATAAATGTTGTGAAAAATGAAGGTGAATAAACACCTGTTTTTCCAGCATCTAGTACACATCTTAAAATCTGAGATGTGAACTTCTCTGTTTTGATTGTAAAAGGAAAGAAAACAGTAACACAGAAACTTTGTGTCCCAAATAGAGCACAGATAACTTGTCTATTACTCATAGTAATCCTCCCTTAAATTTGTGTAACATGTGAAGTTTTACAAAGTACTTATGCCTCCCTTATCTAATTCAATCTTCATAACCACCCTGTGCAGTACTAATATTATAAACCAGTCTCCAACCTCAAGGTTGGTGCTCTTGCCACTGCCCAGGTGAAGCTGCAAAGCTGTGGCCACCTCTATCTCCACGGTTGCATCTATCTGGCCATCTCAGGCCTCAATGCTGCCCCATCCATATACTGAGTTAACCAAGCATGGAATTGGGGTGTGTTACCTGAACATCCATCACTTTCACCACGAGACCTGATACTTGTCCTTGTTTCTGTTGGTCTATTTAGGGAAAGCTGGGAATGCGTCCTTCCATGACTTGGTTTTTAGCACTCTTGTCTGGATTTACATGTGTAAATATACCTGTGCTATGCAGCTGTGTGGGTGTCCCCAAAGGAGGGATTGTTGCAGTCTTCGCTTGCCCTTTTGTCTTCTAGGAATAATGGCCTTATATTCTGGACTGAAACCTACTATGATTCGAGCATTCCCTGACAATGGAGCACTCTTTTTGGCCTACGAATATACCAGGAAGTTGATGATGAGCCAGTTGGAAGCATACTGAAGTGTCTTGGAGGGCCTGAGCCAAGCACAGGTGTTTGAGGACTACAGTTCATCTCATGGTTTCTTGTAGTACAAGACCAGTGTGAAGTTATTCTGATTTCTTGGGAATTTTGCTTTTTTGTCTTCCCTTATACCCTACATCTCAAATTGTATGGAAGAACCTCTATTTTGCATCATGTCATTTCTGCCCATAATTGTACTGAAATAGAGAAGTCACTGCTCTTTCCCTTGGTAAAATAGAGAGTGGTCAGTAGACTTATGCACCTAATTCAAAAGACTGAGTACAGTTCTGTCAGGGCTTTTACATAAACCTCTACTTGCACATGCAATTTGGACAGTTATGTGCTGAGGGAAATACAGTTTGGTTCCATGTTTATTTCAGATATTACCAGAAAAACCCAGAGGTGATCGTTTCTCATGAAGATGCTTACAAATGGTTGCTTAACACATTCTAGATGTAGGATCTGCTTAATGTGTGTACTATTCTAAGTGGTTGACATTTTTTTTAAAATATGGAATCTCACTCTCTAGTCAGTCTGGAGTACAGTGGTGCAGTCTCGGCTCACTGCAACCTCTGCTTCCTGGGTTCAAGCAATTCTCCTGCCTCAGCCTCCTGAGTAAGTGGGATTACAGGGGTGCACTACCACACCTGGCTATTTTTTGTATTTTTAGTACAGACAGGATTTCACCATGTTGGTCAGGCTGGCCTCGAACTCCTGACTTCGTGATCCACCCGCCTCGGCCTCCCAAAGTGCTGGGATTACAGGCATGAGCCACTGCACCTGGCCAAATAAGACATATTTTTAACCAATAAAAATTAAGGACAAAGAAGAGCATTCCTTATGATAAAGGGCACAATTCAACCAGAAGACGTAGGCTAAATATCTACACACACAACATTGGAGCACCCAAATTCATAAAACAAGTTTTTCTTGGCCTACAAAAAGATTTAGACACACAATAACAGCAGGAGACTTCAACAACCTACTGACAGCAATAGACAGATCATGGAGGCAGAAAACTAACAAACTCTGTACTTGCACTTGACAGTTGACCAATTGGACCTGACAGACATCTACAGAACGCTTTGCCAAACAAACACAGAAGATACATTCTCATGTGCACACAGAACATATTCTAAGATCAACCACATGCTTGGCCAGAAAGCAAGCCTCAATAAATTCATAAAGTTTGAAATCATACCAAGCACACACTCTGACCACAGTGAGACAAATTAGAAATCAGTATCAAGAAGATCTCTCAAAACTACATAAATACATGGTAATTACATAATTTGCTCCTGAATAACTCCTGGGTGAAAATCTAAATTAAGGCAGAAATAAAAATATTCTTTGCAATTAATGAAAATAGGGACACAACACACCTGAATCTCTGGGATGCAGCTAAGGCAGTGTTAAGAGGAAAGTTTACAGCACTAAATGCCTTCATCAAGAAGTTAGAAGTATCTCAAATTAACTTTCCTACTTTGCACTTAAGGGAACTAGAAAAAAAAGAATAGACTAACTCCAAAGCTGGCAGAAGAGAAATAACTAAAATTAGAGAAGCACTGAATGAAGTGCTTTTTGAAGTGCTGTTTTTTTTAGACTAGATGCAAAGATCCACACAAAAGATCAATGAAACCAATAATTAGTTTTTCAAAAAATAAACTAGATGGATAGCCTGATAGCTAAACAAAGAAAAAAAGAGAAGAGCCAAATAAGCACAATCATAAATGACAAAGATGACACTACAAACAATCCAACAGAAATACAAAAGATCCTCAGAGAATACTATAAACAACTCTATGCACACAAATTAGATAATCTAGAGGAAATGGATAAATTCCTGGAAACATACAATCCCCCAAGATTGAATTAGAAAGAGATTGAAACCTTAAATAGACAAATACCGAATTCCAAAATCAAATCATTAATATAAAATCTACCAGCAAGGAAAAGCCCTGGACCAGATGAAGCAACAGCTGAATTCTACCAGATGTACAAAGAACTGGTACTAGTTCTATTGAAACTATTCCAAAGAACAGGATGAGGGGCTCCTCCCTAACTCAGTCTATGAAGCCAGCATCAGCCTAATACCAAAATCTGGCAGAGAAACACACAAAAAGAAAACTTCAGGCCAATTACTCTGATTAATATAGACACAAAAATTCTTAACCAAATGCTAGGAAACAGAATCCAGCAGCACATCAGTAAGTTAATCCACCACAATCAAGAAGGCTTCAGTACAGGGATGCAAGTCTGGTTCAACATACGCAAATCACTAAATGTGATTCACCACATAAACAGAACTAAAAGAAAAACCACATCATCATCTCAATAGATACAGAAACAACTTTTGATAAAATCCAACATCGCTTCACATTAAAAACCTCAACAGACTCGGCATCAAGGGAACATACCTCAAAATAATAAGAGCCATCTATGACAAACTCACAGCCACCAACCTACTGAATGGGCAAAAGTTGGAACCAATCCCCATGAGAAATGGAGCAAGACAATGATGCCAACTCTCATCACTCGTATTCAACATAGCACTGGAAGTCCTACCTAGAGAATTCAGGCAGGAGAAAGAAAGAATAGGCATCCAAATAGCAAAAGAAGAGGTCAAACTATCTCTCTTCACTGATGATATGATTCTATATCCAGAAAAGCAAAGACTCTGCCAAAAGGCTACTAGAACTGATAAACAACTTTAGCAAAGTTTCAGGATAAAAAATCAACATATAAAAATCAACAGCATTTCTATACACCAATAATGTCCAGGCTGATAGTTAAATCAAGAACAGAATCCCATTTACGGTAGCAACAAGGAAAATGAAATAACTAGGAATACAGCTAACAAAGGATGTGAAAGATCTCTACAAGAACTGTAAAACACTGCGGAAAGAAATCAGAGATAACACAATTAAATGGAAAAACATTCCATGCTCATGGATTGGAAGAATCAGTATCATTCAAATGGCCACACTGCCCAAAGCAATTGACAGATTCAGTGCTATTTCTATCAAATTACCAATGTCATTCTTCACAGAATTAGAAAAAAGTATTCTAGAAGTCATATGAAAGCAAAAGAGGGCCTCAATAGCCTAAACAAATAGAAGCAAAAGGGCAAAGTCAGAGGCTTCAAACTATAAGGCTATAGTATCCAAAACGGCATGGTACTGGTACAAAAGCAGACATATAGACCAATGGAAGAGATTAGAAAACCCAGAATAAAGCCTTACACTTACAACCACCTGATATTGCAAGGCTGACAAAAACAAGCAAAGGGGGAAGGACTCCCTATTCAATAAATGGTGTTGGGGTAAGTGGCTAGCAATATGCAGAATAATGATACTCGACCCATACCTTTCATCATATACAAAAATTAACTGGGGATAGATTAAAGATTTAAATGTAAGACCTCAAGTGATAAAAATCCTAGAAGAAAACCTCAGAAATACCCTTCTTGACATTGGCCTTGGGAAATAATTTTTAACTAAGTCCCCAAAAGCAATTGCAATAACAACAAAGATTGACAAGTGGGACCTAATAAAGCTAAAGCGCTTTGGCACAGCAAAAGAAATGATCGACAGAGCAAACAGATAACCCACAGAACAGGAGGAAACATTTGCAAACTATGCATCCAACAAAGGTCTAATATCCAGAATCTATAAGGAATACACAAATCCACATGCAGAAACCAAATAACCCCATTAAAAATGTAGAAAGAACATGACACATACTTCTGAAAAGAAGACATACAAGTGACCCATGAGCATCTGGAAAAATTCTTCACTTCACGAATTGTCAGAGAAGTGCAAATCAAAACCACAGTGAGATACCTCCTCACACTAGTCAGAATGGTGATTAATAAAAAGTCAAAAACAACAGATGCTGGCAAGGCTGCAGAGAAAAACGAACGTTTATACATTGTTGGTGGGAGTGTAAATTAGTTCAGCCACTGTGGAAAGCAGTCTGGAGATTTCTCAAAGAACTTAAAATGAGCTACCATTCGACTCAGTAATCCCATTATTGGATATATACCCAATGGGAAAAAGATCATTCTACCAAAAGACACACAAACTGATATGTTTATCGCTGTGCTATTCACAATAGTAAGATATGGAATCAACCTAGGTGTCCATCAGTGGTGGATTGGATAAAGAAAATGTGGTACATATACACAATGGAATTCTACACAGCCATAAATATGAGTGAAATCGGGTCTTTTGCAGCAACATAGATGGAGCCGAAGGCCATTATCCTAAGCAAATTAATGCAGGACCAGAAAACCAAATACCACATATTCTCACCTATGAGAACTAAACAATAGGTACCCTTGGACATAAGGTTGGGAACAATAGACACTGTGGACTACTAGAGGGGGATGGAGAGAGAGGGGTGCGGGTTGAAAAACTACCTATTGGGTACTATGCTCTCTACTGGGGTGAAATATACTGATGTAACAAACTTGCACACATACCCCCATATTTAAAATTAAAGCTAAAATTTTAAGACGTACCATTCTGATCTAAGTTTCTTGAGTTGTTCAAAGAATCATTCATTTTGCATTCTAAGAAAGCAATACCCAAAGAGGCCTTAAATGAGTTTTCTTTCAATAAGCAAAAGTAGAATAGTGTGACAACTCATAATTTCCAGAAATTTTGATAGGTCTTGGAGGTCTGGGGAAAAGAAACTTTAATGGTAATCTCATTTCAAAAAGGGAAATTCTTAAAATAAAAAAGGGGGTTTCCTTCCTTCCTGTTTCCAGTACTGAAAAAGACAGATCTTAATCTTCACTGAGCCAGCTAAGTATTTTCCTCCCTATTCACCTAAACCCAGGACATAATCTGCCCTCTGTAGATTATCGTTGTGTGAATTTTAAAGGAAATAGCATAACCTATGTTGTGCCTACACGTTTCTGTCATATGAATGGCAGGGTATAATATTAACATGAAAGTAATTTGAAAGCATGTTCTATGATCTTTTCCTCAAAGAAGGAGCCAGATCAGGGGGAGTAAAGGAAAAAGGCCTTTAGTTGGGCTGCTGCACGGGCAGTTGGAACCTTTTTTGGACTATTTATTTAGAGGAGAAAAAGTCACCTGCAGCGAGGCGGCTCACCAGCCTAGTGGGGCTCTTGGCTCCTGGAAGGTTGCTGCCTTCCGTGCCCACCATGGCTCAGAGCTCTACTCTCATCTGTGCCACTCTGGTACCCACAGCCCTTATAGCAAGTATTTTTCTATTTTCCACCATGGCTCAGAGCTCTACTCTCATCTGTGCCACTCTGGTACCCACAGCCCTTACAGCAAGTATTTTTCTATTTCCACTCAAAAATTAAAAAGCTCTATGGCAAACTCCTGACATTGAACTGCTGATGTGGGTGGTCCCAGCGGTTAGTGTGTTGGTTAGAAAGTTGCTATGCCAGACAGGTTTGCCCTGGACTCTCAAACCCTGTATTTTCATGAACTGCTTCCTTTTTCAGTCCTTTCTGTAGAGTGCCAGGTTTTTCAGGAATGAGTTTATCGTGTTTTAGAAGTGACACTTGTCTTATTAGTTGTTACCTTTCATTTCCTGATGAACTCATCTTGGTCTAGATTGTTGAGGGCCTTGCCAATAAAAGGAAAATCATTCAAATAAGAATAATTTCAATAAAGCCAAGATAGAAGGTTTTCAAGGACAATCATGGCTGGAAGATACAGTGGCAATAAAGGTATTTTGAATGAAGTAACAGCCACGGATTGGGCCTGGTGGCTCATGCCTTAATACCAGCACTTTGGGAGGCTGAGGCAGGCAGATTGCTTGAGTTCAGGAATTTGAGCTCAGCCTGGGCAACAACGGCAAAACCTCGTCTCTACTAAAAATACAAAAAATTAGCCGGGTGTGCTGGCATGCGCCTATAGTCCCAGCTACTCAGGAGGCTGAGGTGGGAGAATCACCTGAGCCTGGGAGGTTGGGGCTGCAGTGAACCAAGATCACACCACTGCACTCCAGTCTCTACAACCAGAGTGAGATGCTGTCTCAAAAAATAAAAAATGCAAATAAAATATTTGTTAAAAAAAAGTAGCACCCAGCACCAAAGAGGAAATAATGATTATTTCCTGTAGACATAAGGCTAACCATTGTTTATAACGCAAAGATAACCTCCCTTCAGAGTCCCCCCAAGCTTAGGTGAAGTTGGTTGTGAGCAGGAGTAGTGAATTTCAAAATAATACACCTAGATTACGCTAAGAATATTTCTTTTGACTTCACTTACAATTTTATACAAAAGCAGAAGTTACCAAAGATTACTTATCTTCATATTTACCACCATCTTCTTACCCCAACCCCCATGTCTGTGTGTAATTAAAGGAAGCTTTTCAAGTAAGCTACCTATTTAATGCTCGCAATGAAAGAGAGTGTGTGTTGGAAGTTGGGGGACTGCTTGCATGAAACATTTCTCTCTTCTGGAATTAAAACTTAGTCTTGGTTGCCAATCTGTTAACAGACAGTTTGTAAATGAAGGGGAAGAAAAATATATAAATTAGCTTTTTAATAAATCTGAAATTACAAATGTGAACAAAAGCAGGGAATAAATACTTGACCAAAAATATGTAAGTAAGTGGGTGTTGGGAAATCACAATTTTTAAATATCTCAAGTTTTTGCTACGGAAGTTCTATTTCAAAGTTCTTCAAAATGATGCCTGATGTTCCTGCATACGTGTTCCAAATTTATGTAAATACAAGATGGAAACTGTGAAGTATGTACCTTCAAAAAAGAAGGAAAACACTGACATTTTATCTATATATATTTAATAGATTTATGAAGAACATATAAAAAGATATATAGATACTTCATCAAGGAAGATTTAGGATATATGAATATGTGGCAGGGTTGGAAAGAACATAATTCTTTCCCAGAAGGGGAAGGGGGAGCTATACTTAATCGGATCCAGCTACAATGTCATTGGAAGTCATTTCTTGCCAAAAAGTATCTCCACGGCAAATTCTGGTGGATAAATTGTCCAAGCTTTTTGTTTATGTGGATTATCCAATTCATTTCTTGGTAGATAAAGCTTAAGAATAGAAAACAATTATTACATTTTATATTGGGGCTCACCGAAAAGCCACGCAGTTGGGTACCCATGTTAGAGCTAGAAGAAACAAAAAAAGAACTTCACCATGAATAGAACCTCAGCCCCTTTTTTGTGTCTCAGTTGGCTCCTTCCACCTTTTTAGTGAGACATAAAAATACTTTAATCTTCAGCAACACATCAGTAACACATTCTGACTCTCTTAGCATTGCTTTATATGGAATTAATGACATCCAAGTTTAATAAAATATCTAAATTTCTCTCTGTGACAGAAATCAGTCAGGATAGACATGAATGAAAACCCGGTAATAAAATACTATATCTCTTTTAATTTATGTGTGAGGTTGAAATTTTTTGAATTTTTACAATGAGACATTGGAAGTTACCTTGAGCAGTAGGATATAACTCCCACATGCTGAGTGTTCCAATAATGGAACAGTAGGCATAAATTGGTTAACCTATTTATGCCTAGTGTTCTCAATGATAGAAGTTAGCATTTTTGGCTAAACAACAATCTCATAACTAACAAAAACAGCTTTACCAAGTAGTATGTAAATTTAAATGTTACAGAAATCTTTAGAAATTTATATAAAAGTAAGAATAAAAGTGATCCAGCTTATCACTTCTCCAAAATGAACATAGTGTTTTAAAGGAAAAAAAACGGTATCCTTTAGCAAGAACCACTTTTGAGGAGCAGCATCAAATGAAGCTCCACTGATGTCTCACTTTTTGAGGGACTTTGCTCATGTTAGAAGAAAAAGCTTATTGTTTGTATTCATCCAAAAAAAAACTTGTAAAAAATTTCCATCAAATCCAAAGTTGACTCTATCAAAATCCATTAAATATTTTGCATTGCAAGTCTGTAGACCAGAGGTTTAATTTCCTGTTGCCTTGCTGGACTTAAGGAATTATTCGATCCAGTTCACATTTGAAGGAAAGATTAGAACTGGATGTAATAATAACTATCAATTCATGCCACATAAAATCACAGCCACTTCTTCAACTCTGACCTAAATCATTTAAAAAATATTTTGTCCTTTTGTATTGAAGAGTATGGTTGATACAAAAAAAGTCTCAATTTTTTCACCATCACAAAACAAATGGTACTTACAGTGGAGAACTTCTAGGCTGAGAAATGGGTTTCCAAATATGGCAGAAGGTTTTTTTGGAACAATAATCTCCAAATCCAATTAATAATTTTTCAGAAAGGTTTCCCAGTTCGGTTATTAGAAACATATTTGAGGCCGGGCGCGGTGGCTCACGCCTGTAATCCCAGCACTTTGGGAGGCCGAGGCGGGCGGATCACGAGGTCAGGAGATCGAGACCATCCCGGCTAAAACGGTGAAACCCCGTCTCTACTAAAAATACAAAAAATTAGCCGGGCGTAGTGGCGGGCGCCTGTAGTCCCAGCTACTTGGGAGGCTGAGGCAGGAGAATGGCGTGAACCCGGGAGGCGGAGCTTGCAGTGAGCCGAGATCCCGCCACTGCACTCCAGCCTGGGCGACAGAGCGAGACTCCGTCTCAAAAAAAAAAAAAAAAAAAATATTTGAATGGCTATTTAAACAGACTATTACATAATGATATTTCTTAGCTGTATTTCCTTAATACTGTGTCTTGTAACTTCTCCTAGATATAAGGGTGTCAGTCAGCTTTTCAGCTAGCTGAAGCCTCCCTAGGTCCTGCCTTACTTTAGCACAAAAGTTGATGGTGGTTCATCATTGGTAAATCAGCACCTACTGACAGGGACCTGACATATTGAAGGTGCTGAGCAGGCTCATATTGATCTTCTCTGGGAGGAATTTACTACCACACTTAAGATCTGATGATAATACTTTTGAACTCATAACACAGTCCTATGGCATGGACCCTGAGGATACTGCAACAGTGGGTCTCAAGAACAAATATATTTGTAAAATAACCAAAGTAAGAGGAGTAAGGCAAGGAACAATGGTGGTTCAAGAATTTTTTGCTTTCTATAAATTAAGTGTATGACAACCAGCAAAAGACTTGCCATTACACCTTATACATAGACATTGAAGATTAGGCTGTTTCTATGTATTTCTATTATATTCATACCTGTTATTCTGAATAAAAGATGTGTGGCACCAGAAGAAAAATGAACAATTGTCATAGTATTTAGGAAGATTCTAAAAAGAAAAAAAAAATTCAAAGTAAAACTGATACCAAGAACTAATCATTCCAAAGAAATTAAAGTTTCTTTCTTTATTCCTTTTTATATTTATCAAACAATTATAACCATTAAATATGTGGCACTCTGCAATCTGTAACAATACACTCAAGACACAAAGGAGGAGGCTTTAAGAAAATGCTATTGCATTCTCTTGCTGTTTCTATCAAAATTTTCAAGGAATAATATTTTTCCCATGATAGGTATTTAATTTAAATGCTGCTATTTGAATCTGGTTTAGATAGTGCCAAACAGACTCTACTAAGGACCTACGCCTATATATACCCAACTACATTGTAGTGAATTCTTATAATTTTTTAGTTGCCTCAGCATACCTTTTAATTATAAATTGGATTTTCTGATATCAGAAGTGGGGTTCAGTCACCCTCAGCAGTTTCCAGTTCACCTCCTCCCAGTTACTCCATGTGACTGATCCTGATATCTGTCTTGCACAGCCTTCTCCTGATGACCACTTCACTATGGGACAGCGAGATATAACCTACTTGACTCACCCCACAGACCCCCATACTGTGCAGGGACCATGTGGATATATCAGTGACCACCTCTCAGCCACAGCAGAGACTCATAGCTGCCTGCATTAAACCAAATTAGACCTCCCCGCAGGAAGTCTGCTCAGGTAGCACCTTACATCCCAGTAAAGTCTTCCACCCTCAGGTCCCTCCCTCTCTCTCACTATTGCTCCCACCCATCAGTCGAGCACAGGTCTCCTGGATGGCTCCCCCTTCTAGTTGGCCCTGCAAACTGTGCTGCCCTCCTCTCTCTGGAATTAATAAAAAACTGCTTTGGTTATTTCATGTGTTGTATTGTGCTGCCTTCTCTGTTTCATCCAACTGAGTCACCCAAACCTAACTCTCTTTCCAGTCAGTGCTCCCAGCTACTCAGGAGGCTGAGGTGGGAGGATTGCTTGAGCCCAGGAGGTTGAAGCTACAGTTAGCTATGATCACGCCACTGCACTCCAGCCTGGGTGACAGAGTGAGACCCTGTCTCAATTTCTTAATTTTTTAAAAAAGATGCAAAGCAAAATGTAATCATTGCTATGCAGTAAAACATACCTTTGGGTTTTTTTTTTTTTAGCATCTTGACTTTTACTTCTTTGTGTTTATTTTGTATTTTTTTGTATTTGAGAATACATGTAAATTTAGAAAAAATTAGAAAATTTACAATTTAGAAAAAATGAACAAAAATTATTTAAGTTACATATGCTCTTTTTTAAAAGTTTGTTATAGATCTAATTTATTATTGTCTTCCCCCTACCCCTCCCTTGTTGGGAAATGTAGTAAAGCAATCTTAAATAAAATCATTAGACCAGACAAGAACAATGGCAGAGGCTATTTTGTGATTACTCACCGAAGAGAAAAAATGCACTTTTACATCATCATACAGAGGTGGACTGTCGAATACATCAATTAATACTTTGCCTTGTAATGTCATGCAATATCTATGAATGAACACATGGAATTGAGAACTATAAACCTAGATAATGATAACAATGAAGTTCCTTTTCACTTATCATGACTTCCTGTACTTATCAAGTACTTTTAGTCTCACAGCCCCATCACTACATACATAAATAATTATTAATAAACTTTTCTAGTTGCAATACTGTTGTTTATGTGTCTGTGTGGTTTCATTTGTTTTTTGTTTTCTGAGACAGTCTCACTGTCACCCAGGCTGAAGTGCAGTGGCGTGATCTCGGCTCACTGCAACCTCTGCCTCCCAGGGTCAAGTGATTCTTATGCCTCAGCCTCCCAAGTAGCTGGGACGATAGGAACATGCCATCATACCCAGCTAATTTTTGAATTTTTAGTAGAGATGCGGTTTCACTATATTAGCCAGGCTGGTCTCAAACTCCTGGCTTCAAGTGATCTGCCCACCAGGGCCTCCCAAAGTGTTGGATTACAGGCATGAGCCACTGCACCTGGCCTGTTGTTTATGTCTTTTAAAGGCCAACATGTTTGAGGGTTATCATGAACCACTTTTCTTTTCTTTTCTTTTTTTTTTTTTTTTTTGAGACAGAGTCTCAATCTATTGCCAGGCTACAGTGGCATGATCTCAGCTCACTGCAACTTCTGCCTCCCAGGTTCAGCTGATTCTTCAGCCTAGCCTCCCAAGTAGTTGGGACTCTAGGCACTTGCCACCATGCCCAGCTAATTTTTGTATTTTTAGTAGAGACAGGGTTTCACCATGTTGGCCAGGATGGTCTCGATCTCTTGACCTCGTGATCCACCTGCCCTGGCCTCCCAAAGTGCTGGGATTACAGGCATGGGCCACCGTGCCCAGCCATGAGTCACTTTTCAAAAGTGCCGCACTTCTAAAAAGTATTGAATTTTCCATTAGAGTGTAATCAATTAAATATTATTATTTAATGTGTGTCATTTGATTTTCACGTGTTAGGGCCTTTTCTGAGAATACATTAAGAAGCTCAATTTTAACGCTAGCATTGACATTCAAATAGCAATGCATAACTTATCATGGTTTTTTATTTTCTAAATTTAAAAAATAACAACGGGGGTCTGTAACACTTGGGGGTTGGGCCTGCATGCTCCTCCCAAGGGAGGGGGACAGTGGGGTCCCCCTGCTCATCATGTTTTATCAGAATTCTTGTGTTTGTCAGTGGGATCTTTGAACTTGACCAGTGCAGGCTGCTGGATGGAGTGACCAAAGATAGCTCAAGTTTTGGAATGAATGACTTTGAAGCTGTACTAGTTCTTTGAATCATTCTCATAGAAATAATGGCACCCACAATAAGAAAGGTAGGTTTATGCTAGGCCCTGTGAAAAACACAAAAGAAGGTGCAGACTCAGTTGGCCCCTTCAAGGAGCTGTACACTTAAGAAACAATAGAAGAATGGTACATAACTCAATCTGTATGATAAAGACTGGGTGTGCTGTTATGCACTACTGGGGGCTAGTTAACAGAAGGTGCAGAATGCAAAAATTTCATTAAGGAGGTAGAAATTGAATTGGGCATGAAGCAGTTTAGATAAAGGAAGAACAGCTCTGAAAACAGATTCTACTCCAAACGGAGGGAAAAAGAGCAGCAATAACACAAAGTAGAAATTAGAAAAATGGGCCAGGCATGGTGGCTCAAGCCTGTAATCCTAGCACTTTGGGAGGCTGAAGTGGGCAGATCACCTGAGGTCGGGAGTTTGAGACCAGCCTGACCAACACGGAGAAACCCTGTCTCTACTGATAATACAAAATTAGCCAGGTGTGGCAGCACATGCCTGTAATCCCAGCTACTTGGGAGGCTGAGGCAGGAGAATCACTTGAACCCAGGAGGCAGAGATTGTGGTGAGCTGAGATTGTGACAGTGCACTCCAGCCTGGGTAACAAGAGCAAAACTCCTTCTCAAAAAAAAAAAAAAAAAAAAAAAAGAAAAAGAAAAAAATTTGAAAAATAACAACAAACAATGTTGGGCAGTGTGACTCATGTTTATAATCCCAGCATCTTGCGAGGCTGAGGTGGACAGGCTGCTTGTGCCGAGGAGTCTGAGACCAGCCTGGGCAACATAGCAAGTCCCAGCCTCTACAAAAAATAAAAAGAAATTGGGGGATTGCTTGAGCTCAGGAGGTTGAGGCTGCAGTAGCCATGATCATGCCACTGCACTACAGCCTGGGTAACAGAATGAGACCCTGGCTCAAGAAAAAAAAAAGGAAAGGAAGAAAGGAATGAAAGAAAGAAAGAACCAACTAACTAACTAGAGTTGTGTTCCAAGAGCCAAAAGGGATGACCCAGTTTATTTGGAATGAAGTCTGCTGGCCAAGCTACTGATGGAAAAAAGCTCAGGTATTATGTTAGGGTTACTATATCTTCAGAGCTCAAGAGCCAAGGAAATAAGAGTGAAGTTGTTGAAAAATATGGTGGAGCATTTCCTATGTGACAAAGAAGCCTGATAATTATCACGTATAACACTTAGTGATTTACAGTTTACAAAGAACCTTTATATATATTATCTAATTTAATTCCCATTACACTTGAGATGTGATATTTATTTTACAGATAAGGATGTTGAGCCAAAGGTGTTAACTGGCTCTGATTACAGGCACACAGTGTGTCTTCTGCTCTACCTACAATTTTTCACAAAGAGAGCAATATATCAGGATGCATATTTCAGGATTCTATACAATGCATTATAGAAGGAGAAAGAAAAGGTAAGGAGACCACTGCAGAAATCTAGGCATGAGAAAAGGAGATTCTGGACAATTAGTGGCAGTGAGAACAGAAAGGAAGGAGAACATAGAAAACTATGAAAGGCATAATCAACATAGATTGATGACTAACTAGATTTAGGGGGCTGAGGCAAAGAGAATCAAAGCCCAAGGCATGAGTGGAAGAATGCTGGTGCCATTTGCAGAAGCAGAAAGAAAGCTCCTTGATAATTCAGACTGGCTAATGCATTTGAGTTGGAGTGGAAACTGTTCATGTTGTAGCTCCTGCATCTACAACTCAGTGGGTGCTCATAAATAGCTGTTATGAGTTGTTATGAGTAAGTGAACAAATAATAGTTGAAGTAAGGGGAATGGGTCATCCTTTAAGAATAAAGCATTTGCTAAGAACAGAAAGCCAAGGGTCAGGCCTGCGTGAATGCTCTCAGTTGGGAGAGGCCAAAAAAGCCAGGGCAGAGTGGGGACGGCATGGCAGGGAATAGGGTTAGTAATAGGAGAATTTGAGACAAAGGCCTGGGTAGGAATTCTAAAAGTTTATGGTTATTAGAACATGAAGGATGCTTTCCTACTGTTTCAGAAAAGGTATATAGTTTTAGGCATTTCTTCACTGCAGCAAAACATTGACTACCAGGTCCCTTTTGCTTTGGATAAAGAGGTTCCTCCCCAGTTCATTCACTCTTGGATTGTTTCTCACAGGGTCATCCCACAGAACCTCTGACGTAGAATCACTTGGGACATTACTAAGTCTATAGATTACTGGGCCCCATTCCAGATTTCCCGAATCATATTTTGGGGGTACAACCTAGGAATGTAAATCTTTACAAGCTCCTCAGTAGTTCTCACGCACACTAAACTTTTAGAATCAGTGCTATATAACAAAAGATCAAATGACTGAGAAGAAGAGAATATGGCTAAAAATGACCAGATATGTAAATTAAAATCCTTAATACATTCCTGGGAACATGCTCAGCATTTGTGGAAGTGTGAAAGGCAAAGCAACACTGACCAGAAATAAATTCTGGAAAGCACCCTGAAAAAACTGTTTTGAACAAACAGGTTAATTTACCTCTGGTTTGCATCCAAACCCAGTGACACCAAGTTGGATGGTAACCAGAAAGTGTTACAAAATCTCTTTATAGTGAGTGATAGTTTAGGGAGGTGAACATTGCTGGTTTGACATTCAGCCTTAAAACAAACATCAGATTTTTTCAATTCACATGTTTTCTCTTACTGAACAATTTCCTAATGAAGTACCGGAAAAGACAACCTTTTTCTCCATTACTATTTGGACTTTTAGATCATGTACATAACCTGTTCCAACAAAATGAAATTAAAAAGTTAGGTTGGCTAGCGTGAACATCAATATGTCTCACAAATTAACATCATGGATTAAAAAGAGAAAAAATTATCCAAGCTAACAATGTATCAATAGTTACTTATTTAGTCCTGCATGGATTTTGTCTTTGAAAGATAAGGCTTCAAGCCCAGTTCTGTCTCCTAAAGCAGATTTTATAAGGTGAGAGAAGAAAAAAAAATACATATAATTCAGCTTTGAAGACTTAGAATCCCATCACTTTATCTTTCCAGAAAAAATATTTAGGGAAGCTAGGCCAGGCATGGTGGCTCACACCTGTAATCCTAGCACTTTGGGAGGGTGAGGTGGGTGGATTACTTGAGGTCAGGAAATCTAAACCAGCGTGGCCAAGATGGTGAAACCCCATCTCTACTAAAAAAACAAAAATTAGCCAGGCGTGGTGGCACATGCCTGTAATCCCAGCTACTTGGGAGGCTGAGACAGGAGAATTGCTTGAACCCGGGAGGCAGAGGCTGCAGTGAGCCGAGATCACAACACTGCACTCCAGCCTGGGTGACAGAACAAGACTCTGTTTCCAAAATAAGAAAAAGAAAAAGAAAAAGAAAATTCAGGAAAGGTGACTTGCAACCTTTCTTGCTAATATGTTGCTTTCTTGAGATTTCTAATCATAATGATTCTTAATAATAAATACTGTCATTTAACTACTTTGGCCCTACTTTAAGGCCAGTTCCTGAAGAAATCTCTATAAAAATATAGGATAGTTATATCCAAAAATTCCAGTGGTGTTCAGTATATATTTACAGACAAAGGCTTTTTTGTTCCTTTTTTTCCAATTCAAATGAACCACTTCCCTTAGCATTTCCTCAAAGACTTGGTTTCTCAATTAATTTTTTATTGCTTTCCTCTCAACTCTATATTAATTTTAATTTAAATATTCACAAAACTAAAGGTAGAGAATTAAAACAAATATTTTAATAAACTAGTGTATTAATTATCTTTGTTCATCTCATATGCTGTTTGCTTTCATGTAATTTTGTTTTCACTAACACCATGATATTCATTTGTCATTAGAAATCACAGTTTCTTGCCTCAGTTCCCTCTTTCCCATTCCAGGTGCAGAACTTCTTTCTATTGATGTCTACCAGAAATCAGTGAAATGTAGAACTAAACTCAGAACGCTAAAAATACTAGGCTGTCTGTGTGGACACCAGCATCCTGACCCCATGGCACCTATAGCATCCAGCACTGACACCATCTCAGGTCCACAAGCTGGCTGATAGAATAGGTTTGCTTTAGGGGTTCCGAAGCATCACCTCCCTGCTACCTCTCCGGCATTGGGAGTGGTGAGGCCCCATCCCTTCCACACAGACACAACCTGCTTTCCCGCCTCCCCTGAGTGTAAGCTGGGAGTGAGAGGGTTACAGATGGAGGAGAGAGGGGAAAGGGAGAGCCCAGGGTGATGAGAAAAAAATATGCCTCTAAAAGAAGGTGAGAAAATGATACGATACGAAGACACCTCCACCAAGGTAAACTCTGAACTAGAGGTGGTTCTGAGAAATAAGCAGGCTTGAGGGCACATGGGTCCTCCTCCTCCCTCATCAGAGGCTCCCCCTGCCTGGAAAAGTCCATCCTGGGTTGAGACCAGAGGAGCAATGAGAACAGGAGAGATGGGAAGGGGATGAAGTCCCCCAAATTGGTGATGGAAAAGAAAAAGTGAAGAACATCTAAGGGCTGGCAATCAATGGGCAATTGCAGGAGGAGCGGCATAAATAAGGAGGAGTTCCTGTGTGAGGATATGTAAAAAGACAGGTATGAGTTAGGATCATCTGTAAATACAACTATGAGCAAAACCTTCCTAGAGTGGGAACATTGGCCCTCCCGCCCAATTCTTCAATTATACGTAAAGCATTTACCACGAATCGAATAAATAATGAATCTTTTTATAAAGAGTATCCGTCTTGGAGAGAGATTCCAGTTGTAGAGATGTTTCACTTGTGCAAAATATCCGACATATCTATTCTGAAAAGCAACAGAAATCTTCCTTTAAGTGGAGATGATAAGTCTAAAGTCAGGATTCCTTTTTTATTTTTTTTTTGCATAAAGCTTGGTAATGGAGGTAAGTAATTAAGAAAACATTTACTGGATGACATTATATAACTAGACATTTTTAGGGATGCTGCCCCACAACTATCTACCTTGAGGGAAAAATACTGAATTCAGTGCAATGGGGAAGTAACAAGGATGGAGCCAGGCCCTGTTTATAGGCTGCTTATGGTTTAGAGGGCAACTAATCAGAAGCACAACAAAACAGTTACAGCATCATCAGTGTCCAGAGAGAAGCTTAGTTGTGACTGAGTTAGAGGAAGCCTTGTGGTTTCATGAAGAGCAGCTTCCTGGGCATGAGAGAATGGTATAAGTGAAAACTCCAGAGGAATACCTCCAAACCTCAATAGCAGGTTTCCCGTCATTCTTCTGTTGTTCCTGACAGCTAGAATTTCTTCACTTTGCATTTCCTCAATTCTGTTTTCTCAAGGAAGCCCTGAAATTCTCTTAGCCTTGTCCTTTCCCTGGGGCAAGCTGTTCACAACAGCTCTCCCCCGAATCCTTCTTCAAGGTAATTGAAGAGCTCTGGTACTCAATCAACTGGTTCAGAATTCAAAAGTTGGCCATCATGGTGGCTCCCGCCAGTAATCCCAGCACTTCGGGAGGCCGAAGTGGGCAGATCACATGGCATCAGGAGTTTGAGACCAGCCTCGCCAACAGGGTGAAACCCTGTCTCTACTAAAAGTACAAAAATAGGCCATGAGTGGTGATGGGCACCTATAATCCCAGCCACTTGGGAGGCTGAGGCAGGAGGATTGCTTGAACCCAAGAGGTCGACGTTGTGGTGAGCTGAGATTGCACCACTGAGCTCTAGTCTGGGCAACAGAGCGAGACTCTGTCTCAAAAATTAAAAACAAAACAAAACAAAACAAAACTCACAAGTTCACAGACTGTTCCTTACCCATTGGGAAATGTGCATTAAAGTAACTAACTCCCATACTTCCCTTTAGAAAGGGCCAGTCATGAGACAGGTTCATGAAAGTCCTTAACACAGAAGCAGATTTAGTCAGTAGAATGGCCCACAATGCAGTATAAGAATGTGATGGTGTCTGAGAATCACCACCAGACACAGAGGGCACTCTGTCCTGAGGTCTTGCCAACACAGCTCTCAAACTTGCAGCTGAGTCCCTGTGTTGCTTTTTCAGTGAATCAGAAGAGATTCAATTGCAGCCTTTGGTGTTCTAGTTCTGGACTAAAGTTAGGGAAACTATGCATGACTGCAGAAGAAATGGGGATGGGGAGATGTGTAGGGAGAGTTGTTGAAAGAGCTCCATCGAGCATCCCCTTAGTTTCTGCCGCTAGATTCTCCACCTTTCCCTAAGGGATGTAAACCACCAGGGCCCTCAAGCTTCTTGTGCTCCCATGCTTCCTTCTCCTACAACTTAAAAGAACATGGACTTGTAGTAGAAATTAATACAGCCAACACATAGGAGGCCCTCACTACAAACAAAGAAAATATTATGAGAAAAGGGTGGAAAGATGCGTAAGCCATGGGCTTTGCCTTTAAAGGGGATACAGAAGTCACCACTTCAAATAACTAGAGAATGATGCAAAGTAACATAGTCCCTAAGAGAAACACAAAGGGCTCTAAGAATTGAAAAAGCAAGAGACTACTTCAGGCTGAGAAGGGAAAGGGACTCTAGGAAAAGGGGCATGAGCAATGGCATGAGGGTATCAAATGTCCATAGGCTAGGAAAGAGCACACAGTCTAAATGTGTTGGAGTATGGGATGTGTGATGCACATAGTGGAAGAGAAGGCTGGAAAAGTCAAAGTGTGGCTCTTGAGTGCCAGGTTGAAACGTTTATGTTATTGCCATTGGCAGTGGGGACATAGTATGGATTTTGAGCATGGAAATGGCATGATTAGGGCTGCACTTCAGTAAATTCACCTATCACTTTTAGCTTAGAGTCTATGACTGTCTTTGTTTTGTTTTGTTTGGGGCTTGGGTGTGGGAGAAAAGTAACAGTGGATAAGGCTGAGTTCTTCTGGCCCAAACTAAAGGTTTAGGGCCAGTAGTTAGAGTGTTCTTCTACTCAGCTCCCATCACTTAAAGAAAAACTCATTTACAGCCACATCCAAATCCATTTAGGAATTCCCAACCCGCTCTCACTTCGGTTTCAGGGGCAATATAGAAAAGGCAATATAAATGAGAAGCTGTGCACAGCAAGGGCTTCAGAGACTGACATCTAGATTTCAGTCCTTTGTTCAAAGGTTACTTTCTCTGAGCCTCAATTTTCTAATTTATAAGATGAGAATCATAGTAGTGCCTACTCATAGAGTTACTGAGAATATTAAATGAGATAGTGAATAGAGACCCTTAGGATAGTTCACCAAAGTCTAGAATGTTGTAAATGCTATAGGATAAACATCCTGGTTTCTGCAATAAACAAATTTCAAGTAATAAAAAATGGTGAGAAATCTATGAACTTAGATTCTTAAAAGAAACTTAGGAGACACAGCAACCACATGAAATGTGTGGACTTTGTTTGAATTCTGATTAAACAAACTAAATTTTCAAAGATTTTAAGACAATTTTGGAAACAAACATGGACTACAAATTTGATATGAAGGATTTTTAAGGTATAATATTTTTAGATACAATAAAAAGTGTTAAGGTTTGTTGTTGTTGTTTTAAGAGTACTTAAATGTCATACTAAAATGCTGTGGGATAAAATGATCTGATGACTGAAATTTCCTTTACAATAACTCAGATTTAGGGAAAGCAAGAGTGGAGAGTGGGGTTGGGGGGTGTGAGTGGAGTGGGGAAGAATGGATGAAACGTGGCTGGAGCTGCCTGAAATGACTGCTGCAGCAATGTGATGACTACATGAGGATATAGTGTATGATTCTCTGGACTTTTGTATATGATTAAAATTTTCCATAACAAAATGTTTCTAAAAGAAAAACAGAGTAACAGTGTATATTTCATATAGGTGTTATGGATATTAAGTGAGATATGTAAAAGTGCAATACTGTCTGGGATACAGAAGGGGTTTTGAAAAGTTTATTTCCCCTTTTCTTTTTTAAAATACACCTCCCCCACAACACACAGAAAAGACACACACACACACACATACACACCAGGAGTCATCCAAAAACAGTCTTTGTGATGTTCTGCAAGGGTTGAATTGCCCTAGTAATGGTTTGTGAAAGACTTGGATCTTTTTTACATTGAAATCAAAGGCTGGTGATTTTAGACACACTTCAGAGTCCTGGAGCCATGCGTACTGGACCTTTCCTACTTTGGGAAAATAATCAACTCCTGAGCTCCGTAAACAATAACCAGTATAGAATAGAAAGCAGGATTCTCTGAAGAGAAGCCAGAGTCCCCAGCATGTGGGCAGCACCTGAAGCGTGACCCTCAGACTCAGGGAGGGACCAAGGCCTGTTGCAGGGCACCCAACTGCTGCTGCCTGATCACCAAAGGAGAAGAGTCTAAAATGAAACCAAATAACAGGTGGCAATCTGAACCCACTCCCCTAAAAAAAACTCCCATTTTTAAAAAGAAAACTTACCTGAGAAGGAGTTTCTACTCCCTGAAATTTTTTTGCTGTGGGTTTTATCTCTTTGCCTTTCTCCAAAATAATACCAGCTTTCCTACAAAAAAGGGTACAATCCAACCATGGTTCATCTGCACTCTTTCCTTTCCTGTATTAGGTACCCTTAGTGTTTCTATGCCCACCTTCTTTCCTAAAGTCAGTGATTTTGTTTGTTTGTTTGTTTGTTTTTTGGTAGAGTCGCTCTGCAACCCAGACTGGAGTACAGTGGCAGGATCTAAGCTGACTGCAACCTCTGCCTCCTGGGTTCAAGTGATTCTACCACCTCAGCCTTCTGAGTAGCTGGGACTACAGGTGTGTACCACCACGCCCAGCAAATTTTTTGTATTTTTAGTAGCGATAGGGGCTTCACCATGTTGGCCAAGCTGCTCTCAAACTCCTGACCTCAAGAGATCCACCTGCCTCAGCCCCGCAAAGTGCTGGGATTACAGGCATGAGCCACCCGTGCCCAGCTGCAGTGATCTTTGGGCAGAAGCTACCAAAAATAACAAAATTAGGACTTCTTTCATTCAAGGATTCATACATTCATAAAATTTTAGAGCTGGAAACACCTTAGAAAGCATCTGGTCCAACCCTTCTTTCCATATTACAAATGACAACACCGAGACCAAAACAAAACCAAGCAAACTGCCAAGGAGATGCTGCAGTCAGTTAGAAGCAGCACAGGCCTTGCATACAGGTCCCTGGGTCTCAGTCTAGGGCTCTGGATCAATGGCTGTCAATGACTTTCAAACCTTTTGTTTTTTAAGTTGCAATCCACATTAATAAATCTAGGAGACACACACACACACACACACACACACACACACACACACACACCAATATTTAAACCTTTTGATATTTTCTATTCTGCTCTATTCATTTTATTTTCAAAAGATGTCAGTTACAATACAGTAACTTTATTTTAAAACTTACTGATAAATCATGATCCATAGCTTGAAAAACACTATCTTAGAACAACCATTTTCAAAATCTGTGCATCTCAAATTAGAGAAACCAAAGGTGGTGGAATTGGAGTCTGGGCATTGTGCACAACCACCACCTCTTCCCTAGACTGAGGCCAAACAACTCGAGCAGAGCTGCTGGAAATGGTAGCATCTCAGCAGGAAAATGGCAGAAAGGAAAATGACAGAGAATTCTGCTTTAAGTGGAAACAGCCCATCTGGTCTTATCAGAAATTTTTAGAGGTCACAGACTCTACATGTACTGACTAAGCGAAGATATTTACATTGAGGAGAGGCTTTGTTTTGAGTTGTGAAATGTTGCTTTTTATCTACCTAAGAGTTGTGAGGATGGGCAACGCTCTTTGGAGAATTTATCTAATTGAACTTGTTACTATTCTCACAAGGAAGGAAGAAGTCATGGTACTGGCAGGAGTAAGAGCAGGGCCAGGTGAAGTGAGGGAAGCATCTTGATTACTGTATGTTTTTTTCTCTGTAACATGGCTTTACTCCCCTCACCTTAATCCTGTCCCATCAGGTCTTGTCTTTATTTAACATGTTGATATTGTATACATCATAGATTTTTTGCATTAATTTTTATTAAAATGTTACATTAAAATTATTTATTTTAATTATTACAATTTTTAGCATTCCATTAAATTTTGCACCTCATTGACCTAACTCTAGTCCTGGCCCAAAGAGATTCTGAAGTCAGCTACTAACTAGTGCACGTTAAACAAGAAAGTATCAAAAACAGACTTTCTAAAGACTGCTTCTCTAATTACAATTTTACTAAGCACCATGACTCAAATAATAATCTTTACGTCCTATCAGTGATGTTTCAGAACTAGCAAACTCAAACATCCTAAGACAAAGTTTGTAGAACCTCTTTCATAACTCTGCAGTTAAAAATATGTCAGAGGCAATAAGGAAGGCACAAACCATAGTTCTGGTTCTTCCTAGAAAAGAAAAGAAGTTAGTTCAAGAACCTACATGGTATAAAAATACACTCAGAAATATTCAAGGAGTGCATTTTAACTTGATTTTCTTTCTTTTTTTTTTTTGAGACATGGTCTTGCTGTGTCATGCAGGCTGGAGTGCAGTGGCACAATCTTGGCTAACTGCAATCTCCACCTCACAGGTGAAAAATAGTCAAATTACGTCTACAGTAAAAATATCTCTCACCATCTCTCCACAAAAGGACACGATGAGGTTTTTACTAAATCTATAAGAAAGTAACAATTCATGTCTTTTATAATTTTTTTGGATAACAGTAAAAAAGAAAAATTCCCAACTCATTTAGTACATTAATATAACTGATTCCAAAATTGCACAAATACAGTAGAAGAAAAGATATTTTTACACCAGTCTCACGTATAAATGTAGATTTAAAAATATACATATATTTTCAAAGTGAATTCAGCAATGTAGAAACACCATGTATCAACACCAAGTGCCATTTCTCTTAAGGATTCAAGGATGTTTTTTAATAGATGGCAGATTACAGGCTTTTAGCATGCCTCAGTCATTTGGAAATACCAAGCAAGTACATAAAGACCAACTCTGTGAGCTTTAATTCAAGAAAGAAAATGGCAATTCCCCAGAATTATGAAGGACATCCCAGATCCCGGGGAGGACAATGCAGGCACGCAGCCCTCAGGACAGCATTCGACTGATAAAAGTGAGTAAAGCCTCAGTATGTGAGAAAGGCAGACAGCATCCCTCTGTCTCACCTTTCCACTGGAGATCCATGCAACCCGGGCAGAGGAAGAGATTGTTTTTCCCAAGCCTTGGAGCTCATTTGAGAAGAGACTTGGAGACTTTGTGGGGGAAAGACACAGGGAAACGCTGCCAGCATTTTCCCAAACCTGGACTGGGAGCAGGACAACACTGGGGGAATCTTCCCTATCTGGCTGCACCCATCTTGTGCCCCCAATCCCCCTACCCCTAGGGCTGAGGGAGCTCAGATTAATGTGTACTCGGGATTTCAGCCCATTGCCTGGGGCAACAGAGAGCTCCTCCCAATAAACAAGGATGAAGTACACAGCCAGCAGCACTGGCAACAGCCAGCTCTTACCCATGGCGCCATCTACTGGCTTGTAGGTCATACCACACACCCAACATAAAACCTGCTGGCAGAAGTGCATACGGCGGCAGAAGCAAAGCCAAAAGGCCCTACCTAGCATGCTCTACAGTCACACCCCCTAGGGAGGAGGGAAAGGGAAAGAAGAAAAAAATAACAATAATATTATAGGAAAGGAAAAAAAAGAGAAAAATCCTACCAAAACAAAAATAATTACACTAATTAGAAGTGCTAGCATCTCCAGATGAGAAGGACCCACGCAAGAATTTTGGCACCATGAGAAATCTGAATGCAGTGACACTGCCAAAGGATCACACGAGCTCTCTGGCAATGCTTCCTACCAAATTGAAAACTCAGAGATGACAATAAACAATTCAAAGCTTGGGTTGCAAGGAAGCTCAATGAGATTCAAGGTTGAAATCAACAAAAAGAAACTTCTACATCAATCTGGGAAATGAAGGAAGAGATAAACATCTTAATAAGAAATCAATCAGAACTTCTAGAATTAAAAAAACTCACTTAAGGAATTTCAAAATACAACTGAAAACTTTATCAACAGACTGGACAAAGTAGACAACATAATTTCAGAGCTTGAAGACTGGTCTTTTGAACTAATCATCAGACAAAAATAAAGAAGAAATATTTTTTAAAAGTGAAGAAAGTCAGAAATATTAGATTATGTAAAGTGACCAAACCTACGAATTACAGGCATGCCCTAGAAAGAGAAAAAGAAAACTGCCTGGAAAACAAATTTGATGGAATAATTCAAGAAAATTTCTTGAATCTTGCTAGATAGACATCTAAGTACAATAAAGCCAGATGGCACCTGTGAGATACTATAAAAAATGAACATTACCAAGGCATATACTCACCAGACTGTCCAAGGTCACTGTCAAAGAAAAAGCCCTAAAGGCACCGGAGAAAAAGGCCAGATCACACGCAAAGGTAGCCCCATCAGGATAACAGCCAAATCCGACAGCACATCAAAAAGTTCACAATCAAGTAAGCTTCATTCCAAGGATACAAGGTTCAGCATATGCAAACCAATAAATGTGATTCACCACACAAACAGAATTAAACAAAAACCACATGATCATCTCAATAGATGCAGAAAACAAAAGCTTTTGATAAAATTCAACATCTTTCTTGATTAAAAAAAAACACTCAAGAAACTAGGAATCAAAAGAACATACTTCAAAATAGAGCCATGGACCAGGTGCAGTGGCTCACATCTGTAATCCCAGCACTTTGGGAGACCAAGGCAGGCAGATCACTTGAGGTCAGGAGTTCAAGACCAGCCTGGCCAACATAGTGAAACTCCGTCTTTACTAAAAATACAAAAATTAGCTGGGCACGGTGGTGCACACCTGTAATCCCAGTCACTCAGAAGGCTGAGGCAGGAGAATCACTTGAACCCAGGAGGCAAAGGTTGCAGTGACCGAGATTGCACCACTGTATTCCAGCCTGGGTGACAGAGCAAGACTCCATCTCAAAAAACAAAACAAAACAAAACAAAACAAACAAACAAAAAAAACAAAAACAGGCTGGGCGCAGTGACTCATGCCTATAATCTCAGCACTTTGGGAGGCTGAGGTGGGTGGATCACGTGAGGTCAGGAGTTCGAGAGCAGCCTGGCCAAATTGGTGAAACACTATCTCTACTAAATATACAAAAATTAGCTGGGTGTGGTGGCAGGCGCTTGTAATCCCAGCTACTTGGGAGGCTGAGCCAGGAGAATCGCTTGAACCTGGGAGATGGAGGTTGCAGTGAGCCAAGACTGCGCCACTGCACTCCAGCCTGGGCAAAAAGAGCAAAACTACCTCTCAAAAGAAAAAAAAAAGAAATCATTTCCTTTGCAGCATCATGGATGCAGCTGGAAGTCATTATCCTAAGCAAATTAATGCAGGAACAAAAACCAAATACAATATGTTCTCACTCATAAGTGAAAGCTAAACAATGGGTGCTCATGGACATCAAGGTGGCAATAATGGACCCTGGGGATTTCTAGAGGGGGCACAGCAGAAAAGGGCACAGGTTGAAAAACTAACTATTGGGTCCTGTGCTCAGTACCTGGGTGATGCGATCAATCATACCCGAAACCTTAGCATCAGATAATATTACCAATAAACCTGCATATGTACTTCCAAATCTAAAAGTTACTTTATACCAAAAATCTAAGCTCAAGAAGAAAAAAAACAGTCTTTTGCCCATTAAAAAACAAATAATAAAAAATGCAAGAACCATCCTATATTAGAAATCTATATTAATGCAATTTATCATATTCATTGATTAAAGAAGATACACCTTACAATTATCTCAGTTAATGCCAGAAAAAGTATTCACTAAAATTCAGGCTGTGCCTGTGACTTTAAAAACTAACAACTAGGAAACTTCCTTAACTCAACAAAGAGAATCTACCAAAATACCTACCGGGAACATCATATTAATGACATAATATTGACAGCATTTTCTTTAAAGCCTGGAATTAAACAAAAATGCCCTCTCTTCACTGCTTCCATTTAACAGTATACTGCAGAGCCTAACCAGTGTAGAAAGTCAGTGTAGTAAGTAAATACTTAGAATAACTCCTTAATCTAATGAGAGAATTTAGGAAGATTTCTAGATGCAAGCTCAACATAAACAAAAATTAATAGCTAAATCAAGGATGCAGGTTTAAATCTTTACAGTAATTACTAAAAACATAGAAAAAGAGTATATGACTTCCAAGGTAATGACAGAGGGTGAGAAGGAAAGATTTATATTATTAAAATTCAATCGAATGAAAACAGAATGTCAGAAGGAAAATAGAAGAGTTAAATAAAATAGATGTACATAGAACGCTGTTCTCAACAATGCATAATATATGTTCTTTTCAAATGTACAGAAAACATTTGACAATATCGACCAAATTCTGGGTCATTAAGCAAGTCTAAACAAGTTTCAAAGAACTAAAAAAGAAAAAAATACATAGTATGTTCTGTGCCCACAACACAATACAATCAGAAATCAAAAATTTAAAGATAAATACAAAATTCTCACATATTTGGAAATAAGGAAGTATACTTCTACATAACTCATGGGTCAAAAAAAAAAAAACAAGCACAAAGTTGGAACATAGTTTGAACTAAGTAAAATAAAAACACTACAAATAAAAATTTATGGGACAAAACTAAAGCAATATTTAGAGGAAAACTTGTAGCCTTAAATGGTAAATAGAAAAGAGAGTGGTCGACACTCTCTTTTGTTGCACAGGCAACAAAAGAAACAGTAGACAAATGATACTGTATCAAACTAAAACGCTTTTGCAGAGCAAAGGAAACATTTGTAGACTAAAGAGACCATTTGTAGACTAAAGAGACAACCTACGGAATGGGAGAAACATCTACAAAGCATACATTCGATAATAGGTTAACAGATTTTTTAAAAAGGGAACTCAGACAACACAATAGCAAGAGAACAAGTTACTTCTCTAGAAAATGGGCAAAGAACCTGAAAAGATATTTCTCAACAGAAGACACACAAATGGCCAAGAGGTATAAGGAGAAAATGCTAAACATCATTAATCATCAGGGAAAAGCAAATTAAAACCACAAAGAGATATCCTCACACCTGTTAGGATGGTCATTAACAAAAAGACAAAAGAAGAGTTGGTGAGGATGAAAAGGGAACCCCCTTGTACACTGTTGGTGTGAATGTAAATTAGTAGTTATCGTGGAAAACAGCACTGAGATTCCTCAAAAAACCAAAAATAGAACTACAATATGATTTGGAGATTCCACTTCTGGGTATATATCCAAAGGAAATGAAATCTGCACTCCCATGTTCACTGCAGCATTATTCATAATATCCAAGCTATGGAGTCAATCTAAATGTCATCAGTGGATGAATGGATAAAGAATATATGGTATATATAATTAAAGGCATACTATTCAGCCTTAGAGGAGATCCTGTCACTCAAGATAATGTGGATGAAACTGGAGAACATTACGCTAAGTGAAATAAGCCCGGTGTAGAAAGACAAATACTGCCTGTCTCACTTATTTGTGGAATCTAAAAAAGTCAAATTCATAGAAGCAGAGAGTAGAATGGTGGTTACCAGGGGCTGGGGAGACAAAACTGGGGGGATTGTGCAGATGTTGGTTTTTACTTTATTATTATTGTTATTTTTTTAGACGGAGTTTTGTTCTTGTTGCTCAGGCTGGAGTGCAATGGTGCGATCTCAGCTCACTGCAACCTCTGCCTCCCAGGTTCAAGCAATTCTTCTGCCTCAGCCTCCTGAGTAGCTGGGATTACAGGTGCATGCCACCACACCCAGCTAATGTTTTGTATTTTTAGTAGAGATGGGGCTTCACCATATGATCCACCTGCCTAATCCTCCCAAAGTGCTGGGATTACAGGTGTGAGCCACTGTGCCCAGCCTGAGATGTTGATTAAAGGATGCAAAATTTCAGTTAGACAGGAAGAATAAGTTCAGGAAATTTATTGTACAACATAGTGACCACAGTTAATAATAATGTATACTTTAAAATTGCTGAGACAGTAAATTTTAGATGTTCTCACACAAAAATATGTGGAGTAATGCATATGCTAATTAGCTTGATTTAGCCATTTCACAATGTTTACGTATATCAAAACATCATCTTGTACACCATAAATATATTGATTTTTTATTTGTAAATTTGAAAATAAAAAAGATCAGCCTTAAATAAAATAAAAGTAGTCTGATATTCTAAAATTAAAGACTGTGTGTATTTTGAGAGATATAAACTGGCAAACCAAAAATAAAGAAATCTAAATACAAGGAAAACAAGGGAAAATATGCTCAACCTTCCTTAGTTCTTTTTTCCTACTTTCTTCCCTTCCTTATCCTCTCCCTATCTCCTACTCTTCCTCCTCTCCTCTTTCCTTTCTCCTTCCCTTCTTTCAGTCTTGGAGCTAATATTTAAAAATGCTAACAATTATTAATACATATTAATAGAAATAAGTATCTTGTTCTTGTACTTTCTCTATATTTACATGTCTTTAGAAAGGGAGAAATAAAAAGGAAAATGTTATTACCTTTTCCTCCTTTACAGTGAATTGCTACCATGTTTTCAAGATCTTGAGCCATCCACTCATTTACTTCCTTGGTGAAAACCACCATCTCACTGATTTCAAGTTTAAGATTTTTAGTTAAAATATTTTCAAAAAATCAAGCCCAATATATTTAGCCCTCTTCTGATAGTCAACTTAGCATAAAACTTACTGTAGAGTGGGGACATTATGATCATCAATCATGATTCTACCAACCCTATTATAGAAGTGCTTAGGATCATAAGCTCTTTCACCAAAAATAAATAATAGGTATGTCATATCTCCATAGGGAATAACATGATAAATGATGAAGTTATGAATAAGTTAACATATCTTATTAGAATTCTTTATCTGTCTTCAAAAAGAGCTTTCCAAGTTGCTCCTGCCACTCTAAAACAAACACAAGTGTTTCAAAAATGTAAGGATGGTAGTAGTTTATCCATCTCATGTAACCTAAACTCAACTTATTTTTGTTTAATAGGTATAATTTTTAACTTTCTAGCAGACTATTCATTACATTATTTCAGGATAGTTAGAAACCACACGAGGCAAATGTGGCTGACCAAAATGTTTGCCCCATGAAAATGTCTATTGAGTATACAGGTAGAGGAAAAAATCAAGAGAGACAGGGTATTAAACTGGGTTACAACCTATTTTCTACAGAGTTTTTTGCTTTTTTCCCATCTAGAGGCTTGCTCTCATCACATGCCACTGCTGATGGGTCAGAAGACTCATTTGTTAAATTGTCTATGTCCTCATAACACAATCTGGCAGGAAAAACAGAAAGATTTTCCTAAACCTAATATCACTAGAACAGATCTTCCCTAAAATGGTTTGCTTCCACTCCAGTCTCATTGGTCCTGCCAAAGCCACATCCTTCATACGGTTCTTTGTGCTGCTGGGTTAACTCCTTCTACTAAATGGGGTCAGTCCAAGATGGGGATTTTTAAATTCATTCCTTGCCACTACCAAATACTTATGATTAAATGCAATCTAAAAAACAAAATCATCTTCTTACATGCAGTAATCTGTTTTCTATCTACGGTAGCAAAATATAGAGTAATGTACATACTGCATAGATTGTAGACTCGATAGCGGCATGGATGTTTCTTATCTAGAAACCGCACAACTTCCTAAAAAAGACAAACACATATCTTACATATTTACATGGCACCAACATAAGCTATTTCCTAGGGGGCACCTAAAATGGTTATTACTTTTATTAATTTGTCTCTCACTAGCATCTTCTAGGGGAGATTCAGAGAATAAGAGGGTATGCAAATTTCAAGTTCTAATCCACTGTGATTTTTCAAATAGTCCACAAAGTGTGTTTGGCTACTCAGATGAGTCTCTATTGTAAATACACACTGTTTAAAGCTATCAGATAAGTAAATTAGCTGGTTAACTAACTTTAAGTAATTTGTTCTAAATCATTAATTCACAGTTAATATGGTTCTTGTTTAAATCTAATTCATATTGGTTCTGATTTAAATTTAATTCTGAATAGACACATCTTTAGAGAGTGATCTGCATATTACAGTCTATCTAAGCACTATGTAAACAAATAAATGCAAAAAGCATGTAGTATGATTGTGTGTATGTGTGATAGAAAAAGATAAACATATCAAATTTTAAATAACTGATAACAATATGGAGACTTTTTTGGCTCATTTGTTCTCTTTATTTTTTTAAATGAAGATATATGTGTACCTATAAGTGTGTGTATATACATATATGTATATATGTATAACCTTTAAAATGAAAAACAAATAGTAGTTATTATTTAAAATACAATCAATACCACTATATGAATCCAAATTTCCGTAAATATATCTTTCTGAAACATACACACACATACGTATATATCTCTGTGCAACAACAAAAATGACACAAAATTTTAAAACTGATTAGTATGGTACCCTCAGAGCAATGTTTACTGGCTTAATATTGAGAAAAATAAAATGAAGGTATCAAAGTCATCCATTTATTAAACTGGCTATCTCTGTTAGGAGGAAATAATAACTCAAAAAGATGAACACTCTGAATCTGCATAGTAGGGGAGGCAAGGATAAATAATTTTATATACTTCAGAATTCATGGAATTTCTTACATGAAATCCATATGGGTTTAGAAATCACATATAAAAACTATAAATATCTATGAGAAATTGAAGCAAATTTTAATCAATTCTTTGGATGAGGAAGAACTAAAGGTGTTGAATCAATGGAAGATCAATAGGCTTACGTTTGACTTCATAAAAATCTGAAATTTCTGCTTAAAAATGCTATTAATGAATAACAGGGGAAACGATTTTTCAGAAAAATTGACTGAATGGGGACCATGCCTAGTATGATAAATTAATAATTCATTAACAACAACTTAAATATTACTCACTCACCTTATAGATAAATGGGCTAAGGACATAACAATCCATAAAAGAGAAAATCTAACTGGTTAACAACCTATGTAAACATTCAGTGTCACCAATAACGTAGTCAAAACAACAATGACATGCCATTTGCACCCATGAAATTAGCCCTTTCTCTTTTAATGAGAAAATCCAATGCTGGCAAAATAAGGCATGAAATTTAAAACTTTGATTTATTGTTGATACAAGAATACAACTGCTCTTGGATTTGGCAATATATATTAAGAACCCTAAAATTACTCTTAGCTAGGTAATTTCACTACTAGCAATCTATACAGAAAAGGCCTTATGAGCAAAGATGTCTGTTGCTGTATTATTGATTATAATGACACTTAAATGTCCAACATTAGAGGTTAATCATAGCAGTAATGAAATATCATGCAACCATTAGAATATTGTCCTGTCCTTATTTTATTTTATTTTATACTTTATATTTATATTTTTATTTTATTTTATATTTTTATATTTTATTTATTTTATTATTTTATTTTATTTTATTTTATTTATTTTATTTTATTTTATTTTATTAATTTTGAGATGGAGTTTCACTCTTGTTGCCCAGGCTGGAGTGCGATGATGCGATATCAGTTCACTGCAACCTCTGCCTTCCAGGTTTAAGCAATCCTCTTGCCTCAGCCTTCTGATTAGCTGGGATTACAGGCACCTGCCACCAAGCCTGGATAATTTTTTTTATTTTTAGTAGAGACGGGGTTTCACCATGCTGGCCAAGCTGGTTTTGAACTCCTGACCTCAGGTGACCCACCCTCCTCGGCCTCCCAAAGTGCTGGAATTACAGGTGTGAGCCACCGTGCCCATCCCTGTCCCTCATTCTCTCAATAAGTAAATATCTCACACTGGTAATTTATGTGCAGCCTTCCTTAGTATACATATATAGAAAAAGAGTCAATATTTGCTTTTTCATGGGAAAACAAATATACCTGGACAGTTAAGCTTTAGGGATTTTTCCAAATCCACTTCCTAGTTCTCTCAATGTCTGAAAAATGATATATATATATAATTTTTATAATCATGTATATATACATATATATGTGTGTGTGTGTGTGTGTGTGTGTGTATATATATATATATATATATATATATATATATAGCAACTCAACATTTAGATGATTTACTGCTGTGTTTTCCGATCTAAGTAATTTACCGAAGACTCCAAATACCTCTTATCCAAATCAGGTGAAAAAGGACATAAATAATCTAGAACAAAATTCAACTCTGCCAAGAATCTACATTTTTCTGGTCACAATCTGTCACCAGATGGACAGTTTCTGTTTTCAGCCAGAATAAAGTGCATTCAATTCTACCAAGAACAGAAATTAAAAGATGGCTAAGATTGTAGGAATGTAGGTAATTTTATACCTGATTTTTCTCAATAGCTCAGCCTTTGCGTGGCTTACTAAGTTTATAATTTCTGAAACTCTTCCTTGTGATGCAAAAGTAGAAAATGCTGTCTCCTCTTAGAAAGCTTCTTGCAACAACCTCCACCTTTGGGTTTTCCTAAATCTACCATACTCTTCTCTCTGCCTATCTTAGTACATTCCTTGATTTGGAGGCAAAGGTATACCTTCCGTACTTGCATGAGGTGGCAGCAGTGGCCAAACTTGTTGATGCTTCCACCATAGTGCTTGTTTCTCCACTAACACTATGGGTCCTGCATCTCTAAAGTTTTTGCTACTTCAAGGCAGCATCTGACATTTCTCCACTAGCAAGTTTACCACTTATGAAATTGTAATGTCTGCTTTGCTTATTCGCTGTTGTTCAAAATGTAACCCTGCAACTTTATTCCCTTTTAAGAATAAAGGGGAATCACATGACTGTTTAGCAACTTCTCGGGAGTTAAGGATGCCTGGATTTGAATCTTCTCCCTTTTAGTCAACCTTGATTTAATATACTTTGTAGATGCTTCTCACATATGACAGAGACACTCCCAGTGCAGGACATGCTGTTATCACTGAACATGCAATCACTGAAGGGCTCCATGGCCTGATTCCCAGCCTGCCCAGGTAGCTGAACTAGTAGCTTAGATTTGGGGCTTCACTCTGGCAAAGATGAAAGACTAAATATTAATATGGATGGTAGATTTGCTTTTTGGGTGGTTTATGATTTGCGGAATTTATTAAAACACATAATTACCTCCTTTTGGGATACTCTGATTAAAAATGGTAAAGGAACCAATGACTTATTAGTACTTTGTCAATGCCCCAAGGAGATAACAGTTTAATAACTGATAGAAACCAAAAGTCTAGAGATCACCCAAGAAAAAATTAGTAATGTCTTTGTTTTGATTTACATGCTAAAAGTTTTTGGCTTTTTAAAAACACCCCAGCTAATAGTAAGTGTTGCCAAATTTATATTAGTCAACACCAAATCTACTAAAAGAAAATGGGCTCAATTTAGACATGCTATAATTAACTCACAGTTATTAACTTAACCTGCTTTAGAAAACAATATTAGCAATCAAGAGATGTTTTCCCCATAAAGATGGAATTCGGAAATTTTGGGATGGCTGCCCTGAGTGTCATGACCCATCCAGTGGACCCTGGTCACATTACTCCATGACTGTGCCCATTCGGAGCGACAGAAAGTACTTCCACCTCAAATAAATAGTTTGAAACAATTTTCAAAATTGGCCAAGGGAGTGGTAGAGTCATGTCTTAGCAGTGAATAGCGTAACCTGGGTGAGATGTGGTTCAGACTCTTCTCTTCAAGGTCTTTAGGTATTTACAAATGTATTTTTATACAATTGCTGAAGTCTTGAGTCTCTGACTATATAGTAGTTATTTCTTGTGAACTATCTCATGTACAAAAATGCTTCCCTGCCTGAGAATAAGGTAGACTCATTCCATCAATGGTCTCAATTCTTCAACTTTTCCTGAATTCAAGCCCTCACATTTCACCTCGTAGTGCCCTTTCCCTCTAATTTTGTGTTCCATTATGTGAGTTGATTCGGTCACTGGGATGCCACAAAGGAGAGGTTTGCAAAAGCATTTGTAAGATTCCACTCTAGCTCTTTCCTTTTGCCATGACCTTGAAACATACCCATCATATTCATCCAGATGGAGGATGAAGATGAGTTAAGCAGATAGGAGTTACCCAAGACACCTAAGCTAAGGTAATTGTAGACCAGCTGATAAAGACATTTCAGGAAAAAAAAACTGCATATCCCTCATGAACACAGATGAAAAGTTCTAAATAAAATATTAGCAAATAGAATCTAGTGATACATAAAAAAGTTAATACATTAAGACCAAAAGGAGTTTATTCCAAAAATAAAAAAGTTTGGTTTAACATTTGAAAATCTCGTTAATGGAATGACAGAAAAACATTTTGATTATCTTGATAGATGATATCAGAAAAAAATCTGATATATTCAACACCAATTCATGGTTCAAAACTTTTAGCAAACTAGAAATAAAATGGACTGTCTTAATCTAGTAAAGAATGACTACAAAAGCCTATAGCAAACATCATTTCAAATAGTGAAGCAAGATATTCTTTCCACCTAAGTTTGGGAACAGGGCAAGACTGCCTCCTCTTACCATTTCTATTCAATATTACCATGAAAGTCCTGGATAATTCAATAAAGAAAGAAAAAAGTATAAAAAGTGGGAAGAAAGTAGTAACTTTATATGATTGCATACATTTAAAAAATCCCAGGGAATCTACACATTCATTATTAAAATTAATATGTGAATTTATGAAGGATGCTAGATGTAAAGTCAACATACAAGGCCAGGTGTGGTGGTTCACACCTGTAATCACAGCACTTTGGGAGGCTGAGGTGGGAGGGTTGCTTGAATCCAGGAGTTCAAGACCCGCTTGGGTCAGTGAGACCAGAGAGACTCCTTCTCTACAAAAATTAATTTAAAAAATTAGCCAAGTGTGGTGATGCCTGCTTGTAGTCCCAGCTATGTGGGAGACTGAGGTGGGAGAAATGCTTGAGCTCAGGTGCCACTGCACTCCAGCCTGTGGTGACAGAGCAAGGCCCTGTCTTTAGATAAACAAATAAACAAAAGTCAATATACAAAAATTAGTTATGTTCCTACATACCAATAGCAAATATTTAGAAAATGAAGATCTTCAAATATCATTTAAAATAGCATAAAAACTTATCAACTACATAGAGATAAAACTAACAAAAGGTGCAAAACCTGTACACTACAAACATTGCTAAAAGAAATCAAAGAAGACATCAGTAGAGAGATCTATTATGTTCATGAGTTGGAAAGCTCAATATTTTTAGATGTCAATTCTCTCCAAATTAAGCTATGTAGTCAATGCCCAAGTCAAAATACTGACGGGGTGTGGGGGTGTGTTTGTGTGGGTTTGAGTGTGTGTGTGTGTATGTAAATTGCCAAGATGATTCTAAAATTTATATGGAAATTCAAAAAATCTAGGAGAGCCAAGATAGTTTTTAAACAAAGAAGTACAAAGTTGGAGGACTTACACACAAGTTCTCAAGAGTCACTATAAAGCCATAATAATTAAAACTATGGCCTGGACTTAAGTATAGGCAGTCATAATGAAAGGACAAAAAGCCCAGAAACAGACCTATACAGATATGTTCACTTTATTTGCAATAAACCCACCTCTGCAATTCATTGGGGGAAATCATGCTCTTTACAATAAATGGTACAGGAGAAATTGAGAGCTATGTGAAAAACATGAAACTTGATACTTTATATCTTTACAACAATTAATTGGAGGTCAGTCATAGACCAATATATTGATAGAGGTGTTGGTTACATGCATATATACTTAGGTATAATATCATCAAGATATATACTTGATTAGTGCAACCTACCATATGTGTTATACCTCAGCAAAAATGTGGTTATAGATGCATGCATATATAATGTTTACCTACATCGGGGCACATGTATATACAAATAATTTACTTCAACTTTTATTTTAGGTTCAGGGGTACATGTGGAGGATGTGCAGGTGTGTTACACAGGTAAATGTGTGCCATAGTGGTTTGCTGCATAGATCATCCCATCCCTAGGTATTAAGCCCAGCATCCATTAGCTATTCTTTCTGATGCTCTCCTTCCCCATCCCCTCCCTCCCAACAGGCCCCAGTGTGTGTTGTTCCCCATCATGTGCCCATGTGTTCTCATTGTCAGCTCCCACATATAAGTGAGAACATGCGGTGTTTGGTTTTCTGTTCCTGTGTTAGTTTGCTGAGGATATCAGCTTCCAGCTCCATCAATATCCCTGCAAAGGATGTAATCCTGTTCCTTTTTATGGCTGCACAGTTTTCCGTGGTATTTATGTACCACATTTCCTTTTTTTGTTGTTGTTGTTTTAAGTGTTAAGTAATCTTTATTTGATATTACACATAAACCACACAAAATGCCTTTGAATAAGTAAAAGGAACCATCTTAAATACAGGGAATTCTAATTACAATGGCATAGTTAAGGCCAAAAATACAAAGTAGACATTGCTACCTTATCTTCAACCCTTGCCTTTAAGTGGCAAATAAACACAAAACACAGGTGAATCTTGCTTGGTTCTGAGACAGTGAAGGAATTTCCCCAGTATTTAAATATATTCACATAACCAGTCATAAATCCAAATATAAACCAATATAAATATAAATATAAAACCAATCTTCATTAAGTTTTAAGATGGTACTCACCATCTTTGTGAAAAGTTGAACATTATTAACAAAGTCTAATCATATATTTAGAAGGAGTAAACAGTGATAGCATTCACTGAATTGGAATTACTATTAATATTCAAAAACCAAACTTATTCATTTAACCACAAGCTAGTATTAGTTTTAAATCAGGACTGCCCAACAAAATATTCTGAGAGTCATTCATAATCTGAATTCTGGTGTATGAGATCTATTAAATTATGGTACACATAAAAAAGTCATGAGACATTTCCGTTTTGTAATATAAGGTATAAGGCAGTGGCCAATTATTACTCACTAGTAGCTTTTTTGAGATAAGCTATCAAGTCTGCCCTTTCTGCATTGTTCTTAATGCTGGCAAAGATCATTTTTGTTCCAGGAATGTACTTCCTGGAATTCTCAAAATACTCTATCAGTGTATCCTCTCCCCAGGTGATGGCTTTGTTCTTATCAATCTCTATGTTAAGATAATCCAATGGACTGACATGTCCTCCACCTGAAGAGACCATGGAGTTTAGGCCCAGTCTTGTGCTTGCTTCCCTTTTCCACAGTGTGGCACTGGGCACACATCTGAAGAAAAATTTTCTTGCCTTTCTCAGAATCAGCCATATTTAATTCTCTCTTTCATCACTGGCACTACAAAGGTTCCCGCTCAGAAGCCCGATGTCCCACTCTATGTACCATATTTTCTTTATCCAATCTATCATCGACTGGCATTTAGGTTGATTCCATGTCTTTGCTATTGTGAATACTGCTGTAATGAACATATGTGTGCATGCATGTATTTTTATAAGACAATGATTTATATTCCTTTGGGTATATACCCCATAATGGGATTGCTGGGTCTGATGATATTTCTGCCTCTAGGTCTTTGAGGAATTGCCACAGTCTTCCACATGGGTTGAACTAATTTACACACCCACCAACAGCATTTCTTTTTCTCTGCAACCTTCACAGCATCTGTTATTTTTTGGCTTTTTAATAGTAGCCATTCTGACTGGCATGAGATGGTATCTCATTGTGGTTTGCATTTCTTTAATGATCAGTAATGTTGAGCTTTTATTTCATATTTTTGTTGACTGCATGCATGTCTCTTTTGGGAAGTGTCTGTTCAGATCCTTTGCCCACTTTTTAATGGGGTTGTTTTTTTTCTTATAAATTTAAGTTCCTCATAGACTCTGAATGAGATATTGCCAGTGAAGCCTGAGAAACAGCAAAGATGGCAGCCAGCTCCTTCCTTTGGAAGCTCCATCCCAGGGGGATACTGAACTGTAGCCAGCCCGCACATACCTGCAGGAGGTGGCTAGAGACCCTTGTTGGGCATTCTCACCCAGTCAGGAGGGATGGGATCACGGACCCATCCAAAGAAGCAGTCTGGCTGCTTTGGGGTAGAGCAGGTGTGCTGCATTGTGGGGGATCCTTCCTCCTCTGGACCACCTGTATTCTCCAAAGCCATCAGGTTGGAGTGGCTGAGTTGCCCAAACTGCAGAGGTGGCAGCTGCCCCTCCCGCCAGGAGCTCCATTTCAGGGCGAGATCAAAGCTCTGTCCATAGAACCGTTGCTGGAGTGGTTAAAGCCCCCGCAGGGATTTCTGCCCAGTGAGGAGGAATGGATTGGGGTCCTGCTTAAAGAAGCAGTCTGGTCATGATCTGGCAAGCCAGCTGTGCTGTGTTGTGGGGAACTCTTCCTTGTCCAGATTGTCTGTATTCTCCATAGCTGGCAGGCTGGAGTGGCTGAGTATATGAACCACAGTGATGCTGGCTGCCTCTCCCCACCTCCCCAGGAACACAGACCCATCTGAGGTGGATTCCAACCTGCTGCTGTTGGCAGGCTAGGATTCCAAGCCAGTGGGTCTTAACTTGTGAGGTGCCAAGGAAATGGATCCTGCAGAATGATGCTGCCTGGCTCCCTGGATTCAGCCCCCTTCCCAGAGATACGTATGGACAGATTTCCCACTGTGCTGAAGATCCCCGGGGCTAGAGAGTGTAAAACTCCTGGGTTTCTGTGTGTGCCTGAGCAGCTGATGTGCCCAGACTCAATACAGGTCTGTGTATCAGACCCACAGCCCTGGTGGCATGGGTTCACAAGGGGATCTCTTGATCCATGGCTTGCAAAGATCCATGAGAGAAGCACGGTTTCCCGGGCAGGACTGCACACTCACTCACCGCTTCCCTTGGCTGGCAGTGGGGGTTCCTTTGGCTCCATGCTGCCCCCGGCTGGGCTGTCGCACTCTCTGCCTGCTTGTCTTCATTCTCCATTGGTCGACCTGTTCATCTAGTCAGTCCCAATGTGAGAACCTGGTTATCTCAGTTGAAGGTGCTGAATTCCCTTGCCCCTTTTCATTCTTCTTTGTGAGCACTGCAGACTGCAGCTGCTTCTAATTGGTCATCTTGCATCACTCTAAACATTTCTTTTTTAGCCCTAGTTCTTAATTCCTATAGCCCTTGGTTTATCACCAGTTTCTTGATAAAATAATCCATCCACATTCTCTAGTCATGGGATGATGACTCAGGCCAGGGAACCAGCACATTTTCTGGGAAGTAGCTGAACTTGCAGCCCTGTCCTGTTCAGAACTGAGCTAACACACTGCAAAGAGGTACTCCTTCCACCTCTCGTATGCCCTGACTATAATTTAGGATCTCAACCTAAGAATACACATTTTGGGTTATAGCATCCCCATCTTTCTCCCCTATGGTAGACTATCAAAAACGGCCACAATTCTTTATAATTCCTTCCATCAAGAGTTGGAGTTTATTTTCTACTCCTTGAATCCAGACTGGTAGTGTAATTTGCATTGTCCAATAAAATGGGGTAGAATTAATATATAATTTTGAGCCTGAGCCTGAAGAGGATTTGCATTGTTTTGTTGCCGCTCCTGGGACTCTTGCCTCTGCCATCATGTGAACAGGCCTGAAGTAGCCTACTGGAGAATGAGAGACCACATGGGGCCATTCAGCCAAGTCAGGTAATTTTCTTTCCTTTCATTTAAAAAATCTGTTTCCTTCATTCTTTAAAAATATTTTTAATTGACACATAATACTTGTTCATATTTATAAGGTAGAGAGGGATATCTCAATACTTGTATACAATGTGTAATGATCAAATCAGGATAATCAGCATATCTATCACCTCAAATATTTATCATTCTTTGTGTTGGGAACACTCAACATCCTCTCTATTTAAAAATATACAATAAATTATTGTTAACTGTAGTCACCCTACAGCACTACAGAACACCAGAACTTATTCCTATCTGTAAGCTTAAATCTGATATTTCCTTGTTGATTTTCTGTCTAGATGATCTGTCCAGTGGTAAGAGTGGGGTGTTAAAGGCCCCAACTGTTACTGCATTGGAGTCTATCTTTCCCTTTAGACTTAAAAGTATTTGCCTTGTTAATCTGAGTGCTCTAGTGTTGGGTACATATATATTTACAATTATTATATCTTATTGCTAAGTTGGTCTCTTTATTATTATAAAATGACCTTCTTTGTCTCTTCATACAGTTTGACTTAAAGTCTGTTTTTACCTGATAAGTACGGCTACCTCTGCTTGCTTTTGGTTTCTGTTTGCCTGGAGTATTTTCTTCTATCCCTTCACTTCCAGTCTGTATGAACCTTTACAGGTGAAGTTAGTTTCTTGTAGGCAGCATACAGTTGGGTCTTTTTTTTTTTTTTTTTTTAAATCTTGGCTGCCAATTCTATATCTTTTAATTGGGAATTTGATCTGTTTACATTACATTCAAGGTTACTATTAATATATGAGGCTTTATCCTGTCATTTTGTTCATTTTTTTCTGGTTGTTTTGTATATCCTTTGTTCTTTTCTTCATCTATTTTTTTTTTTAATCTTCGTGGTTTGCTCATTTTCTGTAGTGACAAAGTTTGATTCCTTTCTCTTTCTCCTGTGTATATCTGCACTACCAGTGAGTTTTACACTTTTGTGTGTTTTGACAATGGTAATCATCCTCTTGCTTCCAGATGTAGAACCACCTTAAGCAGTCCCTTTAACGTCAGTCTAGTGGGAATGAATTCCTTCAGTTTTTGCTCATCTAGGAAATACTTTATTTCTCCCTCATATCTAGTGGATAGCTCTACTAGGTATAGTATTCTTGGCTGACAGTTTTTTTTTCCTTCAGTACTTTGAATATATCATCCCATCTTATTGTCTACTGACCTGTAAAGTTTCCACTGGGAAATCCACTGCTAATCAAATGGAGTTTCCCTTATATGTGACTTGATGCTTTTTTCTTGCTGTTTTTAACATTTCCTTTTTTTTTTTTTATTTTTTTGGATACAGTCTCACTCTGTCACTCAGGCAGTAGTGCAGTGGTGTGATCTTGGCCCACTGCAAACTCCACCTCCAGGGTTTAAGCAATTCTCGTGATTCAGCCTCCCAAGTAACTGGAACTACAGGTTCACACCATCACACCCAGCTAATTTTTTTGTATTATTAGTAGAAATGCGGTTTCTTCATGTTGGCCATGCTCACCTTGAACTCCTGGCCTCAAGTGATCCACCCGCCTCAGCCTCCCAAAGTGGTGGGATTACAAGTGTGAGCCACCAAACCTGATGAATATTCCCTCTTTTTGACTTTTGACATTTTGACTACTATGCACCTCAGAGAAGACCTCTTTGGGTTGAATCTATTTGAGAACCTTTGAGCTTCCTAGATTTTGGCCATATCTCTCCCATGTCTGTTTTTAAAGCTCTTGATTGTATTTTTTTTTTTTTTTTGAGACAGGGTATCACTCTGCCACCCAGGCTGGAGTGCAGTGGCACAATCTTGGCTCACTGCAACCTCCACCTCCTGGATTCAAGAAATTCTTGTGTCTCAGCCTCCCAAGTAGCTTGGATGGAAGGCATGCACCACCAAACCCAATTAATTTTTGTATTTTTTAGAGACAGGATTTTGCCATGTTAATCAGGCTTGTCTTGAACACCTGGCATCAAGTGATCCACTGCCTTGGCCTCCCAAAGTGCTGGGATAACAGGTGTGAACCACTTCACCTGGACTCTTGATTGTATTTGTATTTTATTACTTAAATTCTTCAGCTCCACAATCTCTGTCTGGCTTTTATTGACATATATATCCTTGTTGAATTTCTCATAAGATCATAAATTGTTTTTCTAATTTTATTGATTTGTCTATCTGTATTCTCTGTATCTCATAGTTTCCTTAAGATCATTATTTTGAATTCCTTCTTAGCCATTTGATATACTCTTTAAATTTAGGGTCTGTTAATGGGGAATTATTGTGTTTCTTTGGAGGTGTAATGTTTCCTTGCTTTTCATGTTTCTTGTGGCCCTAAACTGATTTTTGTACATCTGGGGGAACAGTTGCCTCTTCCAATGTTAGGGACTTTCATAGAGAAATACTTTTTCCAATAGTTGTCTCCTATAGTGTTCACTGAGTAGGGTGCTTTGACTTTGGTTCTGGGTGGGTGCAGTAATACAGTCTTCAGGTGACGTTTTTGGCTGTTATCAGCGTTCAGTGGTGTCTGTGAGTGCCTCAGTGGCCTGATGGTGAGTGTTTGTGGAGACAGTGGTATGGCTTTTCTTGGTGTGAGAGCTATCATTCAGATTAGTTCTCAGGCCTTAGGCATACACATGCTAGCTGCAGTGGCTTTGCTAGTTGTGGGGTATTGCCAACAGCAGGGCGGGCACCAGGCAGGCCAGTCCTCAGTGCCTTAGAAATGCATGCGGCATATGGTAGCTCTGCTGGTGAAGGGGGTGGGACTGTTGGCAGCAGTGGGTGCCCGATGGGATGGGCCTTGGGCCTTGGGGGGTGCATGTAGCATGCAGTGGCTCTGTCAGTTGAGGGTAGCCAAGTCATTTTAGACTAGCCAGTCCTCAGATGACCCAGTAGCTGCCCACAGATACATGAATGAGCTTAGTTGAGGCAGGAAATCCTTTCTGCAAGCACCCAAATTGGACAGTTAAGCCCATACCAAATTCACAAATCACAGTATCATGAGCCAAATAAATAGTTGCTGTTATAAGCCAGTAAGTTTTGGGGTGGTTTGTAACCACTGGCACAATTGTAACTGGTATCAATCCATTATGATTTTTTTACTTGAAAGAGTACATTTTTAAAAGAATACTGCCATATCTGGGTCAATATTAAACTTATGACTACACAGTCTACATTCCCTAAGAAATGAGTATTTGTCAGATAAAGACCCTTACCTCGACTGGATTTCTATAGAAAGACTGCCTTCCAAAAGATGGAAATGACATAGCAATAATACATTCTGAAAGTCAAAATCATCACTATTACAAACATTGTTATAGATTTCATATAACATACAAAAAATTAATTTATACATTATCAGACTCCATTTTCACTGGAAAAAACCTTTTAAGATTGAGGTTGACAGAAAACAGCTAATACTCAGGATAATCAAATAACATATTAAATTACCCAACACAATGACCATTAAACTGGCATGGAGTTCTTAAGTCTCCACTGGTTCTAACTGTATGCCTTGTATTTATGATGGCCTCAGTCTGAAGTTCCCCATTCTTAGAATTTATTTCTTATCTTAAATACCAGAGAAAATCCAAGATTTCTGGGCACCAGTGATGGTGGGAACTCCCAAAGTGCTTTGCAGCCCTCTGACTCAGAAAACCTGAGATCTACAAAGCACCGACCTCATTCTCTGGGGTTCTAGGATGAGAAGAGGTCTCTGTGGGATCCTTGGGACTCAGAAATAACTACTAGAGGTTAATAAATTGAAACTCAAATGGAGTCAGCTGAAAATCCATTCAAGTTCCTATGCTGCAAATGAGTAGTCCTGAATTGAGAAGACATGCAGATCTTCCATTGCCAGGGCTAAACCACAAATATGTCACATTATCACAGTAGCATATATCCTCATGAATAAAGAATTTTGAATGAATATGTCTTAGATGAGGCAAAAAAAATACAATTACAAGAAAAAGTGAAGTAATACAAGTAAATCAACAGTTAAGTGTCACAAAACTGTAATGTAAGTGAGGTCTAGGTCAAATCCATCCCTTGTTTATCGCCTTTTGTTTTCTGAAACCTGAGAGTTTAAAATCACCATTAGTTTGTGAAACATTCATCAACATAAAAATAGAAAACATTACACAGTATAGATATCAACCCTTGCCAATGGGTTCCAAAACACAAAATATTTTTCTGAATCATAAGCATGTTTTGCCCACTTACCAGCCTTCTTATCAGCTTTTCAAGTTGTCTTTTTTGATGAAACAGATGAAAAATTCTTACCAGAATAATAAGTCGTAGAAGTCGATCAAAATGTGTCCATCTAACGATAAATTTAAAAGATCAATTTTTGCTTCAGAAACGAATTTTATCAATATAAACTATATCTAGAGCAGCAGTTGTTAACCAGAGGCAATTTTCCCTCCTCTCCCCAATCACCTACCTGGGGGATATTTGGCAATGTCTGGAGTCATTTAGGTTTTCACAACTGGCGTGCGTGTGTGTGCGTGTCTGTGTGTTACTTACAACTAGTGAATAGAGGCCAGGAATTTTGCTAAACACCCTACAATTAATATAACTGCTCACCACCCTCTTATGGCAATGATCTGGCCCAAAATGTCAGTAATGCTGAGGCTGAGAAATTCTTGTCTAGAGAAATAGTGATACAATAGACTCTTAGCATTTGTAAATTTAATTTTGGGATTTAAGACTAGCTTTTTAATTTTTCCACATCAAAACAAATCGATTATTCTTGTTCATCTTTGTTATTCCCATGAGTAACAGATGTTCACTACAGCTGCTACTGCACATCAGGGAGGCAACAGATTGAGATACTTCCAAAGTGTGCTAGCTGGTATCTCTCCTACCATCAGAACCACCGAAGCAGAGAACTGATGGTCTGGACTAGTGTTTCTCTGATTTGGGCACAAATCAATAAGAGCCACCTGGAAAAGCTTGTTAAGCTGCAGATTGCTGGGTCCCGGAGATACTGATTCAGTGGGTCCAGGGTGGGGCCTAAGGTATTTTTCTTCTTATATTTCTAGCAAGCTGTCAAGTGATGCTGAGGTTTCTAGTCAGAGGACCACATTGGATGAGGTTATTATCAAGTAACTCCAAAAGCCTATCACTTAACATGCTTTTAGTTGGGGCCTGAGCTGTAGTCCAGGGAAGCTAGGGTACAAAAAGAAATCAGCTATTTGACCCATGAACAAGCTTAGGAAGCCACCATCTACATCCCAGTATACATTTGCTCTTTCGTTTTCCTCATTGTCACAGTAAAAAAAGGAAAAGAGTCACCAGGGCCTCATACACTCTTTAGTTTCTTAATCCCTAACAGTTCTAACTTGGCCTAAGCTTTCTTTGTTTCTACCACAACTATACTGCAAAACTCTACTATTGTGTTGCTACATGTGTCATCTCCCAGTTTCTGTTCTGTTTGCTATTTTTTAGAAACTCATGATTGAAGTCACTCAAATTCTGCATATGCTCAAATAAATTCCCTCTTGGCTGTAGGAAAAATCCAGACAGAACATTATGTGTAAGGGATTTGTAGCTGAAGCACAGAGGAGAATTGTTTTCAATATAAATTTTTCTGATATAGCAGATATTAAACTGATAAGAATATTATACTTGATCTTAGCCAAAAGGCCAAAAAATGATACAAATGGGAATTTGATGAGAACTTCAAAATGTAGAGAAGTTAAAGTTAGTATAAGAGTAAAAGTCCTTCTTTGGGTACTGCATCTTCCTTATTCCATTAATGGTACTTAGCCTGAATACTCTTCACTGGTCCCTAAATATCACAATCTTTTAGTTTCAAAGTATGTGGGAATTTACCTAAACATTTCATTTTAAAGCAATGTATTTGGTATAGAATGAGAACATTTGAAGTTGAAAAGATTATATAGAATAAAAGCCACAGAAAATGCTAAAATTAATGAAAAACTTTAAGAGAGGTAAGTCTTAAGTTTCATACCTGGGAATATTCCTAAGCAACTTAATGTCAAAAAAAAGGTAAATGACATCAACCAGCAGAGGAATCACAATAATGGCAGTATCTAAAATGTTAAATAAGTCATAAAAATACTGCTGTCTCCTGTAATACAAAACAAAAAAAAAAGTTCATTCCCCCCTGCAAGAAGAGATAGGAATATTTAAAGACCACAAACTATTGACTCATCCCCATTAAGAATTCTTCTATCATGAATTATTTAAAATGTATTTTTTAGAGTAGACTAAGGGAAAAATATAACATTCATGGGAAATTTTCAAACAATAAAATTATATTCATCATTTGACACTTAAATGTGACTAAAATACCAACATGGCAATTCAAACATAATAACAGATATAACTAAATGCATAATAATCACCCTTATTGTGGACAATGGGTTATCTATCCCCTCAAGCATTTATCATTCATGTTACAAACAATCCAATTACACTCTTTCAGTCATTTAAAAATATACAATCAAGTTATTGTTGACTATGGTCAATCTCTTGTGCTATCAAATAGTAGGGGTTACTCATTCTATTTTTTTTGTACCCATTAACCATCCCCACCTCCCCACCCCGAAGCCCCTACTACCATGCCCAGCCTCTGATGACCATCCGTCTGCTCTCTAGGTCTATGAGTTCAATTGTTTTTTTTTTTTTAGAGCCCCATAATAAGTGAGAACATGTGATGTTTATCCTTCTGTGCCTGGTTTATTTCACTTAACAAACATAGTGATCTCCAGTTCCATGTTGTTCCAAATGACAAGATCTCTTTTTTTTTTTTTTTTTTTTTGAGATGGAGTTTCACTCTTGTTGCCCAGGCTGGAGTGCAATGGCGTGATCTGGGCTCACTGCAACCTCCACCTCCTGGATTCAAGTGATTCTTCTATCTCAGCCTCACGAGTAGCTGGGATTACAGGTGCCCGGCACCACATCCAGCTGATCTTTGTATTTTTAGTAGAGATGGGGTTTCTCCATGTTGGTCAGGCTGGTCTCGAACTCCCGACTTCAGGTGATCTGCCCACCTCAGCCTCCCAAAGTGCTGGGATTATAGGCATGAGCCAGTGCACTTGGCCAGGATCTTATTGTTTTTTGTGGCTAAATAATACTCTCTTGTGTATATGTACTACATTTTCTTTATCCATTCATCTGTTGATGGGCACTTAGGTTGCTCCCAAATCTTAGCCATTATGAACAGTGCTGCAACAAACAGGGAATGCAGATATCTCTTCTATATACTGATTTCCTTTTTTATGGGTATCTACCCAGCAGTGGGATTGCTGGATCATATGGTAGTTCTATTTTTAGTTTTTTGAGTAACCTCCAAACTGTTCTCCAATTGGTTCTACTAATTTACATTTCCAAGAACAGTGTATGAGGGTTCTCTTATCTTCACATCTTTGTCAGGATTTGTTATTGCCTGACTTTTGGATATAAACCATTTTAGCTGGGGTGAGATGATATCTCATGGTAGTTTTCTACACTGAGAATTTCTCTAATGATCAATGATGTTAAGCATCTCTTGATATGCCTGTTTACCATCTGTATGTTTTCTTTTGAGAAATGCCTATTCAAATCTTATCCTCATTTAAAAAATTAATTATTAGATTTTTTCCTAGAGAGTTGTTTGAGCTCCTTACATATTCTGGTTTTTAATCCCTTCTCAGATGGGTAGTTTGCAAATATTTTCTCCCATTCTGTGGGCTGTCTCTTCACTTTGCTAATTGTTTCCTCTGCTATGAAGCAGTTTTTTTAACTTGATGTGATCCCATTTGCCCATTTTTGCTTTGCTTGCCTGTGCTTGTCAGGTATAGCCCAAATAATTTTTGCTCAGACCAATGTCCTGGAGATTCCTCCCAATGTTCTCTTGTAGTAGAACAGTTTCATTGAGGTCTTAGATTTAAGTCTTTAATTCATGTTGATTTGATTTTTGTATATGGTGAGAGGTAGGGGTCTAGGTGCATTCTTCTGTATATGTATATCCAGTTTTCCCAGAACCATTTGTTGAAGAGATGTCTTTTGTTAAATGTATGTTCTTGGCACATTTATTAAAAATGAGTTCACTGTAAGTGTGTGTGGATTTGTTTCTGGGTTCTCTATTCTGTTCCAGTGGTCTATGTGTGTGTTTTTATGCCAGTGCCATGGTGTTTTGGTTATATAGTTCTGTAGTATAATTTGAAATCAGGTAAAGTGATTCCTCCAGCTTTGTTCTTTTTGCTTAGAATAGCTTTGGCTATCCTGGGTCTTTTGTGGCTCTATATAAATTTTAAGATTGCTTCTTCTATTTCTGTGAAGAATGTCATTCATATTTTGACAGGGAGTGCATTGCATCTGTAAATTGCTTTGGATAGTATGGACATTTTAAAAATATTGATTCTTCCAATCCATGAACATGGAATCTCTTTCCATTTTTTAGTGTCCTCTACAATTTCTTTTATCAGTGTTTTATCATTTTCATTATAAAGACCTTACACTTCTTTGGTTAGGTTAATTTCTAGGTATTTAATTTTATTTGTGGCTATTGTATACAGGACTTTTTAAATGTCCTTTCCAAATGGTTCACTGTTGACACATAGAAATGCTACTGATTTTTGTATATTGATTTTGTATCCTGAAACTTTACTGAACTTATCAATTCTAATAGTTTATTTTGTGGAGTCTTTAGTATTTTCCAAATAAAATGTATCATCTGCAAACACAAGGATAATTTTACTTCTTCCATCCCAATTTGGATTTCTTTTTTTATTCCCTTTCTTTCTCTTCTGTAATGGCTCTATCTAGGACTTCCGGTACTATGTTGGACAACAGTGGTAAAAGTGGAAATCCTCATTGTGTCCTAGATCGCAGAGAAAAGCTTTTCATTTGTTCACCATTCAGTACGGTATTGACTGTGGGTCTGTCATATATGGTTTTTATTATGTTGAGGTGTGTTACTTCTTTAGCCAGTTTTTTAGGGTGTTTACCATGAAGGGATGTTGAATTTTATCAAATGCTTTTTCAGCATCAACTGAAATGATCTTATGTTTTTTATCCTTTATTGTGTGGATATAATGTATCGCACTGATTGATTTGCAAATGTTGAACCATCCTTGCATCCCAGAGACACATCCCACTTGTTATGATGAATGATCTTTCCCATATATTGTTGAATTCAGTTTTCTAGTATCTTGTTGAGGATTTCTGCATCAATATTTGTCAGATATATTAGCATGTTTTTGGTTTTGGTTTTGGGGTTTTTTTGTTTTATTTTTATTTTTATTTTTTTTGAGACAGAATCTCACTCTGCCACCCAGGCTGGAGTGCAGTGGTGTGATCTCAGCTCACTGCAACCTCTGCCTCCCAGGTTCAAGTGAGTCTCCTGCCTCGGCCTCATGAGTAGCTGAAATTACAGGCGACTGGCACCACACCCAGCTAATTTTTGTATTTTTAGTAGAGACGGGGTTTCACCATATTGGCCAGGCTGGTCTTGAACTCCTGACCTCCAGTAAACCACCCGCCTCTGCCTCCCAAAGTGCTGGGATTACAGGAGTTAGCCACCACTTCCAGCCTACATGTGTCTTTATGGGAAAAGAGTGTTTCCTGTAGGAAACAGAGCAATGGGTCTTTTTATTTTATTTATTTATTTATTTTTGAGCTGGAGTCTTGCTCTGTCACCAGACTGGAGTGCAGTGGCATCATCTCGGCTCACTGCAACCTCTGCCTCCCGGGTTCAAGTGATTCTCCTGCCTCAGCCATCTGAGTAGCTGGGACTACAGGTGCGCACAACTACACCCTGCTAATTTCTGTATTTTTAGTAGAGACAGGGTTTCACCATGTTTGCCAGCATGGTTTCTAGCTCTTGACCTCGCGATCTGCCTGCCTTGGCCTCCCAAACTGCTGGGATTACAGGCGTGAGCCACCACACCTGGATGGGTCTTGTTCTTTCATCCATTCATCCACTCTATCTTTTGATTGAAAAGTTTAGTCTACTGACACTCAATGTTATTATTGGTAAGTAAGGACTTACTCCTGCCATTTTGTTATTTGTTTTCTGGTTGTTTTGGGGTCTTCTCTTCCTTCTTTCCTTCCTGTCTTCCATTAGTGAAGGTAATTTTCTCTGGTGATATGACTTAGTTTCCTGTTTTTTATTTTTCGTGTATCCATTGTTATGTTTTTTGGTTTGAGGTTACCATGAGGCTTGTAAATACTATCTTATAATCCATTATTTTAATCTTATAATAAGTTTTCATAAACAAGTAAAAAGAAAACTAATAAAAACTCTACAACTTAACTTTGTCTCCCTATTTTTTAACTTTTTGTTATTTCTATTTATATCTTATCATACCATCTATGTCTTGAAAAGTTGTAGTTAATATTTTTGATTGGCTCATAGTTTAGTCTCTCTACTTAGAATAAGAGTAGTTTATTCATCATAGTTACAGTGTTATAACATTCTGCAGTTTTCTGTATACCTACTATCACTGGTGAGTTTTATACCTTCAGGTTGTTACTTATTGCTCATTAATGTCCTTATCTTTCTGATTGAAATATTCCCTCTAGCATTTCTTCTAGGACAGGACTGGTGTTGACAAAATCCCTCAGCTTTTGTGTGGAAAAGTCTTTATTTCCCCTTCACTTTGAAGGATATTTTCACTGGATACACTGTTCTAGGGTAAATGTTTTATTCCTTCAGCAATTTCAGTATGTCATGCCACTCTCTCCTGGCCTGAAACGTTTCTACTAAAGAGTCTGCTTCCAGATATATTGTAGCTCCATTGTATATTACTGGTTTCTTTTCTCTTGATGCTTTTAAGATCCTTTCTTTGTCCTTGATCTTTGGGACTGTGATTATTAAATTCCTTGAGGTAGTCTTCTTTGAGTTACATCTGCTCGGTGTTTTATAACTTTCTTGTACTTGGATATTGATATCTTTCTGTAGGTTTGGGACGTTCTGTTACTATCCCTTTGAATAAACTTTCTACACTCTCCACCTCCTCTTTAAGGCCAATACCACTTAGATTTGTCCTTTTGAGGCTATTTTCTAGATCCTGTAGGCATGCATCATTGTTTTTCATTCTTTCCTTTGTCTCCACTATGTATTTTGAAATAGCCTGTCTTCAAGCTCATTAATTCTTTCTTCTGGTTTATCAATTCTGCTATTAAAAGACTCTAATGCATTCTTTGGCACGCCAATTACATTTTTTGGCTCCAGAATTTCTGCTTCTTTTAAATTATGTCAATCTCTTTTAAATCTCTATTAAATCTCTATTAAACTTATCTAATAGAATTATGAATTCCTTCTCTGTGTTATCTTGAATTTCCTCAACACAGCTATTTTGATTTCTTTGTCTGAAAGGTCACATATCTCTGTTTCTACAGGATTGGCCCCTGCTGTCTTATTTAGTTCATTTGGTGAGGTCATGTTTTCCTGGATAGTGTTGATGCTAGCAGATGTTCTTTGGTGTCTGGGCATTGAAGAGTTAGGTATTATTGTAGTTTTCACTGTCAGGGCTTATTTGTACCCATCTTTCTTGGGAAGGCTTTCCAGGTATTTGAAAGAACTTGGATATTGTGATCTAATCTCTATCTGCTTTAGGGGGCACCCCAAGCCTCCTAAACTCTGTGGTTCTTGCAGACTCATAGTGGTACTGCCTTAATGGTCGTGGACAAGATCCAGGATAATTCTCTGCATTACCAAAAAGAGACTCTTGTTTTCTTCCCTTACTTTCTCCCAAACAAACAGAGTCTCTCTGTTCTGAGGCACCTAAAGCTTGGGGTTGAGTGACATAAGCACCTCTGTGGCCACCACTACTATGACTGCATTGGGTCAGACCTGAGGCCAGCACAGCACGGGGTCTTGCCCAAGACCTGCTGTAACCACTCCTTAGCTATTGCAGGAGTTTGCTGAAGGCCCTGGGGTTCTACAGTCATCACATGGTAAAAACAGCCAGGTCTGTGTCCTTCCCTTCAGGATGGCAAGTTCTCCTAGCCTCCAGGTGGATCCAAAGGTGCTGTCTGGGAATCAGGGCTAGATCAAAAAGTGTAAAAGTCTACCTAGTGTTTTATTGTGCTATGGCTGTCGCTCAAACCACAAGATGCAGTCCCTCCCACTCTTTCCACCACTGTCCAAAGGCAGAGGAGCATCAATCCATGGCCAACTCAAACACAGGCCATGGGGGGCTACTGCCAGACTACCACCAATGTTCTCATAAGGCCCAAAGGCTCTTAAGTCAGTTTGTAGTGAACGCTCCTGTTATTTTAAAATGCTTTTTTTTTTTTTTGGCGGGGGGAGGGGGGGGATGGAGTCTTGCCCTGTCACCCAGGCTAGAGTGCAATAGAGTGCAATGGTGTGATCTCGGCTCAATGCAACTTCTGCCTCCCAGGTACAAACGATTCTCCTGCCTCAGCCTCCCAAGCAGCTGGGATTACAGGCAACCACCACCATGCCCAGCTAATTTTTGTATTTTTAGTAGAGATGGGGTTTCACCATGTTGGCCAGGATTGTCTCGAACTCCTGACCTTGGGATCCTCCCACCTCAGCCTCCCAAAGTGCTTCTTATAAAAGTACAAAATAGCTTAATGCATTATAAAAATAATCAAACTTACCCTTCTACAAATACTCGAAGAAGAACATCCATGAGAAAAAATAAGGCAATAGCTAGAGAAATAGAATGATACTCCAAAGGAATATAAAGTTTGCTGTCAGTGAAAATTAAGTCGGCAAGGAGGGGAGTGACATCCAGTAAGGCCAGGAAAACTCCAAATATTCTAAAATAAATAAATAAATAAATAAATAAATAAATAAATAAATAAATGAATGCAAAGATAAAGGGGCATTTGTCCCTATAGCTATACTGTATTTAAGCCACTGATCAGGTACCAAAATGTTATTATTTAGTATTAAGCTGCCAAGTGGCAGGAAAAACTGTAATGCCTTAGAATCTCAGAAAAATCACTGTTTTCACCCAACAAGCAGTTCTTAATAAACAAAATTCTCACCAAACCACTTCACAAGATATTATCATGGCCTTTTATAGTAGACACATCAGACCAACACCTCAAGAGAGAAAAGTAAAACTGAATTAAAATCACCTGTGTCTGTTTACAAACTCTTCTTAAAATTTGAGAATTTCATAAGAAGTTTATATCAATTTCTCATAAAAAATAAACCTTCATTAATCTGGATAATTCTAAAGAATTTATCAATAAAAACCAAATGAAAGCATGAGTAACATAAGCTCTTAAAAGACCAAGATTTTTCATCAGTGACATTTTCAACAAGTACATGATTCCATATTTATGGGTGCTTCTAGCAGAGTGATGGGCACATGAGTCTTGAACTCTAAAGTACCTCCTGCCACTTGCTGTTACATATTCTAAATACATTCTCCATAAATTGATTAGACTATTTGCCTTATCTATGAAGGTGAATTAGTCTTTGAAGTACTTTTTTAAAAACTTGCAGCTCAAATTCAAATATTATTAATTCAAAAGGCAACAATTATATTGCATAAATCTATATCATGGTATGAAATCTTAATCTTATGTAGAGAAGAGTCTACGTAAATTATTTCCAGAATTAAGGAGTAATTCCAGATGTATAAGGTACTTAATAAAACACTTTACTAATAATTATAGAATTTTAACATTTGATTTTCATTAATGTTACTTTTGCAGATGGAAGAAAAATATTAATATGTTACTATTAATCTTAGGCAAAAGCCATTTATTTGCAATTCTTAATGTCCAGCTTAAACCACAATTCCATGATAAATTAGATTACATTAGATGGGGCACATGGCTACTTAGCAACTGATGGACAGTGGAAACGCTTTTTTGTTATTTTATTTCAGTGTTTCTCGTTGAAGTATTAAGTCTCATATATATATGTATGTATAGATATATATAAGACTCTTTTTTTTTCTTTTTTTTTTACATGGAGTCTTGCTGTGTTGCCAAGGCTGTGGTGCAATGGTGCAGTTTCAGCTCACTGCAACCTATGCCTCCTCAGTTCAAGCGATTCTTCTGCCTCAGCCTCCTGAGTAGCTGGGATTACAGGCACCCACCATTATGCTTGGCTAATTTTTGTATTTTTAGTAGAGATAGGGTTTCACCATGTTAGCCAGGCTGGTCTTGAACTCCTGACTTCATGTGATCCACCCACCTCCCAGAGTGCTGGGATTACAGGCGTGAGCCACTGCGCCCAGCCAAGTCTCAGATATATTTAATATATAGTGTTTTCTGTGTCTCACATACTCAAATGCAAAGGATGATACAATTGAATGCACAATTTTCTTAATCTTGCTGCTGCAAAAAGAAGTAAAAATAAAATTAATCAGATTTCCTCTAACATATATTGTAAATTTAACCAAAAAACAAAGGGCCTTATAAATATAATTTTGAAAGAAAATTATTCAGAAGTTGTATAACAAAATGCTTCTTACTAATAGCTAAAATTTTATTCTTCCTGCTCCGTGAGTATTTTACTTGTTTACTATGCTATCCAGAAGACAGTAAACTTTGGATGTTTAGTAACATTTCCATTGCATGCAAAGCCCCAACCCCAACTTTATGGCAATACTAAACTTAAACTTGCAGTCATCATCTCAAGGAGTATAGCATGAAGACAGAAAAGGGTGGTAGAAGAGAACTGTATTTTAATGCCAGCCTGGGCAAATCATCAAACTTTGGCCAGATCTCAGTTTCCACTGCAATAAAATAAGGTGTTTCAGGAAAGAGCACAGGGAGTAAATGATGCTCTTGTCATCTCCTCAAACTAGACACCTGGTGAACAGATACACATTAGCAAGAGTCGCATATGAGGTTGCAAATGAACTTCAGAGGTAAGACATTTTAGTAAGATATACTTCAAAGGAGAAACATGCGAAAGACTGGGCTCCTTCCATTAATCAAAGGAAGGAGAACCTCTTTGATGGAGCCTCCAATAATGCCTCATTTTACCTTATGGCTGGAGACAAGGTAGCTCATGAGGAACAATTTTTTTTGTCCTACTGAAGCCTCCTGTGTTGGAGGCTCTTCAGGAGGAGAAGCCTCCAACACAGGAGGCTTCAGTAGGAGAAGTCTTCAGGAAGTTTCTGTCATACTGAAGCCTCCAACACAGGACTCAAATTCCACCCCAAGAGCCATGAATCCTAAGACAATGCTCACAGCCTGTGCCTAAGACTGGAGAACAAAGAGGGCAGATACTGAGCAGAACTGGGGCACTGACAATTGGCCTTTGACATGAACAGACATTTCTCAAAAGAAGACATGCATGTGGCCAACAAGCATATGAAGAAAAGCTCAATATCACAGATTAGAGAAATGCAAATAAAAACCACAATGAGATACCATTTCACACCAGTCAGAATGGCTATTACTAAAACGTCAAAAAATAACAGATGCGGGCAAGGTTGCAGAGAAAAGGGAACACTTATACTTTGTTGGTGGGAGTGTAAATTAGTTCAATCACTGTAAAAAGCAGTATGGCAATACCTTGAAGAGCTAAAAGCAGAACTATTTGACTGAGCAATCCCATTACTGAGTAGATACCCATAGGAATATGAATCATTCTACTATAAAGATACATGCATATGAATGTTCACTGCAGCACTATTTACAATAGCAAAGACATGGAATCAACCTAGGTACCCATTAATGATAGATTGGATAAAGAAAATGTGGTACATATATACCATGGAATACTATGCAGCCATAAAAAAAGAATGAGATCATGTATTTTGTGGGAACATGGATGGAGCTGGAGGCTCTTATCCTTAGCAACCTAGTGCAGAAACAGAAAACCAAATACTGAATGTTCTCACCTATCAGTGGTAGCTAAATCATAAGGACTTATGAACACAAAGAAGGAAATAGACACTGGAGTCTTCTTAAGTGGGGAGGGTAGGAGGAGAGAGGATCAGAAAAGATAAGAAATTGGGTACTGAGCTTAATAACTGGATGATGAAATAATATGTAAAAAAAAAAAACCTCCCTGACACAAGTTTACCTATGTAACAAACCTCACGTGTACCTCCAAACCTAAAATGAAAGTTAAAAAAAACAAAATTGGCCTTTGATGAATGACGTTAGGTTACCCTGAGATAAAGGAAATCCCCAATCCTTCTAATCTTCCCCTCTCCACCTGGACCCACCACCTCCACCCAGGCTTGGAGAGTTAAGGCTGATATAGATGGAGGATCAATTGTCCAAAAGAGGTGAATTCTCTCCTCCAGTTGCCATTCCCTTACTACAAGAACCTCTGATCCCACACAGTCTACTGGATCTCTGGGTATCAAGGAAAAGTCATAAATCTGAACTCACTTGACAATGTCACCATACAGAACCAAGTCTGACAGATTATGAAGCCATAAAAAAGTGGCTTGGGTGGCTTTAGCCCCTTAATCTGTTTTGGTGTCCCCTGAAACTATACCAAGTAAATACACAATTGAGAGTTTTTTGTTAAAAAAAAGTGTACTATGTAAATGCAGCTTCAAGCAGTCATGTGCAGAGTTTGCAGGGAAATAACTATGATTCAGTAAATCCATATCCAGGAAAAGTACTGTTCACACTCGGGAGCAACAGACAGACACTCCAACATGAAGCAACACGAAGCATAGCCTCCATGTACCTTTCCTAAAAACAATTACTCAAAGTGCTTGAGTGAGCTGAGCAATGAATCAAAATGAAGAACACAGAAATAAGGAAGATAACTAACAGAGAAAAGATGGTAAATAATATAAACTAAAAATTAGGTAAGTCTAAATAATAATTGTTAATGTAGCATAAAACTGTAGCAGGTGAAGAAAAGCAACGACAACAAAAGCCAAAATTGACAAGTGGGATCTAATTAAACTAAAGAGCTTCTGCACAGCAAAAGAAACTACCATCAGAGTGAACAGGCAACCTACAGAATTGGAGAAAATTTTTGCAATCTACTCATCTGACAAAGCACTAATATCCAGAATCTACAAAGAACTCAAACAAATTTACAAGAAAAAAACAAACAACCCCATCAAAAAATGGGCAAAGGATACGAACAGACACTTCTCAAAAGAAGACATTTATGCAGCCAACAGACACATGAAAAAATGCTCATCATCACTGGTCATCAGAGAAATGCAAATCAAAACCACAATGATATACCATCTCACACCAGTTAGAATGGCTATCATTAAAAAGTCAGGAAACAACAGGTGCTGGAGAGGATGTGGATAAATTGAATGCTTTTACACTGTTGGTGGGACTGTAAACTAGTTCAACCATTGTGGAAGTCAGTGTGGCAATTCCTCAAGGATCTAAAACTAGAAACACCATTTGACCCAGCCATCCCATTACTGGGTATATACCCAAAGGATTATAAATCATGCTGCTATAAAGACACAAGCACACGTATGTTTATTGCTGCACTATTCACAATAGCAAAGACTTGGAACCAACCCAAATGTCCAACAGTGATAGACTGGATTAAGAAAATGTGGCACATATACACCATGGAATACTAAGCAGCCATAAAAAAGGATGAGTTAATGTCCTTTTTAGGGACATGGATGAAGCTGGAAACCATCATTCTCAGCAAACTATCGCAAGGTCAGAAAACCAAACACTGCATGTTCTCACTCATAGGTGGGAATTGAACAATGAGAACCCCTGGACACAGGAAGGGGAGCATCACACACCAGGGCCTGTCATAGGGTGGGGAGATGGGGGAGGGATAGCATTAGGAGATACACTTAATGTAAATGATGAATTAATGGGTACAGCACACCAACATGGCACATGCATGAATATGTAACAAACCTGCACATTGTGCACATGTACCCTAGAACTTACAGTATAATAATAAAAAAAAAAGTAGCAGGTGAAAATGTAAATAAATGATTCTAAAAGTAAAGATGAATAATAAAAAATCATGAATAATAGTATTGATTTGAATTTTTAGGCATTCTTACACTAGGATTCAAGGTGTGGAAGAAGATAGAAGTAAAGGCAGGTTGCATTTCTTATCTTTCACAGGTACAAGTTCAGCTTTATTCTCTATATTGATGGAAAAAATGGTATAATTATGTTTTCTAAACATTTAAATATAAACATTGATAGACTAGAAATGGGCTTCTGACTTGTATATCAACAAAAAATGCAAGGGATAAAAACAAAATCAATTAATAGCAAAATATAGACAAATTTACAAAGAAAATATCAAAGTATTTTTAATAAAGAAAAAGATGATAAATAAAACCAAACATATCAGAAATCATAAATACAAACATATTACTCTCATATTGCATATTGAGAAATACTCTCAGATAACTTTGAAATTAAAGGCATTACATGCTATACACGAGAGACAAAAACTAAATTTAAATGACAATTCAAAAATAAAGAGATAGAGGCCAGGCGCTGTCGCTCACACCTGTAATCCCAGCACTTTGGGCGGCCAAGGTGGGTGGATCATGAGGTCAAGAGATCGAGACCATCCTGGCCAACATGGTGAAACTCCATCCCTACTAAAAATACAAAAAATTAGCTGGGTGTGGTGGTGCGTGCCTGTAGTCCCAGCTACTCAGGAGGCTGAGGCAGGAGAATCGCTTGAACCTGGGAAGCGGAGGGTGCAGTGAGCTGAGTGGCACCACTGCACTCCAGCCTGGTGACAGAGCAAGACTCTGGCTCAAAAAAAAAGAGAGAGAGAGAAAGATATGAGATACTAAACCTTATAACACTGAAAGTTCCAATATTATTATCAAAGTTGAATTAAAAGCATAAATATTAACTATGAACATGATGTCATTTTTCAACAGTAGAAGGTGGAAGCTACCTGACACTAACAAGACCATGTTTAACGAAATGGGATTTGTATTGAAGGCAGGTGCTATCTCTCCCACTAGACACATTTTTCTCTTGTGCAGACTCTGGGAGTAGGGAGGTGGCCATGATGCAAAGCACGAAAAACACTTTAGTGACTCTGGTCTTCCTGCTCACTCTAGATCACTAAAACAGGGTAAGGACAATACATGGGGATGACATGTTCATGCTGAAAAAACTATGAGTCACTTAGGAGAAAAGTAAATTTCTACATTTTATACCTTAAGACAAAGTAAATTCAGGGCAGATATTTTATTTAAATGAAGAAAATAAATTCAAAACAGAAATGTTGGTGAATATATTTAAAATCTTGGGGTAAGAAGGACTTTCTGAGAATAACATTAAAGGCAAAATCACAAAGAAAAGTATAGATACATTTGATTACATGAGGATTAAATGCTTTTATATAGTGAAAAGCAAGACAACCTGGGAGAAATTGCTTATATTACATAAAATAGAAAAAGGATCAATAGATTTAACTTTTCAGTCCAAAGACAGAAAAGGATAAATGAAGGTGTGTCAAAGAACGTGCATTAGAACAAATATATTTACTAATATCAGAGAAATCAATGATGGCTAGTGTTAAGTGTGGGAGGGGAGAAATGTACACTTTGCATCTTGATGTTAAAGCACATATCAATATCAATAGCGTCACAATCATTCCCTTTGACACAGAATTTCCACTTCTGAGAATTTATAACAAGCAAATAACCAACAATATACAGAGATTTAGCCTCAAATAAATTCATTTTTGTAACAGTTAAAAACTTGTAAAAAACTTAATTGTTCAGCAATATCTGACTATTAAATGAATTATAGCACATCTACACCATGAAATATTACACAACTGTTACAAATAATGCTGTAAGTGCACATGAATATATATTAACAAAAAAATAGCCATGATGTCATTAATAAGGTTATTTACAAAAGAATAAGTATGGTCTCATATCTGTAAACAAAAAAAAATATGCTTAAGGAACTTAGAAGTGCAAGCACCAAAGTTTAAGAATGACTATATGTGGGTAGATTTGTTGATTGTATTTTCTGATTTTCCTTTAATGAACTCTTACGTTATTTTCAGTTTTTAGAATAAAACCTATTTACAGAACTACAGAGTTTTCAAAGTATTTTTGCATGTTATTTTCATTTTATTACTAATTTTTTACAATACAATATCCAGTACATAGATTGCATTATAGCCAGTTTACATTTGAATAATCTGAAAGTCAAAGAGAGTTAGTGACTTGCTGAGTATCAGGTGAATGAATACATGAGGCCAAAGCCAGCTTTTACTATAAATCCAGTATCATCTCCCTGGTATGAAACACCAGCATTTCTCACAGGGACTACTGCAAATTCCTCCTACATCTATGTAATGAGACTTTGTAATTTGAAAATAAAATAAAATGAAAACCTGCTTTATTTTGTTTGGAGTAGGGAAAGAAGGAAATGTTTACCTTGTTTAATCTGTCTAATTTTGTTTCAGCCCTGGGCAGCTTCATTACAGAAAACGTATAGCTAATCTGCAGACACACAGTTTAACTCAGTGGCAAATTCAGGGTAATTTGAAGAACTATTTGTATTTGCCCTCTTTGTTTCCAATCTTTGTTTAGACACCAACAGCTTACAACCATGGTGAGTTAACTTCATCGATGGCAGTACTTCCTCTCCAGCATTGACACAAGCTAGTGAATGGTTATACAACTGGGCAAGAAAGAAGCAGAAGAAAAATCTCCTGAATATGTCTGCAGTTCAGACACAAGCCAGTTTAAGAATGTATTGTTTCATTAGTGAGTACATGATAAAATGCCTTCAGGTCAGTGCAACAGGAAGTACTCTAGTGAGATTAGAAACAAATAAGAATAAAATCCCAATGACCATAAAGAGGTCTTTAGTCAGCAAAATATGTTTGCTTTTGCTATCAATACTATTTGCTCATAGGAAAAATCTACAAAATTGGGAATCACACCATATCCAGTAAAAATGAGAAACATTCACTATTGATGAGTTAAGTAGCATTCTGCATTCCTGTCTTTTTTAAAAAAAAACTTTTAATGGAATTAATTTCCTCTAAGAATACTTTTTACATTTTCAAGCTAGAAGAACATTTATTTCTGAATGGATGGAATTTTTTTTTTCAAAATAATGCTTGTCTAAGAATTCAACTGGAGTAAATACGGTGTACCCTCCCACCCATACATTTTGATATCTTTCCATAGTTTCCCTTTTTCCTTCTTGCCTCAGCGGAAGCCCTGTTTAACTAAAGATAAGAGATCCATCAATGGCTCCCTCCTTTCAAACTTCAAACTGACTTACTCATATGAAGCAACATTTTCAGCACCTTCAACTTTAAACTTGGAAAGTCGTTCTAACATACTTTAGCCACAAAAAAAAATGCAAAAATATATCATTAGATATTTGCTACACAAAATAATGATGAAAAATATATTTGAATAACAAGAATCCCATGAATCTAAAGGATATAGTAAACATGACTTAGCTCACTGGAAGACCTAATATTTAAGAAAGAAAATTACAATCATTAATCAGAAACTCTTTCCTCATGGATACTCCCAACACTGAATTTTGCATCTTTTTATCTTCTCTCTCTGTCTCTTTCTATATATATGTATATAAAGATATATAAAAGAATATGTATATGGATATATAATATATAAATAATATGTGTATAGACATATCTCAAAGACATTGTGGGTTTCATTCCAGACTACTGCAATAAAGCAAAAACTGCATTAAGCAACTCACACAAATGTTTTGGGTTCCCTGTGCATATAAAAGTTATGTTTAACCTACACTGTAGCCTGTTAAGTTTGCAATGGCATTATGTTCAAAAAACTTATGTACATACTTTAATTAAAAACTACTTTATTGGTTAAAAAATGCTAATGATCACATGAGCCTTTAGCAAGTCATAGTCATTTTGCTGGCGGAGGGCGTTTTCTCCATGTTCATGGCTGCTGACTGATCAGAGTGGTGGTTGCCAATGGTTGGAGTGGCTGAGGCAATTTCTTAAAATAGGACAACACTGAAGTTTGCTGTAGAAAATGACTCTTCCTTTCACAAGTGAGGATTAAGTGGTGAAGCCGTCAGGTCCTGGACTTTGTTGAAAGCCTTTTTATTACGGATTAAATCTCCTTACTTGTTTTTGGTCTGTTCAGGTTTTCTATTTCTTCTTGGTTTAGTCTTGGTAGGTCGTATAGGTCAAGGATTTTGTCCACCTCCTCTAGGTTTTCAAATTTATTGTGGAGTTGCTCATAATAGTCTCTAATAATTATTTTTATTTCTGTCATATCTGTTATGAGGTCTCTTTTTTTTGTTTCTGATTTTACTTATTTGGGTCTTCCCTTTTTGTTAATTAGTCTAGCTGATGGTTTGTTGATATTTTTTAAACCTGCTTTTTGTTGTTAACCTTTTGTAATTTTTGCATCAAATTTGTTTATTTCTGTTTGGTCTTCATTATTTATTTCCTTTTAATAATTTGGGGTTTGGTTTGTTCTTACTATTCTAGTTTCTTGAGGTAGAATTGTTCAGTGGTTTATTTGAAAGTTTTCTAGTTTTTTTGATCCAGGCATTTATTGCTAAAAACATACTTCTTTTTTTTTTATATACTTTAAGTTCTAGGGTACATGTGCACAATGTGCAGGTTTGTTACATATGTATAAATGTGCCATGTTGGTGTGCTGTTCCCATTAACTCGTCATTTACATTAGATATATCTCCTAATGCTATCCCTCCCCCCTCCCCCTACCAAACAACAGGCCCCAGTGTGTGATGTCCCCCTTCCTGTGTCCAAGTGTTCTCATTGTTCAAATCCCACCTATGAGTGAGAACATGTGATGTTTGATGTTTTCTTCTTGCGATAGTTTGCTGAAAAAATGATGAGTTCATGTCTTTGTAGGGACATAGATGAAGCTAAAAACATACTTCTTAATAACTGCTTTTGCTGTGTCTCCTGTTTTGGTATATTGTGTTTCTAGTTACATTTGTTTCAAGGAATTCTTAAATTTCATTCTTAATTTCTTTCTTCACTTGTTGTAATTCAAGGGCATGTTGTTTAATTTCCATATGTCTGTATAGTTTTGAATGTTCCTCTTGTTATGAATGTCTGTTTTATTCCATTGTGGTAAGATAAGATACCTGATAGAATTTCAATTTTTAAAAATTTGTTTAGACTTGTTTTGTAGCCTAACATATGGTCTATCTTGGATAATGTTCTATGTGCTGATGAAAAGAATATGTATTCTGCAGCTGTTAGGTGAGATGTTCTGTATATGTTTGTTATTTATGTTCATTTGGTCTATGGTGAAGTTTAAGTTTGATGTTTCTTTGTTGATTTTCTGTCTAGACGATTTGTCCAATGCTGAGATTGAGTGGGATGCGGAAGTGTCCAACTCTCTTTGTAATGGGGTCTATCTCCCTCTTTAAATCTAGTAATATTCGCTTTATATATCTAGGTGCTCTGGTGTTTGAGTGCATACATATTTACAATTATACACATATTACAATTATATTTCTTGCTGAATTGAACCCTTTATTATTACATAATAATCTCATTTGTCAATTTTTATAGTTTTTAACTTGAACTCTGTTTTGTCTGATACAGTATAGCTATTCCTGCTCACTTTTGGCTTCCATTTGCATAGAATATCTTTTTCCATCCCTTCATTATCAGTCTATGTGTTTCTTTAAAAGTAAAGTGAGTTTCTTTTAGATAAAATATAGTTGGGTCTTATTTTTTAATCCACTCAGTAAGTCTATATCCTTCATGGGGTATTTAATCTATTAACATTCAAAGTTATTATTGGTAGATGAGGAGTTACTTCCAACGTTTTATTGTTTTCTGGTTGTTTCGTATATGTTTTATTCCTTTCTTCCAGTTTACTTTTGAAGTTGGTTAGTTTTCTGTAGTGATAAGGTTTCATTCCTTTCTCTTTCTCCTTTATGTATTGACTCTAACAGTGACTTTTAAAGTTTTTCATGTTTTCATGATGGTGGTTATCATCTTTTTACTTCCAGATGTAAGACTCCCTTGGGCATTTCTTGTAAGGCTGGTCTAGTGGTGATGAATTATCTTTGTTCTGGTTTATCTATGACAGATTTTATGTCTTCTTCATTTGTAAAGGATAGCTGTGCTGGGTATAATATTCTTGGCTGAAAGATTTTTTTCTTCCAGAACTTTGAATATATCATCCCATTCTCTTCTAGCCTAAGGTTTCTGCTGGGAAATCAGCTGTTAGTCTAATGGGGATTCCATTATAAGTGTGTTACTTTTCTCTTGCTATTTTAAACTTTTCCTTCTGGAATGCCCATAATATGAATATTTGATCAAATTAATGGTGTCCTATAAATCCTGTAGGATTTTTTCATTCTTTTTTATCCCTTTTTGCCTGTCTGTGTTATTTCAAAAGACTTGTCTTCAAGTTCAGAAACGATTTCTTCTGCTTGTTCTTGTCTGTAAAGCCATTGATTGTATTTTTTCATTTCATCCACTGAACTGTTTAGCTCTTAGGGCTTCTGTTTGGTTATTTTTATATCTGTATCCTTACTTAATTTCTCTTTCAAATCATGTTTTCCTGATTTCATTGACTTGTCTATCTGTATTAACTTACATCTCACTGAGTTTCCCTAAGATTATTCTTTTTTCTGTCATTTCATATGTTTATGATTGGGTTCTATTACTGGATCATTATTATTTCCCTTTGTAGGTGACATGTTTTCTTGCATTTTCACGGTTGCTGTGTTTCTAAATTGATTTCTATGCATCTGGTGAAAAAGTCACCTTTTCCAATTTTATGGAGTAGATTTACTTGTATGAATTTATTTGTATGAATGGGTCTTGGATGTCAGTTCATTGGGGTATACTGGCCTTGGTTCTACATGGATGCAGTAAGTGTAGTCTCTATGTAGTTTATTCAGCTGTGATCCACACTAGTAAAATTTGCAAGTTACTCAGTGGACTAGGTTAAGGAAGTTTGTAGTGATGGTGGTGCAGCCTTGCCAGGGTGGGCTCACAGGGCTGTTTCTCAGGGTAGGGGTGTGTGCAGGCATACAATGGGTCAGAAAACATGGAGTATGGCTTTATGCGGCTGGCCATGATGCTGTCACTCTAGCCAGGAGCATGGGGATGCAGTTGCTCAACCAGGGCATGACTGCCAGATGCGCTTTGCAGGACAGTTTCTCAGGCCCAGGATGCAGGCACACAGCTGTTTGCCTGGCCTGGAAGCATGCACTCCAGGAGTGGCCTGAAGGGCTGTTTCCCATACCTGGTATGTGGGCACACAACTGTTCATCTGGGCTGGGGCCAGTCTGCTGGGGGAAACTCATGGGCCAAATATATAGCTGCAAAGCTGCTAAGCTGGACTGAAGGTATCTTGGCCAGGGCTGGCCAAGAGGGGTGTTTCTCAGGCCTGGGATACAGTCAAATGACTTCTCAGCTGTCCTGGATGTGACTGCTGGGGGTAGTCCATAGAGCTGTTCTAGCTCAGGATGTGGGCACACTGTTGCTCAGCTGGCCTGGGTGGTGCCTGCCAGGGGAAGCCCAGGGGACTGCTTCTATGAGCCAGGATGTGGACACGAGGCTGCTCGGCTGGCCTAAGGGCATGTCTTCTGGGAGTAGCCCATGGAGCTCTTTCTTAGGTCCAGGACATGGGCATTCATGGCTGATTGGCTGGTCTGGAGGTGCATCTGCTGGGAATGGATACAGAACTATTTCTCAGGCTCATGCAAGGTTGCACAGCTGCTTAGTTGGCCTGGGAGTGTTTCTGTGGGGGGTGGCCTAAAGGGCTGTTCCTCAAGCTGGGACATAGGTATGTGGCTGCTTAGTTGGCCTGACAGTCTGCTGGCCAGAGTAAGCTCCCAGGGTTGTTTCTCGGCCCTCAGACTTGGGCATACACAACTGCTTGTCTCTCAGGTCTGAGACACAGGTGCAAGGCCCACTCAGTGGTGTTCCTGCTGGGGGCAGCCTGTGGGACTGTTTCTCAGGCCCTTATTAAAGGCAGAGGGCTCCTGGGCAGGCCAGGAGCATGTCTGTGGTGGATGGGGCCTGCAAGGCTGTTTCCTTGCATGGGCTCATAGTCACTCTGTTGACCTGGGGGTGTATCAGCTGCTCAGAGGCTTAGGGGCGTCTCCCACTTGGGAGAGGGCATGTAGTGGTTTGCCTGTCTTAAGAGTGAATTTACCCTGGATGGGACTGCAGATTATTCCTCTGTCTGGAAGCGTGGTGGTGGGGGTTGATTTCCCTGCTCTGCATTACTTGAGTTACAGCCAGTCCTGGGTCCAACCTCCACACAGCCGGGATTGTGGCTTTAACCCACCCATGTGGGCTTGGTGTACTGAAGATAAAGCTCCAGTGCTGGAGAGGCAGACTGGCTACTGGCCCCCAGAGGAGGGCACACTCAAGAGATGACTCTGGTCTCATGATGGTGCTGTGTTGCTGCAGCTTAAGTCTCTGGGGGTGGGAAGTCTTCATCTTGTACTCCTAGTCCAGGACATGCAGGTGTGTCAATTTTTGGCAATACTCCAAACTGGCCTGAGGGCTTGCAAAGACTGTGAGATTCTCCTGTTGTAAAGACTTTGTGTTTGTGATGGCAGTGGGGCTGGTGGGGATCTTCTGCTTACCTTCAACCTGCAATGAGAAGTCCCTCCTGTCTCTGGGCCAATTCAATCCAGATGGGGCAGAAGGGGCGGCACAGGCGGAGTGCTTCCATGCTGTGGCAACTTCCCATCACCACAGACGTGTCTCCACTCCTTTGCTGCACTCCAGGACTATCCCTTCAATACTCTAATCAAATCTTAGATGTGTATTTCTTGCCTTGGTTCTTTCTTGTAGGGGAGATGAGCACCAGGCATCTCTAGTCACCCATCTTGCTTGATTTAGCATAATTCATAAGGGCCCCAGGATTTTCAGAAGAGTCAATGATTATTGGCTTCAACTTAAAGTCATCAGCTTCATTAGCCCCTAAAAAGAGAATTGGCCTGTGCTTTGAAGATTTGAAACCATGTGTTGACTTCTCCTCTCTAAATATAAAAGTCCTAGATGGCATCTTCTTCCAATAAAAGGCTATCTTGTCTACATTGAAAATGTGTTCTTTAGTTTGGCCACTGTCATCAATTATCTCAACTAGATCTTCTGGATAACTTGCTGCTGCTTCTGCATCGGCACTTGCTGTTTACCTTTCACTTTTATGTGATGGAGATGGCTTCTTTCCTTAAACGTCACGAACCAATCTTTTAGCTTCAAGCTTTTCTTCTGTTGCTTCCTTACCTCTCCCAGGCTTCATTGAATCAAAGAGACTGAGGGCCTTGTCCTGGATTAGGCTTTGGCTTAAGGGAATGCTGTGGCTGGTTTGATCCTTTATCCAGACCACTAAAACATTCTCCGTATTAGCAATCAGACTGTTTTGCTTTCTCAACATTTTTATGTTCACTGGAGTAGCAGTCTTAATTTTCTTTAAGAAGTATTTTGGCTTTTCTGTTTTGTTTTGTTTTTGTTTTTGTTTTACATTCACAACTTGGCTGAACTGGTGCAAGAAGTCTAGCCTTCCTCACAATCATTACTAGCTTTTGGTTTAAAGTGAGAGACATGTGACTCTTCCTTTCACTAGGACACTCAGAGACCATCATAGGCTTATTAAATGGCCTACTTTCAATAGTGTTGTGTCTCAGGGAATAGGGAGGTCCCAGGAGAAGGAGAAAGATGGGGGAATGGCTAGTCAGTGGAGCAGTCAAAACAAACATGTCATTGATTAGGCTTGTCATCTTAATATGGACATGGTTCATGTTGCCCCAAAACAACTACAATAGTAATATCAAAGATCACTGATCACAGATCACCATAACAGATATGATAATAAAAAGTTTGGAATATTGCAAGAATTATTACAATGTGACAGAGACGCAAAGTGAGAACGCGCTGTTGGAAAAATAAAACCAGGAGACTTGCTCAATGCAGGGTTGCTACAAACCTTCAGTTTACAAAAAAAGTAATATTTGAGGGGCAATAAAGTAAAGCACAATAAAAACAAGATATACCTGCATATACACACATATATATGTGTATATAAACTATATATATGTATATATACATATATATGCTAAAGGATATATACATATATGTTTACATATATATACACATGCTCATATATATTAAAGGATATATATATGACTACTGATGTTATTAATTTGGGTCAGTGCTAAATAATATATCTATATATTGATATGTATATACAGATATATATACACACATTTAAATATGCACATATGTAGACATGTATATAGATATGTGTATATCTATATACACATAAATACATTTTTATATATCTATATATACTACATATATAGCTAAAAGATATATCTGTATATATACACACACACATATATACATGTGTGTTATATCTGTCTGTCTGTGTGTGTGTGTGTGTGTGTGTGTAGATATATCCTTTAGCACTGACCCAAATTAATAACATCAGTAGTTTTCAATGACACCACCAATGAAAGGTGAGTTATATCAAAGATATATCAAAGTAGTGAAAGATTACTGATGTCATTTTATCCGGGCCAGTGCTAACAATTAAAAATGTACACATCAGGTCAAGTGACTTCAGAGACATACTTTTCTGGTTGAAATTATGTACAATTGCTCTACATTTATAAACTGGCTGAACTCTGAAAATGTATATGTCAATGATTTGGAATCTACTATTAATATATCATTTTTTCCTAGAAGAAAACCTTACATTATGTAAAGATGCTCTTGGGCCTTAACAAACAATCTAATGAATCACAATTTAAGTGCAGTTCTTTATTACTTCATTTGTGAGTGAATTTTACCAATCTTAATATACGCCTCTCTTCTTTCTCTCCGTATTTTCAAATCTCACCCATCATTGATGACTCTACCACACATTACTCTTTTTAATTCAATGGGGTAATAGCTAAAGGATTAAAAATGAACATAGCAAGACTCCACATGTTATCCTAGACTTAATTTTCTGATACAAATTAGCAATAACTATTCCACAATTTATAATCTAGTTACCCTGAAAAATGGACATTAATCAGTTATTTATTTGAAACATGGTATTTAATTTTTCTCTGCAAATGAGGTTTTAGATGTTTGTAATGAAATTTTTCAGCCTGTAAAAAAAACTTAATGAATCAAGTTTATATACATTTCTTTACTCCTAAACCTAATCCCCAAGTTACTGTTTCTGGCAAAATTTACATAAAATCAACTTTAGTTTGTAAACACCCATCTTGCTTGCCCTTGTAATTTTCTGCCTTCTCACGTTCAAATACCACCAGTAACTCTTCACCGATCATCGATGTCTTTCCTGCCCCTCAGATAGGGTTAAGTAACTACAGACCCAAGGCAGGGCCACCATACAATCTGAGGGTGGGTTTACCTTTGGGGCAGTAGCCTCATGTGGTAACAGACGAAGAGACCAGGGGTCTATCAGCTTTGCTCTTTTCTGTTGAGAGCTCCTCAGCTCCCTGCCCACTGTTACCTCCTCCTTTCATCAAATAGGATTGTTGCCTCTTTTGGCTCACTCTAGTAGAGTGTCATACAATACACACGTTCTCATATTTTTCTAAGGTTTCAGGGTGCTGCTAAATAAGGGTGACCAATGGAATAGGAATAAGAAGCATTCCTCTTAAGACCTATTCCTCTTTTATCCAACTAGATTGAAGAAAGAAATGTATCTGCAGATACTACAGTAATAAGACTTTAGAAAACAGTGTCTAAAACACTCTGTATTGTTATGGATGCTCCATACAATGAACTTCCGAAATCTGAATCTCTCTTTTCTACATGTATACTTTTGTGTGTGTCTCTGTGTGTGTATTTACATATATATGTTTACATCTAGCTTTTTATTTACTTAAACCTCAAATTTTCATGTGTTACAGTTGTCATTTCACTGAAGGCAGTGCTGATGGAGTAAAAAGGTACATAGACATATAATGAATTTCTCTTTTTTGACACTATTAGCAAATACATTTTTTTGCACCAAAAGGAGTAGATTTTCCATAAATATGAAATACATACATATATAATAAGTGAGGGTATGCAAATCCTACCACATAAGCCCAGTAAGTCCAACAATTAACAGAGACTCATTTATCAATGGTCAGTTAATCAGAGATTAATTATATATAAATTAAACATATGTACATATTAGAAATACATTTTAGCCAGGTGTGGTGACTCATGACTGTAAACACAGCAGTTTGGAAGGCTGAGGCGGGTGGATCACGAGGGCAGGAGTTCAAGACCAGCCTGGCCAATATAGTGAAACCCCGCCCCTACCAAAAATACAAAAAATTAGTCTGGCATGGTGGCACGTGACTGCAGTCCCAGCTACTCAGGAGGCTGAGGCAGGAAAATCACTTGAACCCAGGAGATGGAGGTTACAGTGAGCCGAGATTGCGCTACTGCACTCCAGCTTGGGCAACAGCAAGCCTTCATCTAAAATAATAATAATAATAATAATAGAAATACATTTTAATTTGCCCATGCCTCCAATATCCTATAAAACAAATTCTTTTAAAAATTTATTTATTGGCTTAAAAATCAATGCTACGTACAAAACGCACATGCTGTTGCTTAATGAGCAACCACAGAATTCTCACCTAGATGTTTCCTTAATCAGCCATTGATTAAACACAATCCTTTTATTCCTTCTGTAAAATCTCATTCATTTTACAAGGTTTCTTGAGCATTACACTATAATTAACTTGAATCAGGTTTTCCATATTACTTACACCTTTATGATTTATTTCCAGGAGAGGTTTTCACATGACTGGGAAAACCCTCCACCACCTCCTTACTCTCACTGATCATGCTAGTCTCTCCTGCCCATGTGACACAGTGAAGTACCCGTGCACTTGAGGAAAGCGGCATCCAATGAGGTGGTGGGTTTGGGTTGGGTCTAGGCACCAACCTCACATGTGGACAGAGCTCTCGAGTGTGTGGGACAAGTCCATGTTCCATTAGCTCCATTCTTTTTTTCCCAGAGCTTCACTACTCCTCATTGGCTGCTATCTCCTCCATGTTGCAAATAGGATTCTCCTTTCTTGGAACACTATGGTATGGTCTCAAACTCAGGAAACCTGAATCCCTTAAAAAATTGCCTACCAGAAACTGAGGGTGACAAATACACTAACAGGAAGAAGCAGCTCTCCTGTGAACTGATCTCCTTATACAACTCCATCAAAAAAGGATACAAAGTTATCTACAAATGCTACAATGAGAAGAATTGGAAACCCTGTTAAAAAACACTCTGTATGGCCATGCAGGCTCCTGAGAATAAATTCCACAAATGTCCATCTGTCACCGTGTTTTGTGTTTCCATTTTGTGCATGCGTTTGTTTGTGTAAATGTGTTGCCAAAGTGTGTATGGATGAAGATGGATGGATATATTTGTGTATGTGCTTGGTGTGTGTATAGCTCTATGCACTCTTATGCAAACGTGTGTCTTCATGTATTTATAACTCACCTTTTACTGATAGGTGACACCAGGGCTGCTCCTTTAAATTCACCTGTGTGTGGGCTAGAGGATGATAAAAGAATACAGTCAGATAGGAGACACGATTCTAAATTTACTTTTTTGGAAAATTAGCTTTTATTTCTCTAGACAGAAACCAATTAATTTCTGTCAGAAATCTGAGTTCCATTAAAAAACTGCTTAGTAGGAACTAAGGGTGCCAAATACACTAACAGGAAGAAGCAACTCTCATATGACCTGCTCCTTTTTATACAACTCCACCAAAGAAGGATGCAAAGTTACTAACAAATGCTGCAATGAGACTAATTGGAAACTCTGTTAAAAAAAAAAAAATCTCTGTGGCCATGCAGGCTCCTGAGAGTAAATTCCACAAATGTCCATCAGTCTCCTTTCTCTTTGGTCTGTTTCCATCATGTGCATGGATTAGTTTGTGTACATGTGTTGAAGAGAAGTGTGGATGGATGGATGGATGGATGGATGGATGGATGGATGGATCGATGGATGGATATATTTGCTCATGTGCCTGTGTGTGTATAGTTCTATGCACACTTATGCTGACGGATGACTTTATTTAACTATTTATTACTCACGTTTCTTTCGCAGGTGTCTCCTCGGTTGTGCCTTTAAATTCATTTGTCTGTGGACTAGTGGATGATAAGAGAATACAGTCAGAGAGAAGACATAATTCTGAATTTATATTTTGGAAAAATTACCTCTCACTACTCTAGACAGAAACCAATTAATTTCTGACTATTCATGTGTATAGCACTATTGGAACCTGGAATGTCTTTTTCTCTTTATTAGAAATGAGGATTTATATGGCAACAACCAAAATCTTAGGTGGGGGAAAATAGTAATGATTCCCGATTTAAGTAAACCTCTTTATTATGACCTCAGTCCCAATGTGTGACAGACTTTGTGGTGGCAGTTATTTCAAACTCAACTCCAGTTTGTAGGTAGTCAGCCCTCTTATTCCATTCAATGTCCCGCTTAAAAGGCCCTCCATTAGCTCCTTATGTTCACTCAGCATGGTGGTTTCTCATGCCCCACAAAAAGGGTCAGATAACTAGAGGTCTGACACAGGGGCACAATCCAATAGGATGGTGATTTGAGGTTTGGAGCACCAGCCTCCATGGTGGCAGAGTTCTGGAGGGTGGAGAACACCTCCAAGGCTCTTAGCTCTGTTGCTTTCTGCTGAAGGCTTCAAATTTCCAGTTCCCCAAGTACTCCTACCTCCTCCTCACTCCAAACACGATTCTCTCTTCCCTTGGCCCACTCTGGTATGTCTCATACACAGAAATCTGAGTTTCCAAGGTATTTGCCTGCTACTTACTAAGGGTGACAAGACAGTAACAAACAGAAGCCTCCTTCTGTAGTCTGTTTCTCTTTTTTCCAAAACAACTGTAAAAATGTGGAAATTTACCTATACATGCTACAGTGAGAACATAAATAAACTGTGTCACAGACACTCTATTGCTGTGGACACTCCTGAGACTAAATCCCACTAATCTCAATCTCTCTCTCTCTGTCTGTCTCTATCTCTCTGTCATAGTTATGTTTGTGTGTGTGTGAGTACATCTTTTAAAACTCACATGTCCTTGATGCCTCCATCAGTGATGACTGCCATTGGCTCATTTGGATGGGGACTAAAGGACAAATATGGTCAGAAACAGACACGACGCCTAATTCTAAATGTTTTGCACCAAATAGCTACAGTTACTCTATGAGTTATTCCCCTCTGGTTACACTTTAAATATTCACATGTACTTATATCACTAAACTGACCTGGTATGACTTTTTTTTATTAGAAACAAGGTTTTCTATGCCAACAGTGAATATCTTAGGCTGTGAACATAGCGATGCATCTAGGGGAAGTGACTGTATCTTCACCTCAATGTGTAACAGCTCTTTTGAGGGGATTTAATTCCAGTTCAACTTTAGTTTGTAAGTTCTCCTTCTTATAATCCCATCTGAATTCCTCATTCTCATTCACTTCCAATCACCTCCTCACTTTTCACCAATCCTAGTTGTCTTTCCTGCCCAAGAGTTAGGGCCAAGTAGCAGAAGACATCAAGCAAGGGCTGCATTCTGTGTGATGATGGGTATGGGCTCAGGCATAGTGGCAGCCTCACATAGTGGCAGAACTCTGGAGGGTAGGGAATACTTCCAGGGCTATTATGTCTGTTCTCTTCTTTGCCAGGGAGTCTCTGCTCTTTGTCTACTGCTATCTCCTTCTGGTTCCAAGCAGGATTTGCTTCCCCCTTGATCCACACTACTAGTAGAGTCTCATTCCCACAGAAACTAAAAGTGACAAACACTAACATAAAAAGCCTCCTTCTGTGAGTTCTTCCACATTTTCCTGCCTCCATCCAAATAACAAAAGAATATTCTTCACAAAGCTCATCCTGAGAAGACTCTAAAACTAGTCTCAAGGGAACTCCTCATTCACATGGATGCTCATGAGAGTCAATATCCCGAATCTCAATCTTTCTGCATGTTGTGGGTATGAATGCATGTATACGTGTGTCCATATATACATCCATACATGTATAATTGTATTTCTGTAGTTCATATGTTGCAGTGGCCAGTCTACCACAAGACACTCTTTCATTTCACACACACAGCAGTGCCAAAGAACTTAAAACATACATAGTAAGACAACATGTAACTCCCAGACTTAACGTTTTCAGTGAAAAACAGTTCCAATTAACTTTCAACATGTAAACTGCTTGAACCTTACAGAATTCTGGTGCATTTGGTTAGTTAGAATCTGCCATGCCATTTTCCCTACACATCATACTTTATATAACTGTAGCACACATTTTACATCTATCCAAGACTCAGTGACTCAAGATTTAACTGAATTCTCTACCACTGAAGCTGACCAGGGCATGTCAGCCTTTTGAGGGTAAATTTCTTTTCAATTCAACTCCACTGTGCAGGTGGTCAGCCTGCTAATCCCATTAAGGGCTGACTTCCTGAATGCCTCCATCACCTCCATCCTTCACCCATCTTGCTAGTCTTTGCTGTCCATGAGATATAGGCAAGTAGTTGCGGGCCTAAGAAAGGGCTGCATCCAGTGAGGTGGTTGGTTTGGGGTTGGGTCTGGGCACCAGCCTCACATGTGGACTGAGCTCTGGAGGGTGAGGGACAAGTTCACATTCCAGTAGTTCTGTTCTTTTCAGCCCAAAGCTTCACTGCTCCTTATTGGCCACTATCTCCTCCGTGTTGCAAATAGGATTCTCTCCTGCCTTGGGCCAATCTGGTAGGGTCTCAACTCAGGAAATCTGAGTCCGATAAAAAAAACTGCTTACTAGGAACTAAGAGTGACAAATACACTAACAGGAAGAAGCAACTCTCCTATTACTTGCTCCTCTTTATACAACTTCATCAAAGAAGGATGCAAAGTTACTAAAAAATGCTACAATGAGACGAATTGGAAACTCTGTTAAAAAAAAATCTATATGGCCATGCAGGCCCCTGAGAGTAAATTCCACAAATGTCTATCAGTTTCCTTTCTCCTTATTTTAGGTTTCCATTGTGTGCATGGATTAGTTTGTGTAGTTTCCGTGGTGAAGAGAAGCGTGGATGGATGGATGAATGGATGGATGGATGGATGGATGGATGGATGGATGGATGGATATATTTGCCCATGTGCCTGTGTGTGTGTATAGTTCTATGCACACTTATGCTGATGGGTAACTTTATTTAACTATCTATTACTCACGTTTCTTTCACAGGTGCCTCCTTTGTTGCTCCTTTAAATTCACTTGTCTGTGGACTAGCGGATAATAAGAGAATACAGTCAGAGAGAAGACATAATTCTGAATTTATATTTTGGAAAAATTACCTCTCACTACTCTAGACAGAAACCAATTAATTTCTGACTATTCATGTGTATAGCACTATTGGAACCTGGAATGTCTTTTTCTCTTTATTAGAAATGAGGATTTATATGGCAACAACCAAAATCTTAGGTGGGGGAAAATAGTAATGATTCCCGATTTAAGTAAACCTCTTTATTATGACCTCAGTCCCAATGTGTGACAGACTTTGTGGTGGCAGTTATTTCAAACTCAACTCCAGTTTGTAGGTAGTCAGCCCTCTTATTCCATTCAATGTCCCGCTTAAAAGGCCCTCCATTAGCTCCTTATGTTCACTCAGCATGGTGGTTTCTCATGCCCCACAAAAAGGGTCAGGTAACTAGAGGTCTGACACAGGGGCACAATCCAATAGGATGGTGATTTGAGGTTTGGAGCACCAGCCTCCATGGTGGCAGAGTTCTGGAGGGTGGAGAACACCTCCAAGGCTCTTAGCTCTGTTGCTTTCTGCCGAAGGCTTCACAGTTCCCCAAGTACTCCTACCTACTCCTCACTCTAAACAGGATTCTGTCTTCCCTCGGCCTACTCTGGTGTGTCTGGTACACAGAAAATCTGCTTTTCCAAAGCATTTGCCTGCTACTTACTAAGGGTGACAAGACAGTAACAGATGGAAGCCTCTCTCTATAGTCAGTTTCTTTTTTTCTAAACAATGTAAAAATGTGGAAGTTATCTATACATGATATAGTGAGATGATAAAGAACCTGTGTCAAAGAAACCCTGTATTATCATGAACACATCTGGGAGTTAATCCCACCAATCTCGGTCTCTTTCTCTGTCACTGTTTTGTGTGTGTGTGTGTACATCTTTTTTTTTTTTTTCTTTTTTGCAACAAAGTTTCGCTCCTGCTGCCCAGGGTGGAATGCAGTGGCATGTTCTCAGTCACTGCAAACTCCACTACCCCAGGTTCAAAAGATTCTCCTGCCTCAGCCTCCTGAGTAGCTGGGATTAGAGGCAACTGCCACCACACCTGGCTAGTTCTTGTAGTTTTAGTAGAGACAGGGTTTCATGATGTTTGCCAGCCTGGTCTCGAACACCCGACCTCAGGGTATCTGCCTGCTTCAGCCTCCCAAAGTGCTCAGATTACAGGTGTGAACCATTGCACCTGGTCATGTGTACATCTTTTATAACTCACCTGTCACTGGGGCCGCGCTCAGTGATGACTCCCACCAGGTCATTCGGATCGGGACTAGAGGACAAATATGGTCAGAGTCAGACACAATGCTTAATTCTAAGGTTTTGCAACAAATAGCTATAGTTAGTCTATGTGTCATTCCCCAGTTACATTTTTATTATTCACATGTATGTATATCACTAAATTGACCTGGGATGGCATTTGTCTTATTAGAAATGAGGTTTCATATGCCAACAGTGAGAATTTTAGGCTGTGAACATACCGATGCATGCAGATTAAGTAAGGGTATCTACACCTCAAGGTGTAACAGCATTTTTGGAGAGCATTTAATTCTAGTTCAAATTTAGTTTCTGAGTCTCCGTTCTTATAATCCCATCTGAGTTCCTCATTCTCTATCACCTCCAATCACCTCCTCACTTTTCACCCATCCTAGTTGTCTTTCCTGCCCAAGAGTTGTGGCCAAGTAGCTAGAGGCCTCAAGAAAGGGCTCCATCCCATGTGAGGGTGGGTATGGGCAAAGGCAGTCAGCCTCACATAACAGCAGAGCTCTGGAGGGGGTGAAATAATTCCAGGGTTATTAGCTCGGTTCTTTGTTTTGGCTGGGATTTCTCTGATCTTTGTCCACTCCTATCTCCTTCTCACTGCAAGCAGGATTCACTTCTCCCTTGGTCCACACTACTAGCACAGTCTCATTCTCACATAAAGGTAATGTGACAAACACTAACATAAAAAGCCTCCCTCTATGAGTTCCTCCCCATTTTCCTACCTCCATCCAAAAAACAATATTGCATACAAAGCTCATTCTGAGAAGACTCTAGAAATAGTTTCAAGGGAACTCCTTGTTCCCATGGATGCTTGTCACACTCAATAGCCCTACTCAGACTCTCTTGTGTGTACGAATGCATGTATGTATGTGTTTGTATATGCATAGATACATGTATAACTCTATTCCTTGATATTACATGGTGCATTGGCCAGCCTACTGGAAGGTACTCTCAATTAACACACAGGGCCATGCCAAAGAACTTAACATGTACATACTAAGACAACATGTAACTTCCTAGACTTAAGGTTTTCAGTTCAAAATAATTCCAATTTCTTTTATTTTGGTTTATTGTTTTTGTTTGTTGTTGTTGTTTGTTGTTTGTTTCGACTCACTCTGTCACCCAAGCTTGAGTGCAGTGGCATGATCTCGGCTCACTGCAACCTCTGCCTCCTGGGTTCAAGCAATTCTCCTGCCTCAGCCTCCCGAGTAGCAGGGACTACAGGTGCCCGCCACCACATCTGGCTAATTTTGCATTTTTAGTAGAGATGGGGTTTCACCATGTTGGCCAGGCTGGCCTTGAACTACTGATCTCGTTAGCCACCCACCCTGGCCTCCCAAAGTGCTAGGACTACAGGCCTGAGCCACCGCACCCGAACTTCCAACTACTTTTCAACCTGTAAATTGCCTTACCATTACAGAAGTCATGTGTGTATTTGGTTCTTTGGAATCTGCCATGCCATTTACCCTACACATCATAATTTATATGCTTGCAGCACATACTTTACACGTATCTAAGACTCACTGACTCAAGAGTTCACCAAAACTCTCTACCACTGGAGCTGGCCAATGCATGACAGACAGCCTTTTGTGGGTGAATTTCTTTTAAATTCAACTCCACTGTGTAGGCATTCCTCCTTCTAATCCCATCTATGGCCCATTTCCTGGATCTCTCCATCACGTCTTTCCTTTCACCCATCATGCTAGTCTTTCCTGTCCATGGGACACAGGCAAGTAGCTGTGGGCCTAAGGAAGGGCTGCATCCAATGAGATTGTGTGCTTGTGCTTATGTTTTAGCACCAACCTCATATGTTGACAGAGCTCTGGAGTGTGAAAGACAAGTTCATGTTCTATTAGCTCTGTTCTTTTCTGCCCAGGGCTTCACTGCTTCTTGTCAGCTGCTATCTCCTCCATGTTGTGAATAGGATTTTCTCCTCCCTTCTGTCAATCTGGTAGGCTCTCAAACTCAGGAAATTTGAGTCCTTTAAGAAGCTACTTACTAGGAACTAACAGTGACAAATACACTAACAGGAAGCAGCAGCTCTCCTATGACCTGCTGCTTTTTATATCACTCCATTAGAAAAGGATGCAATGTTACCTACAAAGGCTACTATGAGAAGAATTGGAAATCCTGTTAAAAACCACTCTCTATGGCCATGCAGGCTTCTCAGAATAAATTCCACAAATGTCCGTCTGTCTCCTTGTTGTATGTTTCCGTTGTGTGCATAGGTTTGTTAGTGGATGTGTTTGAGAGAAGTGTGTACAGATGGATGCATGGATGGATGGATGGATATATTTGTTTATGCGCCTGTGTGTGTGAATACTACTATGCTCAGTTATAATTAGATAAAGAAAGAAACACTTACGCATAACTCACCTTTCATTCATACTTGCCTGTGGGTTCACACCTGATAATTCATTTGTGGGTGGACTAGAGGACGACAAAAGAATACAGTCAGACAGGAGACACAATTCAAAATTTACTTTTCTGGTAAAACTAGCTTTCATTACTCTGCACATAAACCAGTTAAGTTCTGACTATTCATGTGCATAGCACTATTTGGTTCTGAAATGCCATTTTTTTATTAGAAAGGATGATTTATATGATGGCAACCAACATCTTAGACTGGGGAAAATAGTAATGCTTTCAGATTTAAATAAACCTCTTTATTATGACCTCAGTACCAATGTGTGACAGCCTTTGTGGTGGCAGCTATTTCAAACTAAACTTTTGTGTGGAGGTAGTCAGCCCTCTTATTCCACTAAATGTGCTGCCTTGAAAGCCCTCCATTACTTCTTCACTTGATTGTCTCTCTTGGTCCACAAGTAGGGTAAAGTAACTGCAGGTCTGAGTCAAGGACACAATCCAATATGATGGTATTTGGGGTTTTGAGTACCACCCTGTATTGTGGCAGAGTTCTGCAGGGTTAAAAACAGTTCAAGCGTTGTTAGCTTTTTTCTCTTCTCCTGAGGTCTTCACTACTCTCCGTCCCTGCTGTCCTTTCCGGTTTCCAAAGAGGATTCTCTGCTGTCCTCAGCCATTATAGTAAGGTCTAACATATAGGCAGTCTGAAAATTATTTTTTATTTTTACTCAAGAGTATCAAACAGACTAGTAAGAAAAATCATTCTTCTTTTTATGTGGTCATCTTTTATCTAAATTCATTCAAGACATAAAGTCACCTTCATATCCTATAGTGAGATCACATAAACACATGTGTCAAAGTTTTTTGTTTTTCCATTAATGTCCTTGAATGGGAACTTCCCTAATCTCAACCTTTATATTTCTCTGCAGTACCTGTGGGTGCATGCCTTGATTTAATATGAATGCATATAGGTATATATAAATGGTATATAATTGTTTCCTCCCTTGTTCATATATCCTTATACCTATATTGATTTATTTCGTTTTCTTTTTTTTTTTTGAGATGGAGTCTGCCTCTGTTGCCCAGGCTGGAGTGCAGTGGCATGATCTTGGCTCACTGCAGTCTCCACCTCCCGGGTTCATGCCATTCTCCTGCCTCAGCCTCCCGAGTAGCTGGGACTACAGGTGCCCGCTACCACACGCAGCTAATTTTTTGTATTTTTAGTAGAGACGGGGTTTCACCATGTTAGCCAGGATGGTCTCGATCCACCTGCCTCGGCCTCCCAAAGTGCTGGGATTACAGGCGTGATCCACCGTGCACAGCCTCTATATTGATTTATTTCTGTCTCACTATTCACTGATAGCTCCATTCCAGGGTAGTGATTTGAATTTAGACTTGGCAGTGCTACAGAATTTAAATATATATATGTATCGTCCAACACCAATATGACATCCTAGACTTCACTTTCTGGTTTGAATTACTCACAAGCGATGTTTAGTTCTTTACAACTAAATGAAGCACAAACTAAGCATTTGGTGGTTTACTTTATTTCAAATTCAGCTGCAGTTTCTATATACAAATCCCCTTGACCTCATCTCATTTCCTGACACTAAAATCCCTTCATCAGTGCCTTCTTTTCACCATCATAGCTGTCTCCTCTGCTCTCACACAGGGTCAAGAAACTGCCCCATACAATGTGATGATGGGTGTGGGCTTGTAGTGTTAGCCTCACATGGTGGTAGAGCTCTGGGTGTGAGGAACTCTGCCAGGGCCATTAGCTCTGTTTGTTTTTCCCTAAGGGCTCCACTGCTCCCTGTCCACTGCTACTCGCTTGTTGCTCTGCATAGGGTTTTCTTCCCTTGGTCCACTCTAGTATGTCTCATACACAGGAAATCTGACTTTCCTAAGTATGTGCCTGCTACTAAGGGTGACAAGACAATAACAAGAAGTTTCCCTTTTTTGCCCTGTTCCTTTTTTATCCAATTTAATCAAAAAGCTGGATAAGGGGCCAGCAGGGCCTATAGTGAGGAGGTTTATAAACAGTGTAAAAGACATTCTGTATGGCCATGGATGATCCTGAGAGTAAGAACATAATCCTCATCTTTCTCTCTGTTGTTTCTCTCTCTCTTTTCTCTTTCTCTCCCTTTCTCTCTCTCCCTGTGTTTGTGTGTCTAGATTGACAGAAGTATGTATAACTGCATATATATTTCTTTAAATATTTGTGTATATATATTTTATAATTCACATTTCATTGGTGGTTCTATCATAGGTTATTGATGTCAATTCTGTATGCAGGCTAAAGGAATATAAACGTAGATAGTTGGACACACATGTAATTCTAAACTTACTTTTTGGATCAAACAGCTACATTTACCCTATAATGTACTATCTGGTTAATATTTAAATATTCATGTGTATATCACTAATTCAAACTAGGTGTATCCTTTTTTTTAGGTGGAGTCTCACTCTCACCGAGGCTGGAGTGCAGTGGTGCGATCTTGGCTCACTGCAACCTCCGTCTCCCAGGTTCAAGCAATTCTCCTTCCTCAGCCTCCTGAGTAGATGCGATTACAGACATGCACCATTACAGACATGACCACACCTGCCTAATTTTTGTACTTTTAGTAGAGACAGGGTTTTGCCATGTTGGTCAGGCTGGTCTGAAATTCCTGGCCTCAAGTGATCTAGCTGTCTTGGCCTCCCAAAGTGCTGGGATTACAGATATGAGCCACCATGCCTGCCAGTGGCATTTATTTCTAATGTAACTGCAGTCTGTAAGGAAACATGCCTCTTACCCCATCTAAATGCTTGATTCCTAAGTCCTTCTGTCACTTCTTTACTTTCACCCATCATGGCTATCTTTCCTGCCCAGAAGATATGACCATGTAGCTGTAGGCCTGAGTCAGGAACTCCCTACAAAATGATTGTGGGTTTGGGTTTGGTTTGGGGCACCAGCCTCACATGGTGGTAGAACTCTAGAGGGTGAGGAACCCATTACGGTTTCATGAACTCTGTTCTTTTTGCTGTGTGCCTCACTCCTCCCTGTCACCTGTTACCTCCCCATTGCTCCAAATAGGATTCTCTCTCCCTTTGGCCCACTCTAGTAGTAGGACAGTCTCGTAAGTGGAAAACCTCAGAGGTTCCTAAGGGATTGGATACTACTAACTTAGAGTGACAAATATACTAAGAGGAAGAAGCATCCCTTTCATGACTTCATCCTCTTTTATCCAATTTGGTCTGAAAAAAAAATAGAAGGTTATCTATAGATCCTACAGTGAGAAGATTTAGACATAGTGTAAAAGATACTCTGTATTTCCAAGGATATGCCTGACAGTGAATTTTACAAATATCAACTTCTCTTTCTCTTTCATTGTTTTATGTTTCTGTGTGTGTATGTGTATGCATGCATGTATCTTATGTGTATATATGTATATATACACTTACATGTATATAAATCTTTGTTTTTAATTCACATTTCATGGGTGGCTCTATCATAGGTTACTACCATCAACTCAATTGGCTGTGGGCTGGGGAATTATAAACGCATATTATTCAGATAAAAACACAATTTGGACTTACACTTTTGGTCAAATAGCTGCAGTTACTCTAGACATGAGTCTACCTGCCAAGGAATGCCAAAGATTGCCAGCAACCACCAAAAGCTAGCAAAGAGGTATCAGATTCTTCCTTATAGCCTTCATAAAAAGCCAACCCTACTGACAATCTCAATTTCAGATTTCTAGTCTCTAGGACTATGAGATCATTAATTTTTGTTTAAGCCACTTGGTTTGTGATACTTTGTTAAAGCAGCCCTAGAAACTAATATAGCCCAACCTGGTAGAATCTCATACACAGGCAATCCAACAGTTTTCTAAAAGTTGTGGCTAATAGTCAACTCAGCTAGGAAGAAGAAGTAGACTTCTTGTGATCTATTTATCTTGTATCCAACTAGACCCCAAAAGAAAAGGATGTTACATACAGAAGCTGAAACTACCAGTACTTTAGAAACAGTGTCCCAGAAACTCTATAGTTAACATTTGGGTGTATTTTTATGAACACACACTCACACAACACCCTTCACTCATGACTTCATTATAGGCTAGTGATATCATTTCACTTTCACTGAGGACTCCATCATGGGTTAGTGATATCACTTCATTTGGGTCAGAGCTAAAGAATTAAACTAAATTGTACATAATCAAACAGCATGTGAATTTGTAGGCTTAATTTTTATTCAAATTAGCTACAATAACCCTACAACTAATAAACTAGCTGTTCTAAAAAACAAAACAAAACAAAACAAAGCAAAACAAAACAAAACACAACACATGCAATTTAGCCATTTGGAAACAATAGTGACCATCCCTGCCTGTCTCCATAGACAGCAACAGCAACTACCCAGGAGTAGTTACAGTAAAATTAGGAGAGCATTAGGCTGGCTGATGAAAACAGGGAAGGGCTGAAGAGCCATCCTTGGGCCTTCACTCCTCCACCTGCCTCCATCTCCAAAGCCCAGGTTACAAACCAGAGAGATTGTCTCCTCCAATGCTGCTTTGTTAAGGAGCTTCAAGGTGATACAGTTGTTTAATTAAATAAATTTTCCCTGAGGTTGCCTCTGTACTTGAGTCCTTATGCAACAAACTGCAAGCTAACCTAGTGTGTAAACTAACAGCATAATTATGAATAGAATATACACTTGTAACAGATAGCTCTGTCTCAGTCAATTACAGCAGCTGAGCTTCAGTCAACTGTGGGTGGCTGACTGATTCAAATAAGACAAAACATCCAGCTGTAACCAGTTGTAAACAACAAAGCTCTTTCTGGACCTCACTTCCATTTTCTGTCCATAATGCTGTCTGGCCACATTGCCAGTTTGCAGTTCTCAGAACCTGTTCTGATTTTAAAAGCTTCCCAACTCATGAATCATTCTTGCACTATTAAACTCTTAAATTTACCTTGTCTAAAGTTTTTCCTTTTCACAACCCAGAGGAGTTGCCTGGTCAGTGTTTCATGATTCCTGAGACTCTCTACCCTGGGGCGCATCACTTCTCTTCATTTTAAACTTACTGACAATGACGCAGCTTACGTCCTAGATTTCAGTCAGACTGACTATATAATTCCTGCCCAAACCAGGACACTTTTGAAAGGAAAAAGTGGGTGCCATTAATAATTATGTTGCAAGAACAGCAGCAGACTGAGATTGTACTTCAGTCCTTCCCCAATACAAATGACCAGAGTAGCCAATAGCCACAAAAAATCTGTGTTCACAAACCAACATGATTAGATACCTGAGGAATACAACTACTGAAAAAGAAATACAACAAGCTGAACAACAGCATACCTACTGTAGCAAAACTACTGGAACACCCTGACCAAGATTTTAAAGTAAGCATGACAAATATTCTTAAGGATAAGAGGACACAAAGGAAGATGTGGAAATATGAAATGAGAATGGGAGTCCTAAGAAAAAATAAAACAGAAAGCCTTAACTGTAAAAGTATGACTGTCAAAAAAAATATAAATTGTTGAGGGATAAATAGTAGTTTGGGTACCTGTGAAAAGCTAATAAATTTAGAGTTAGAAGATTTGATTGAGAAACTTACCCAGAAAATAGTAGAAAAGAATAAAGCGAACACATTAGAGAAAAGAAGAATGTTAGAGAGGATAAAAACAGCCATCTAACATCTAGAATATGGAAATCTAAGAAGAAATGAAAACTAAAAATGCAAAATAAAATGTGAAAATTTATGATGATAAATTTCCCAGAATTCAAGAAAGAAGAAATAAATCAGCTTTAAGTATCTAATGGAGACTAAGAGAAAATTCTAACACCTTCTAGATAGAGCAAAAGACTTATGAGGGCACAAGGACAGACCAACATCATAGCTCTCTGTACCATAAAGAAAGCTTCCACAGGATAAAGTCCACAGGATCAATATCATATTGCTGTTCTCTGAATATACTGTAATATGATTAGCTTTTAAAAAAAAAACCCACATTTGAAACTAAATTACACATTACTGAATACCTCTTATGTTAAAAGGGATATCACAAAATATTTTATATACTAAGAACTGATTGATAATAACATGACAAAGTTTGTAGGATACAATGAAGGAATATTTAGAAGAAAATTTACCGATATATAAGCATTAATAAGAAGTCAAGATGGTTAAAAGCAAAGAGTACACATTTAAGTAGAGAGGTTGGAAAAGGAGCACAGGGCAAAGTCTATGGAGTAATAAGGAAGCAAAACATAAGGAGGTAAGCATACGACACTGAACTGGAGAAGAAAAAACCGTGGAGAAGATTAACAAAACAAAAGTGTGTCTCTTTGAAAAGATTACTACAATAGACCTGTGGCAATAATAATCAAGAACAAACAGAGTGAATATCCAAATAAAATGTACAAGAAGGGAGCATAACTAGAACACAACTAACATTTTTTAAAATGAGATTATTCAATTATATGCTAATAAATGTGAAAACTTAGATGGAATGGAAAAATTCCTAGACAAATATAAAACACTAACATTAGTGCAAGAAAATATATTTATATAGAAATAGAATACTCAAGTAACAAAGAAATCAACCTAGTATTTAAACCCCTTCCCTCTCCCAAACACCACAGGGCCCACATAGGTATTTTACAAAATTTTTTAGAATATTGACATACTTACTACAAAATCTACGTCAACATATAAAGGCTCCATTAATAACTTAACTAATCATGGTAATAAAAAAAGGTGTAGGGATGCCATAAGTATCAATGGAGCAAAATATTGAGCTCAGAGATAAACTTATGTAGATATATGTCATTGATGATGATTATATAAACAAGGAAAAAGGATGACCTGTTTCATAGATGGTACTTGGAAAATCAGCCTACCACTGGGAGAAAAATGAAACCAAATCCCTACCTAACACCATATTTAAGGGTAGACTGTAAGTAGATTAAAGCATTAAATGTGTAAATTAAAACTATGAGGATTAGAAATTACCTTTGTAGACTGAAAGTGGGAAAATTTCAAACTTCAAAAGTAAAATAATAAGGCAAAAAGTTCTGTCATAAAGAGAATGAAGAACAACAATGCCAAAGCTAACAGGCAGATGACGGATTAGAGAACATAACTTCAATGTCTAAAATTGACATGAAGGATGATTTGAATACATAAAGCGATAGTCCAAACTTTTGAATGGGATTCCATGAATCTGAGTCTGTTTCGTGTTGCCATAAGGGATACCTGAGGCTGGGTAATTTATAAAGAAAAGAGGTTTATTTGGCTCACAGTTGTGTGCTGCACAAGAAGCCTGATGCCAACATCTGCTTCTGAGGCTGCTCCCTTTGATGGTGGAAGATAAAGGGGAACTAACACGTGCAGAGATCAAATGGCAAGAGGGGAAGCAAGGTGGGGGAAGCCGCTGGTCTCTTTTTAAACCACCAGCTCTTGCAAGAACTAACAGAGTGAGTACTCACTCACCCTCACTCCCAGGGAGGGAATTAATCTATTTATCTTCCAAACACCTTCCATTAGGCCCCCTCCAACATTGGGGATCAAATTTCAACATGCAGTTTGGGGCTACAAATCTCCAAACAATAGTACCATGTTTTTAATGTTACTAAAAAGAGGGAATTCTTGCTATATTGTTTACAAATGTAACATAATCACTTTGAAAATTAAACATGATTTTAAAAGAAATTTGATTAACTTATTCTAAAATATAAAATATTCAAAAACAGCACATGTAAATTAACAAGACAAAGATAGGAATACTAGCGGAAAAATGGTCTAAGTTCATGAATGGACCATTACAGAAGAAATCCCAAATGCTATAAGAACAAAAAAATAATGCTCAAATTCATAAGTTATCACATAAATTCAAAGTAAAACATAATGCAATATGTTATGACCTATTAGACTGATTATATAAATTAGAAAGTTTGATAATGTCAAGTGTTGTTGTGAATGTGTATGTGTAGGAACCATCATACATTGTTCATGAGATGCAGACTGGTATAAGCATTGTGAGAGCAATAGGCAGTATTCAGTCAAATTCAAAATACGCAATCCCATGGCCCATCAAGTCCTGTTTCATATTCCTACAGAAATACTCAAATAGGTCTATAGGGGTCTGGCATAAGGATAATCATTTAGCGGCACTCTTTGTGAAGGCAAATGGTAGGAAGCCATATATGTGTTCCTCACTAGGGGATGCATGCTGTGGAATTTTTCATACCAGTTAAAAGCAATAACAAAAGGTATGCACAAGAAGAATAATCTTATGTTACTCAGCAAAAAACTAACAAAATGAGATACAACTTAATACCATTTAAGTAAATTTAAAAACATATAGGCAAAACAATAATACATAGTTTACAGAACACATATAAATGTATATACTGTATATTAAACACATTAAAATTGTTGCATATATGCATATATCTGCATATGTCAATATGTATATCTGTACTCTCATCTAGATATTAAAAAGGCCTACAAGTAGCAATGAGCCAATGGCAATGAGCATACCAAATGCAAAATATTGGTTTCCAAAGGACATCAGGTTCTTTGGGTAAATGGCTGATTCCAGGGCTGGGGAAATGCTCAAAAAGTGATGGGAACATGTCAAGTCAAAAGGACAAACGGGCTAGATTTTAGGGAGTCCCATTGGCCAAATATGGGACCATTTAAACATCAAAATAAATAATGACAGAAAGGATTGTAATTCATTGACATAATGTTAAGGATTTATAAGTTCATAGTAATAGTGAATAAATAGGGGTAGGAATAGCTCTCCTTATAATAGAATGATGCTTATTAAACACAGAAAAACTACATTTTTAAAAAAAAATCACCATTTTGTAATGATCAGTTACAACTGATTCACATAAAAATCAATGAATGCTAAAATTAGTGCATGAAAGTTTTATGTGCAACAGGATACTGAACATTGAAGATAGTTTTAACATAGACTGAAAGTATCTCCCCACAAAGTGGATACTAATTATAAACTGAATAATATTTACTTGTCAGTGAATAAATCTGGCAATACCTCTCAACCATGATAGAGATATGAACTGTAAAACAGTGTAGTATTCAATAGAGGAGTTACTTAATCTGAAAGTGGTATTCAAATCCCTCATCTATCCTTTAAAAAGCCATGAAATTATTTCCTGTCATCTCATATAAAAGATGTTGTAATATTCTAAGAGCTTGCATTTAGGTTGTCTCTGAAAAGAGTCTGATGAATAACTTGACAATAAGAAAGTGAATGCTGAGATTTTAGAATGAATAGACATTTTAATCTCACAGTCTACTTTGTGTTAACTAACCCCTCTCACATTTCAAAAATATCTAAAAGTAGCTGTTAGACATTCTATTAAGTCCTCCTGGTGAAAATGGAAATGTTTGGAGATTCCATCTTTGCATCATCTTCCTATATCCCACTTTTAAACATTTTTGGCATTGGAACTTTTTCTTCGAATGAACTTTTAGATATCACACATGCTTAGTAAACTTCAAATCTGCAAGTGTGAATAGATAATCTGCACAGGAAACATTTTTTTTTTGAGACAGAGTTTTGCTCGTCATCCAGGCTGCAGTGCAGTGGTGCTGTCTCAGCTCACTGCAACCTCTGCCTCCCGGATTGAAGTGATCCTTCTGCCTCAGCCTCCCAAGTAGCTGGGACTACAGGCATGCACCACCACGCCCAGCTAATTTTTCTATTTTTAGTAGAGACAGGGTTTTACCATATTGGCCAGGCTGGTCTTGAACTCCTGACCTCGTGGTCCACCTGCCTCAGCCTCCCAAAGTGCTGGGATTACAGGCTTCAGCCACCATGCCCAGCCAGAAAACACTTTTGACAAACACACCAGCATTTCCTTTTGTAGAATCCTTGGGCCATATTAAGGGTATTGTTAAGCTGCCATCTCATAAAGTGTACCGAATAAAACACTAATTTGGGGAGATGTTAAAAGGGAATAGTAACAACAGCAGCAGCTCTTGTTTTATTTAAATGTAGACAATTAATTCAAAATATAAAAAAATATTTTGGGGACTATATTGGTAATCTTACGATAAGAAATAACATTCTAAGTAAAACACAACAGCATCGGTTATAAAAGTACCAATTATATTTGAACACATGAAGCTTATTATAAAGCTCTATGTAAGGTTGCTGCATTTTACTTCAAACATCAAATGCAAAAATATATTAGAGATTTGCCACATGGAGCAATGATATGACCAATTTATGTGAACAACAAAATTCCTTGATCTAAAAAATATGGTAAATATGAATTAGCTTACTTAAGACCTAACTTTTTAGAAAGAATTTTAGAATCAGTGTCCAGAAAACTATTTTCCCATGAATAATTCTGAGACTGAATTTCAAAAACCTGAATTCCTCCCATCTCCAATATATATTATGACATCACCTTTCATTGTTGACTCCAGCACAGATTTCTGATGTCAATTCATTGGCGTCAGTGCAAAGGATTGAAAGGTAAATAGTAAGAAACAACATAAATGCATACACGACTTTTTTTGTTTTGTTTTGATTCAAATTGGCTATGATTGCGCTACAAATTGCAATGTGTTGTTCCTAAAAATTCTCAGGTAAATCTGTTATTTGGCACCTGGTACTTGATTTTTCTCTAGAAAGAAGTCTTTATGTGTTGGTAATAAAAACTGTTTAGGACTCTCAAAAAAGTTTAATGAATCAAGATTTAAATACAATTCTTTATTACTGAACCTGATCATCATGTGTGGCAGCAAATTTAACTTAAATTTGCTTCAAATTTATGTCCGATTTGTAGGCACACACTATTCTTGCCCATTTTGATTTCCCAATTATCAAGTCCCTCCACCACCTTCATGCTCTTCATGAGTCACAGATATCTTTGCTTCCCCTCAATCAGGATCAAGTGACTAAACATGAGGCAGGGGCTCCATCCAATGTGATGATGGCTTTGAGTTCGGGGCACCAGCTCTGAAGGGTGAGGGATAGATACAGGGTCTCTTAGCTCCTTTCTTTCTGCTGAGGGCTCCTCTGGGGCCTGTCCAATGCTACCACTTTCTTTCTCCAAGTAGGATTCCCTAACTCTTTTGGATCACTCCTGACAGAGTCTCATACACAGGCATTCTGACAGTTTCCTAAGGTTTTGGCTGCTAATTACTTGGGGTCACAAACAATCTTTGAGTACCAAGCATCCCTCTTCTGACCTGATCTTATTTTTTCCACTCTGGTTCAAAAACAATGTTACCAAAGATGCTTAAAGTCTCTGATAGAAAGCTGTTATTGCCATTGATGCTCCCAGTATTTTTTACCACTTAGATAAGTCAACTCACCCATTGTGGTCATAGTTGTCAGAGCATAAAGCAGAATCTGTTAGTGAATCCATAACTCTACCAAAGAGTAAAAATCACATACAAAAAAATAAAGTCAGATATTTTGGAAGGCAATGAGGATGTTAATTTCAACAGTATTTCAAGACACAAAAAATAAAATCGGAGGAATTTTGACAAGAACTAAAACAATTTCAGGATACAGCACTAGTACTTCTGAGACTGTGTGTGTGTGTGTGTGTGTGTGTGTGTGTGTGTGTGTGTGTGTCTGTGAGAGAGAGAGAGAGAGGACACAGAAAAAAGAAAGAAAATGTAAGAATAATGAATGTTTCTATATCAATGGCTAGTTCCTGGTCATCCTTGGTAGGAAATAAACAAGTAGGTAAGTCAAGCATAGCCTTAATTATGTTTAAAACATTTTGTGAACTTAAAGTGGATTATGTGTTTACAATGATTTTGTTTTCTTTTTTTCTGGATTCATTTTTTTAAAGTTATATGGCTACATTTTACAATATCAAGACTTACTAGCACCAAAACCCCTGGCTTGGCTAATTTAATCTCTCTGCAACTTCATTTCCTCATCTGTAAGTTAAGACACATGCAAAATACACTCCACATCTGTCAACTTCATAAAACCATGTTGAATATTCAGCATTTTGCCAATATTGGTTTTTAAACAACCTGCTCTCTACACCATATATTATGCCATAAAAATCAGTATGTGGCAATATAAACTGATACACATTTTTAATTTCAAATACACAAACATTCTCATCAAGGTAATACACTCCCAAGACTCAAGAATTAATGCTCTTCACCACAATTTTCTAACTTTTCAAACGTTTAAATAAGTTTAAGAAACTGATCACATGCATTTTTTTGCTGCTGATAAAAACTGGGATTCTCTAAGAGTGTGCTGAGGTTTCTTAACTTATTTGACCACAGAACCTCTTTCTTACAGTGGAAATGTGTGAGAAACACATTTTGGAAACAATATATTAAATGGTATCTTTTTATGTCTTTAAGAAAAGTTCTCCTACACAAACTAATTTTGGACTCTGATCAATAGCTCCAACCTTTAAGCACAGATAGACATTAATATTGTGCTAGTCTTTCAGCCTGTGAGGAAAGGAGTGCCAGAGTTCAAATTATCGCATCTCATTAGCCTGGTCTGAGGGCCATGAGGGGAACCTTTCAAGTTCTAAGTGGGTGTTCTCATGTCCTTGAATGGCTCCTGGAAATTCATCCAGGTTTCAGGAAAAACAATACCTTTTACAAAAAGAAAGGCATCTATAGGCATCCACTACTTTTCAGCAGGATGAATAATTGGATTGTCTATGCAGAATACACTAATAAATCATAATGGGGAAAATGTTCAAAACATCAAAAAGGTAAGAATTTGAGTTTTTGACATAAGCACCCTTATTAAATGATTACTACATTTTTCAGACATCCTCTACTGAGGAAGAGAACTGGAAGACACTCAAATTACTCCAGATTCAGGTGACAAGCAAGGATTGCTAAGCAAGTTCCTTGGGAAACTAATCTCCAAAAAGGGCAGGAGACATCCATAGATGTTACCTGAACTCCTTTCAGGGAGAGTATTAAATGAATCCTGAAATAATACTTTGATAAGCTGCTTTGGGACACAGAATGACTTCCCTCATGGGACATGAATAAGTAACTAGCTAAATTGCCCTCTAAGGAAGGTGAGAATTGCAAACTGTCCTAAACTGAAGTAAGTGGTCATGCAGAATTCTTAAATGCTTTTTGGTAGATAGGAGAAACCACAGAAGTTTGAGTTAGGTGAAGGTTAGCTACACCTTTATAATCATGCTACCAGGTTATAATGAAAAGTAGGTCTCCGACCAAATCTACCACACATACAGATATTCATTTAACAAAACATTCAGTAGCAAACAGGCACAGTACATAAGCTTCTGTAAGCTTTCTGCACTTTAGGTGCTCCAAGCATGAAAGCTTCAATCTCAACAGATTCCTAATGTTTCAGAGGCCAAAATCTTCCTAAACCTTCCTGGAGATAGGACCATATGAGGATCAAGCCTTGGATGTCGTCTCTAAATATACACTACAGGCCACCCTCATACACCTTTATCCTGCTTATGCAAGGGTGGGCTGTCTCCAAAACACGTTAGTTGATTCACAGACCTTAAAATGTCGTATAATTGTAACATCCATCATGCTGCTTTGTAAGCTACCAATTTCACTAATAAAAACTCATTTGTGACCTTCACTGTAATAATTAACAATGTTTCAGGTGTTAATTGAGATGAGATCACTGAAGCCCTTTTGGTGGCCATCTCTGTGGAGTGGCTTCCTGAAATGAACACTAGCTCACCATCCTCGAACAGAGCAGCCACCATTAGGGCAACCTGCCTCCCCTGTAGGAAAGATTAAAGTGACCACTATATGCATATTATCACACTGCCTAAAATGTCATATTTTTAAGGACATTAACAGGCATAGAATGAGGCTTGGTTTGTTTTTTAAATTTTTTCTATTTCTATTATTTTTCTATCTAATTATTTTTCTATTTTTATTTGCTGGGTCACAGACAACAGCAAATTCCATACCTTCAGAGTTACACCAGCTCATCTGCAGTAGGAGTAGAAATATCAAAGCTCTCAGTCTACCACCTTGTGCTCCAGAGATGTGGCCCAAGCACATCTTTGGACATGAACTGGGGCAACCCAAAGCAGAGCTGGATTTCTGGGAGTTTCTCCCTGTAAGCCCTGGACCTGCTTACCTATAGACCAGACTGCTTTCAGAGCCATTGCCAGTCAGAAGAGCCTGGTCTGTGTTCAGCTGCTAGAATAACACAAGTCTGAGGTCTTGTGTAGTTGGTACAACATTCTCTAAGAGGGAGAAATTTAATCAAGATCCTGTTAGCAGTTTTCTCTCTTGTTGCCTTTCAAGATTACGGCTTTTCCTTTTTTCATTTTTTAGTTCCCAAAACCAAGCTTGTTAAATCAAATCTTGACTCAATTCCTGGCAAGTAACAAGGTTATTGCTATTTGACCTTACACCCACTGGTTGTCCCCCAGTACCCTGAGGGTAAGGGGACTCTGTAAGGTCCCTGGGAGGGGAAATGAATGTAAATTAGTGGTCCCCCCAGCTGGGTATAAGCAAACTTTCCAGTCTATGGGCCCAGAGACCACCATCTAGTTTCCCCGCCAAAACTTTACATGATTTTAATTCTCCTGATGAAGATGAGAGGACAACATTAGCCAACAGAGAGGGCAGAGGATGAGATGGGACTCCCTTGCGCAGAGACCTCACCTCTAGGTCTTTATCTCGTATTGAGAATAAGTCAGTTCTGTAATAAGAACGCTGTGTCCATGGCAACCCAAACAGAATCCTGGTGCTCTTGTGATTCTTGTAGAGTGAGGAATAGAACGAGCTTGGCCCAAGATGGCAGAGACTTAAAAACATACTGTTCTTTGAGAATGGCAATCATTATAAAGTCAGGAAACAACAGGTGCTGGAGAGGATGTGGAGAAATAGGAACACTTTTACACTGTTGGTGGGACTGTAAACTAGTTCAACCATTGTGGAAGTCAGTGTGGTGACTCCTCAGGGATCTAGAACTAGAAATACCATTTGACCCAGCAATCCCATTACTGGATATATACCCAAAGGACTATAAATCATGCTGCTATAAAGACACATGCACACGTATGTTTATTGCGGCACTGTTCTCAATAGCAAAGACTTGGAACCAACCAAAATGTCCAACAATGGTAGACTGGATTAAGAAAATGTGGCACATATACACCATGGAATACTATGCAGCCATAAAAATGATGAGTTCATGTCCTTTGTAGGGACATGGATGAAATTGGAAATCATCATTCTCAGTAAACTATCCCAAGAACAAAAAACCAAACACTGCATGTTCTCACTCATAGGTGGGAACTGAACAATGAGAACACATGGACCCAGGAAGGGGAACATCACATTCTGGAGACTGTTGTGCAGTGGGGGGAGGGGGGAGGGATAGCACTGGGAGATATACCTAATGCTAGATGACGAGTTAGTGGGTGCAGCGCACCAGCATGGCACATGTATACATATGTAACTAACCTGCACATTGTGCACATGTACCCTGAAACTTAAAGTATAATAATAAAAAAAAATACTGTTCTGCCATACATACAGACACTCATTAAAGATGAGGGAGAAGGGCATGGGGTGGGGGAGAATGTACCAAAACCAAAGACCACAGCATAATAACCTCAGAACAGAGACTATCTCTCCAGTTATTTTTTCTTTTGTATATAATGGAGGGGATTCTTATTATTTACTCTGATGAAGAAGTTTACATCAAATGTTCAGCTTCCTTTGTGGGTTAGAGAGAATAACCAGAGGGCTCAGTTATCCTCTCTGAATAACTATGTTTGTTTAGTGTTTTCTAGACAATATTAAATTTCACAAAAATCGACAAGATTGATAGGACTTGGGGGGATAACTCATTGACTCAAGCTATCATTTTATAGGATTGTGAGAAAACAAATAGTTGTACATTTAAAATACACTCATATTCTAGCTAGAAGAGAGGATTTTGAATATTCTTACATCAAAGACATGGTAAATGTTTAAGGCAATGGATATGCTAATTACCATGATTTGATCATTATGCAATGTAAAATGTACTGAAACATTGCATTGTACCTCATAAATATGTACAATTAATTATGTGGCAATTAAAATTTTGAGTATAAGAAAAAATAAACTTCAATTGTAAGAAAACAACCCAACTTTTAAAAAATGGGCAAAATATGTGAACAGATACTTCACTAATAAAGATTTGCAACTGGCAAATAAGCAAATGAAAAAATGGTCATCATCAGTAGCTATTAGAGAAATGCAGATTAAAACTGCAATAAGAAACCACTAGATACCTACTAGAATATCTAAAATTAGAAAGATGGCGTGTTGACAAAGAGAGAAACTGAAACTCTCATACAATGCCAGGAATGTAAAGTGCTAGATCCACTATGGAAAACAGTTTGACAGTTTCTTAAGAAGTTAATTAGGTCTTCCAGTTCCCACTCCAACACGTAGAGAACTTGGAAGTCATCACTCCCATCTTCACAATGGAAAAAAAGATAATCAAACTGAAAATCAACAACCTTTCTTAGATCTGTCCGAGAATAGAGGTCACAGGGAAACCACTTCCTCAAACACTAAAGAGATGGGTGACTATAGAAAACCACAGTTTACCTGAGAGCAGAAGCCACAGAGCCAGTAATTGGTAGGAACACTTAAATGGTAATCAATAAATTTACTGGTGGCTGAGTGTGGACTAGCTTGAGAGTTAAAAACTTGTTGGAGTCCCGTCTTGGGGGCCCCTCATACTTTCATGAATTTTACTTCCAGAAACCCCACCAGGTTCTCATGATGAAGGCTGAAGAAAATTTCCTCAGGCTCTTTACACAAGGAAAAGGCAAAAGCAACCATTTCAAAATACACCCTAATTGGAGGATAGAGAGAGTGAGTGGGTATAGCAACCATTTTGAAATATGCCCAGGGCATTCTATTCTCTGGGTGAAAGACCTGCTCTAAAGAAAAACTGCTTTATCAGGGCCTTGTCTGACATAGGGGAAAAGCAGTAAGACAACTCTAAACCCCCCTAGCTTTCCTGTTCCACATAAAAGGAAAGGAAAAAAAAGAAATCATTACTAATTCAATATCATAAAAAATGTACACCTACATTTTTGTCTAAGATCATAGTTTGGGATCATACATTTAGATATTTCTTCCATTTGAGGTTAATTTTTCTGTATGATGTGAGAAAGAGATCTAACTTCATTCATTTGTATGTGGAGATCCAGTTGTTCCAGCACCACTTGCTGAAGAGACTGTTCTTTTCCACTCAATAGTCTTGGTACCCTTGTGGAAAATCAATTGACCTTAAATGTATGGACTTCCTTCTGGACTCTCAATTCTATTCCATTCATCTACATATCTATCCTTATTCTAGTATTACACAATTTTAACCACTATAGCTTTATAGTAAGTTTTGAAATAATATAGTGTGGATTCTGCAACTTCATTGTTCTTCTTCAAGATTGTTTTGGTTATTCAGAGTCCCTTGCATTTTCAAATGAATCTTAGATCAGCAAGTCAATTTCTGCAAAAAGAGAAGCTAGGATTTTGATAGGAACTGAGTTGAATATGTAGATCAATTTGTGGAGTGCTGTCATCTTAATAGTAATGTCTTCCATTCAATAAATACCGAATGTGTATCCACTTATTTAGGTCTTAATCACTTTCAATAATGTTTTGTAGTCTTACATTTCTTTTGTATTGGTCTTATTTTTTAATGCTATTGTAAATAAAATCACTTCCTTAATTTCATTTTGAGCCTACTCATTGTTAATGTTTCTAAATATAACTAATTTTTTGCACATTGATCTTATATCTTTTGTGAACTCAACTGTTGTTCCAGCAGGTTTGTTGTTGTTGTGGGTTCCTTAGATTTTCTGTATAAAACATTATCTGCAAAAAATAGAGTTTCACTTTTTCCATTCCAATCTAGATGCTTTTTCTTTCTTTTCTGTGGTTGGTTTTGTTTTGTTTTGTTTTTTGTCTAATTATCCTGGCTAGAATCTCCAGTATAATGTTGAACAGAAAAAGCAAGCAGGTATCCTTGTCTTGTTCCTCATCTTAGGAGAAAAGATTTAAGACTTTCACCACTAAGTTTAATGTTAGCTGTTGGTTTTTCATAATCTTTAACAGATTATCTAAGGGCTTAGGTTTTTTGTTGTTGTTGTTATTTACCTAAGTTATTTACCACATTTTTGAGTTTTTTTTTCTTGATCAGGCTAGCTATCAATTTTGTTGACCTTTTCAAATAACTTTTGGTTTTATTTTCTCTATTGTTTTTCTGCTTGCTATTTTATTTATTTTCACTCTAAAATTTATTATATCCTTGCTTTACTTGCTTTGGTTTCAGTTTGCTCTTCTTCTTCTAGTTTCTTTAGGTGGAAAGTTAAATTATTTATTGAGATCTTTCCTCCATTCTAATGTAAGAATTTACACCTATAAATTTCCCTTTAAGCATGGTATTAGCTGCATTCCATAAGTTTTGAGATGTGGAATTTTTGTTTTCATTTATCTCAAAATATGTTCTGATTTCTCTTGGATTTCTTCTATGACCAATTGATTATTTAAGAGTACATTGTTTCATTTCCATATATTTGTGAACTTCACAAATTTTGTTCTCTTACTATTCTAACTTCATTTTATTGCAGTTGAGAACATGCTTTGTATGATTTAAATCTTTTAAAATTTATTGAGAGTTGTTTTATTGCCTAGCATATGGTCTTTCCTGGGGAATGTTCCATGTGCACTTATAAAGACTGTATACTCTGTTGTTGCTGGGGGATGAAGAATGCTATAGATATCTGTTAAATCTAGTTGGTTTATAGTATTATTCAAGTCTTACATTTTCTTATTGATTTTCTGCCCAATTGTCTAACTATTAATGGAAGTGGGGAATTGAAGTCCTCAACTATTATTGCTGAATTGTTTCTCCCTTCAATTCTGTCAATTTTTTCTTCATGTACTTTGGGGCTCTGTTATATGTTTTTGATGGATTGATCCTCTTATTATTATAAAATGTCCTTTGTTTTTAATAAAAATTTTTGCCTTTAAGTCCTTTTTTTCTGATTTTTTATCATGATTCCATCTCTTTATTTATTTAGTTAGTTTTTTGGTTACTGTTTGCTTGTTTTATCTTTTTCTATACTTTTACTTTTATCTATTTGAGTCTTGGTCTAAAACATGTCTCTTATAGACAGCATATAGTAGGATCATGTCCTTTAATTCATTCTGCAAATTTCTTCCTTTTAAATGGAGAGAAATTTCCATTTAATACAATCATTGATAAAGTAAGATTTATGCTAAATAGTTTTATAGTGTAAAATTTTTATTTATTTGTCATTTCTTTTACTACATTTTTGAGTTGTTTTCTTAGTGGTTGCCCTGGATATTGCAATTAACATGTTGATTTATAACTATGTAGTTCATATTAATACCAATTTAATTACAACAGTATATATAAACTTTTTCCTGTGTAGCTCCATTCCCTCTCTCTTCCATTGTGCTGTTAATGCCTTATAAACCATATCTTCATATACTCTATGTTCATCAACCCATTTATGAGAATTGCTTTATGCTTATACCGCCTTTTATATTTACTCATATAGTTATCTTTCTCAGCTCTTTATTTCCTCATGTGGATTTGAGTTACTACCTAGTATTCTTTCCTTTCAGCCTAAATGACTCCCATGAGTATGTCTTATAGAGATTTCTTCAAGCAACAAACTTTTTTAGTTTTGTTTACCGAGGAATGTCTTAAATGTCCTAAGATACTTAATGCCTTATGTTTCTCCTTCAATGATGAAGGATATTTTTGCTACATATAGAATTCTTGATTAATAAGTCTCATTAGACCCTTAGTAGCCATCTTGATTATCACACCGACTGTCATGGCATCACAGGGGTGGTATACAAGTAACCCTTATTTCACTTCATAATTGGCCCAATATGCAATGGTAATTATCCTGGCAATTTGGATATGCCAGAGAGAAGCCACAGTGTGCTTCCTTTAAGCAAAAAGGTGAAAGTCTCTGACATCATAAGAAAAGAAAAATATTATAGGCTGAGGTTGCTAAGATTTACAGTAAGGAAAAATCCTCCATTCATAAAATTGTGAAGAAGAACAAAGACATTTGTGCCAGTTTTGCTGTCAAAAGCTGCAAAAGTTACAGCTACAGTGCATGATAAGTACTTAGTTGAGATGGGAAATACATTAAATTTGTAGGTGGAAGACATGAATAGAAATGTCTTCTGACAGCAAGCAGGTTTAGTACTCTCAGCATTTGTTTTTTTCTTTGTTTTGCTTACTTTTTTTTTTAGATGGAGTCTCTCTCTGTCACCCAGGCTGGAGTGCAGTGGTGTGATCTCAGCTCACTACAAGCTCTGCCTCCCAGGTTCAAGCCATTCTCCTGCCTCAGCCTCCCAAGTAGCTAGGACTACAGGCACCTGCCACCACGTCCAGCTAATTTTTTTGTATTTTTTTTTTAGTAGAGACGGGGTTTCACCACGTTAGCCAGGATGGTCTCGATCTCCTGACCTCATGATCCACCCTCCTTGGCCTCCCAAAGTGCTGGGATTACAGGCATGATCCACTGCGCCCAGCCTTTGTTTACATTTTTTGTTAGCATATTGTGTATCTCAACTTATCTATACCCCATGTAGACATTATGTTCAGCAATTGCCTCTGATTTTCTTCAACAAATATGAACAAAGGCTGGGGGAGCTCTAAGTCAGGCCAAATAAAGATAGCCTTGTGCGTGGGGTCTTCCTTGGACCTCCTAGTCAGGTCCCATAATGACGTTTCTCTGGGAATAAGGCTTTGAATGAGTCCCAACCCCCTTTTGTTCCTTTCTATGGCTCCCAGGAGCTTGTTTTTCACCAAAATTGTAGGATGTTGGTTTTCAAGGCTACCATGGAGCTGGAAGGATATAATGAGCATAAAGTAAGAATACTACAAAGCTCAATATTCCCACCAAAATTCAGCTTACATTCTTGAATAAATGCTCCCAAGATTGCAGCAAGCCTTTGGATATGTTCCAGAGACCTGAAAAAGTTGCTTTTATTTTTCCCAGCTGCTTTTATGAATAAAGGAATTTTTGAAGGTTCCTAGCTTGCCATTTTTAGTGACATCACTTCCAAATACACTTTTATTTTTATTTTTATTTATTTATTTTTTTGAAACAGAGTCTCACTCTGTTGCCCAGGCTGGAGTGCAGTGGTGCAATCTTGGCTCACTGTAACCTCTACCTCCCAAGTTCAGTGATTCTCCTGACTCAGCCTCCCTAGTAGCTCGGATTACAGGTGCATGTCACCATGCCCAGCTAACTTTTGTATTTTTAGTAGAGATGGGTTTCACCATATTGGTCAGGCTGGTCTCAAACTCCTGACCTCAGGTTATCCTCCCACCTCAGCCTCCCAAAGGGATTACAGGCATGAGCTACCATGCCCAGCCCCAAATACACTTTTAAATACATTTCTCAACTCACAAAATGTGAAGGAAGTACAAAATGATTACACACATGTACACACAATCTAGAGGTGAAACTAAAGTCATCAGTCAACACAGAAGACAGAGATGCCCTGGAAGTGTGCCAAAACCAAAAACCTAGAGCTTTGTTAGTTAACACTGTGGCTGCCTGAAGTAGCAAATAGGAATTGGGGCAATCAATAGGAACGTCAAAATACTTTCTTTTTAAAAAAGCTGGGAACGAGATGTCAATAGGGGACTTTGAAATGCTCTGACACATTCCTTGGAATCTGTTCAGCAATGCTGGGGATGTAGAATTTTTCTGGTTAACTGACTAACAGGATTTAAACCTGACAAAGTAGGGAACTGAGTCTGAGACCTCCATATAAATCCAGGGACCAAAATCGGCTATATATTTAGTAGAAAAGACAAAGTTGGAAGGATATGACAATGAACCAATAAGCAAATCAGTCTGCAGGCAGTAGATTTAAAAACATTAATAATTCTAAGTCTTCCCTAATGTTTTCTAAACAGCTTTACTCTTAGGCTGGAATTTGAATTTATACCATATTCATAGTCCAAGAAACCTCAAACCAATAAATCAAACTAGAATGGATTCTGATTGGTACTACTTCCAGAACCAAGCATAAACCAGGCAAATCATCTCAATTCCACTCTCTCAGGATACCCAAAGTTAAAGTTTAGACAAATATGAGGTAATTCTAAAATTTAACAGAGTTGAAGAGTCAAACTACCATAAGCAGGAGTCAACAGAAACCACAAAGAGAAGAAAAAGACATAGAAAAATACAAATATTAAAATTATAACAAACTTTACACTCAGGAAGCAGGTTTAAAAGTATGTTTAAAGTGAAATGATAGAGTTTAACACTATGGGGAACATTAAAAGTGGCCCTTGGTCCACTCTGGAACTTCAAAGTAGGTTTTCTGAAAAAGACCATGCTTGAGCTTGGGTGTGAAGGACAATAAATAAGAAACCAGGAGAAACAGTGGGGAGTGAATTTCAGAGAAAAAGATCATAATGAACAAATACATGGAAGCATTGAATAGCAGAGGGACTTCAGGGGAAATTATAAACATTTACCTATTACTGCAATAACAAATGTAGAGCAGGGAGTAATAGGAGATGCCTGTACAGTATATTAAGAAGTACAGGCATTATTTAATAGGCAATAGAGAGTCAAAAAGGGATTTTAAAAAGGGAAGTCTCATGATAATTTTGTTTTATGTAGACTGTCTTTCAGTGGTGAGGAGAGAGAGCAACACTGAAGTGTCAGGGATCAGTTAGGAGGGTACTACACAGCTTAGGTGAGAGATGTTGAGGGCCTGAAAAACCAGGGTGGTAGTAAGAATTGAGAGGAGACACAGATTTGAGAAACAGCAGAAAAAATTAGCACAACTTGTGATTGATTAGCTATGTGGACGATAGCCAAAGCAATCCTGCGCAAAAAGAATGAAGCTGGAGATGCCACACTACCCAACTTCAAACCATCTACAAGGCTACAGTGAGCAAAACAGCATGGCACTGGTACAAAAACAGACACACAGGCCAATGGAACAGGTTAGAGAACCCAGAAATAAAGCTGCACAGCTACAACCATCTGATCTTTGACAAAGCCAACAAAAACAAGCGATGGAGAAAGGACTTCCTACTCAACAAATGGTGCTGGGATAACTGACTAGCCATATGCAGAAGATTGAAACTGGACCCCTTCTTTTCACCACAAACAAAAATCAACCCATGATGGATAAAAGGCTTAAATGTAAAACCTAAAACTATAAAATCCCTGGAAGATAAGCTAGGAAATACCATTCTGACATAGGACCTTGTGAAGATTTCATGATAAAGATGCCAAAAGCAATTGCAACAAAAACAAAAACAGACAAGTGGAACCTAATTAAAGAGCTTCTGCACAGCAAAAGAAACTATCAACAGACTGAACAGACAGCCTACAGAATGAGAAAAAATATTTACAGATTAGGCATCTGACAAGGGTCTAATATCCAGAATCTATAAGGAACTGAAACAAATTTACAAGCAAAAAACAAACAACCTCACTAAAAAAAAGGGAGGGGCAAAGTACAGGAAAAGTACAGGAACAGACACTTCTCAAAAGACATACACACAGCTAACAAACATGAAAAAACGCTCAACATCACTAATCCTAGAGAAATGCAGATCAAAACTACAATGAGATACCATCTCATACCAGTCAGAATAGCTATTATTAAAAAGCCAAAAAATAGATGCTGGCAAAGTTGCAGAGGAAAGGGAATGCTTATACACTACTTCTGGGTATGTAAATTAGTTCAGCCATTATGGAAAGCAGTTTGGTGATTTTTCAAAGAACTTGAGAATTACCCTGTGACCCAGCAATCCTATTACTGAGTATATACCCACAGGAATATAAATATAATTCTGCCATGAAGACACATGCACACATATGTTCATCGCAGCACTATTCACAATATCAAAGACACAGAATTTACCTAGGTGCCCATCAATGGTGAACTGAATAAAAAAATGTGGCACACATATACCATAGAATACTATGCAGCCATAAAATAAAAACAAGATCATGCCCTTTGCAGCAATCCAGTCTAAAAGCCTAAAAGCCTGGAGGCCATCCAGCTCCAGCTTAAAAATTATTCTAAGCAAACTAACACAGGAACAGGAAACCAAATACCTCATGTTCTCACTTATAAGTGGGAGTTAAACATTGAGTACACATGGGCACAAATATGGGAACAACAGACATTGGGGCCTACTTGAGGGTTGGAGGCTGGGAGGAGGGTGAGTATCAAAAAGCTACCTATCAGGTACTATGCTTATCACCTGAGTGACAAAACAATCCGTACATCAAACCCCCATGACACAAAATTTACATATATAACAAACCTGCACATATACCCTTGAACCTAAAATAAAAGTTAAAAATTAATTAAATAAAATGTACATACAAAAAAAAACAACTGGATTTAGGCATGTCTATTTGTATATAAAAATAGAGCTATTGGCACAGTCATGAACCAACTGAATTATATCTCAGTATATCAAAATAGTTAATATCTCAGTATATCAAAATAGTTGATTTAAAGATAATCAACAAGAGAAGAGAAAATATTTCAGGTCAGATTTAGGATTTTACGTGAAATTATTACTGCTGGAAAACCAACAGATTACATGTCAGATGGATCCCAGGAGACGTGTGAGGACTGACACAATGTGGAATAAACATCAAAAAAAGGCCAGGCGTGGTGGCTCATGCCTGTAATCCCAGCACTTTGGGAGGCTAAAGCAGGCAGATCACCTGAGGTCAGGAGTTCAAGACCAGCCTGGCCAACATCGCAAAACCCCATCTCTACAAAAATACCAGATAACAGAAACTGGGAAGTGTGTGTCGGTTGGCAGGGAAGAGTGGTTGGTTAATACAGTTAGACAGAAGGAATAAGTTCTAATGTTCTATAGCAGAGTAGGGTGACTACAGTTAACAACAATGTATAGTATATTTCAAAATAGCTCTAAAAGAGGACTTGAAATGTTTCCAACATACAGAAATGACAAATACTCAAAGTGGCAGATACCTTTAATACCCTGATTGGTCATAACACATTCTATGCATGTAACAACATATCATCTGTACCCCATAAATATGTACAAATATTTGTTGTGTACCAATTAAAAATAAAATTAAAAAAATAAAAATATAGTATATCTACACAATGGAGTATTATTCAGCATTAATACACTGCAAGTTGGATAAAACTTGAAAACATGCTACATGAGAGAAACAATGCATAAAAGATCACAAATTTGGCTGCGTGTGGTGGCTCACGCCTATAATCCCAGCACTTTGGGAGACTGAGGCATGCACATCACTTGAGCTCAAGAGTTCCAGACCAGCCTGGGCAACATGACAAAACCCGTCTCAACAAAAAAAAATTGGGCAGGTGTGGTGGTGCGCCCCTGTGGTCCCAGCTACTGGCTACTCACGAGGCTGATACAGGATGAAGGCATCAGGACAGTTTCATGACTGGGATCAACTCTTCTGGAAGCAGATCCTAGCAGGACTTGGTGTCCACATCCAGGTTATGGGTCCTGCAGAGAGCTTGGAATACTTACCCCTCAATCTGTCAGGAGGAGCAGAGGCTGATGCCTTGAGGACTTACTGTCCTTCTGACCAGTCCTGATGTTTCCAAGGCACTGGGGTTTCAGGACTGGATAAGACTGTTCTAAGGCCACAGTGTGGAAACTGCAGTGTGGCAACTACAGTAAGTCGCAGGCCAAATCCTCAACTCTGGCACTATCTAAAGTACCTTTCTAGGCCTGGTGCGGTGGCTCATGCCTGCAATCCCAGCACTTTGGGAGGCTGAGGCAGGTGGATCACCTGAGGTCAAGAGTTCAAGACCAGCCTAGCCTATGTGGTGAAACCCCTTCTCTACTAAAAAAAAAAAAAATATATATATATATATATATATAAATATATATATATAAATATATATAAATATATATATTAATATATATATATAAATATATATATATATATATATATATATATATATATAATTAGCTGGGAGTGGTGACGGACACATGTAATCCCAGCTACTCAGGAGGCTGAGGCAGGAGAATCGCTTGAATCCAAGAGGCGGAGGCTGCAGTGAGCTGAGATTGCATGACTGCACTCCAGCCTAGGCAACAAGAGCAAAACTCCATCTCAAAAAAAAAAAAAGCCTATTTATATACTTATTTACTTCCAAAATTTGTTTTTTTGGAACATCACTCTTAGGATTTGCATAACAAATAGTGTGTGTATAAATTTACTAATTTTTATTTTATTTTTAAGAACAACTCACTCTTAGCAGATAGGGCCATTAACACATCCTTATAACATAACAGGTATAGACAAGACTGTTTAAATCATGACCACTTTACTCCTATAATAAGTAGGTAGAGCAGGAATTCCTACAGAGGGAAATTATTCCTCCAGTTATAGCTAGCTCAGACTTCCTCCCAGGCTGAATCATTCATATGACTCCTCCTTAAGTCTGCATGGTTATCCGCCCATCTCAGTCCCCAGTAGAAAGAATAGACCTTGAATCTCAGAGACAGTTGGTGGCCACAAGTCCCTGAACTGCTACTTGGCTTCCCCAGTAAAAACTCAGACTTGGCCAGGCGTGGTGGCTCACGCCTGTAATCCCAGCACTTTGGGAGGCTGAGGTGGGCGGATAACCTGAAGTCAGGAGTTCAAGCCCAGCCTCGAAACATGGCAAAACCCTGTCTCTACTGAAAATAAAAAAAATTAGCCAGGTGTGGTGGCATGTGGCTGTAGTGCCAGCTACTCGGGAGGCTGAGGCAGGAGAATCACTTGAACCCAGAGGCAGAGGTTGCAGTGAGCCAAGATCGTGCCACTGTACTCCAGCCCCTGGGCAACACAGCAAGAGTCTGTCTCAAAATAAATGAATAATTAATTAATTAATGAAAACTTGTTCTTGTAACCCAAGGAAACTGATAGTGTCATTTAGGCTCTGGCTTCCAGTGACAATGAGTTCTAGGTGACAAGTCTCAAAGAGAAGAGCCCCTGTCATTGTCTGGGCCCCTGCCCTAAGACTGCAGACTCAGGTTTGGTTCTCACTGATAAGAGAGACAGAGTTTCAACCATGTTAGCCAGGCTGGTTTCAAACTCTTGACCTCAGGTGATCCACCTGCCTCAGCCTCCCAAAGTGCTGAGATTACAGGCGTGAGCCACCATGCCCAGCCAGGTTCTCAGTTTTCAATATCTCAGAAAGCTAATTAGATCTTAGTCTCATTTAAATCTCTTGATTTTACACAGTAATAACAGTGAACACATGGTAAAATTCAGCCCATCTAACTCAGAAACTTCATTTTAGGACAACATTTCAAACTCCTTTCCCATCCAGGCATTTTTCAGTAGCAGATATGTGGCACACCTGACTCCCCTCCTCCCCTTTCTTCTCCTGATCCCTCTTGGTGAAAGTTTAGGGATTAGAGCTGTACTTAGAGCCAGAGTTCAGTGGCCTAAATCACCCATCCTTGGATTACTGCAAGCTCACCCAGAGTCTAAAAGAACAATTCTCCTTATGCCCATTGTGATCCTGGAAACATTACTTCTTGTCTCAGTTGCTGTTTCTCACTTAGCATCTCATTTTGAAACTTTGTTTCTCTGTGGCCACTATGACATTTGCCCCACTGAGCTTTCTGGCTTTAATTTTTGCCCCCTCAATCAGCTCCAAAATGCCCTACTGAAGTAGCCCCAGAAACTCACATTACTATTCCACTCTTTAATGATTTCTCATCTAAATATTAACTACCACTCCAACATTCCTGCATTTGTGGTCATCTTGTCAGGGCATCTTGCTGAACCTAAATGAAGAAATTCATATTCCTTTTACTCCAGATTGTCCATACAATTATTCTTAAAAGCTATCCTTGGGATATACTGAGGAAAATACTTCATTATTGGAGTCTGCTGATCTAGGCTTTAAGTGCTGGCTGCACCACTTAGCAAATTTCAGAAAGGTATTAAATTCCTATAAATTGGAATAATGTCTACTTTATAAGGTGTTTCAAAAATTCAGTGATAATGTATGTGATATACACAGCACAGGGTCAGTCTGTCAAGCAGGACCCTGTCAGTGGTGGCTAAGAAGATGATGATAAGTACCCATGGGGTGCCAAGAACAGAGCAGTCACATCTACTAACCTCAGCCACCAAACACCAGCACTTCCAGCTTCCCTGGATGCTTTGCTAACTGTGTGTTTTTTGGGGATAATATGTGCTTCTCTCTTTGGCTTGAGAACACAACACTCCTTCAAATGGCTGAAGTATCTTTATTATATACATGGTCTGTGCTTTATCATACAAATTTTTTTTGAGGCAGGGTCTCACTCCGTTTTCCAGGTTGGAGCGCAGTGGCATGATCACAGATCACTGCAGCCTTGAACTCATGGGCTCAAGTGATCTTCCCACCTCAGCCTCCTGAGTATCTGGGACCATAGGCACCCACCATTTGTTTTTAAGAGATGGGGTCTCACTATGTTGCCCAGGCTCGTCTCAAACTCCTGGGCTCAAGTGATCCTCCCACCTCGGCATCCCAATGTGTTGGGATTACAGATGTAGGCCACCTTGCCTGGCCCTAAATTTTTTTTTTCTTTTGGTAAAATACACAAAAAAATGTACCATCTTAACCATGTTTAAGTGTGCAATTCAGTGGTGTGAAGTACATTCACACTGTTATGTAGCCATCTCTACTATCCATTCCCTGAACTTTTAAAAAAATTATCCCAAACAGAAAGTCTATACTCATTAAACACTAACTCTATTCTCCCCTACCCCCACCCCATGGAAACTACTTTCCGTCTCTATGAATTTGCCTATTCTAGGTGTCTCACATAAGCAGAATCATATAATATTTGTTCTTCTGTGACTGGCTTACTTCACTTAGCATAATGTCCTCAAGTTTCATCTATGTTGTAGCATATATAAGAACTGCACTTCTTTCAAGGCTGAATCATATTCCGCTGTAAATCTATACCTCATTTTGTTTATCCATTCATCCATGGAATGAGAACACAGCATTCTTCCCCCACTCCTCAAGGATGCAACAGTCAAGATGCCATCTTGGAAGCAGAGACTAGACGCTCACCAGATAAATGAACCTGCCAGTGCCTTCATCTTGGACTTCCTAGCGTCCAGACCTCTGAGAAAACAAATTCCTGTTCTTTATACATTACCCAGTCTGTGGTATTCTGTTACAGCAGCTCAAAACAGACTAACACAATGCCCTTAACCCACCTCTCTGCCTTAGTACCCATCACATTCTGTAGCAATGAATCTGTAGCCTGTCTCTTTCCTATGAGCATGTTGCCTTCATCCATTCTTCCACTCACTCAACTGATTTTAAGTGCCCATTTTGGGCCTAGCAATACCTAGGTCTTACAGTCAGGACCTCACAGACGTGACAGAAACTGACACAACCCCTACCTTTAAGGAGATCAGCACAGAAAATATTGTAAAGGAGACAGAGTATGGTACTAGACAATAAGAAGGGAGGAGTGACTTAACAAAGCAGGAGGAGAAGGCTTTCTTGGGAAGTCAATTTATGATGACACCTCAAGGTCAAGGAGTACTTCATTATACTATACTCTGATGTCTAGTAGAGGCAAAGCACATGGCAGAGCTCAGTAAATACTTAACAAATTAATGAATGAGTGTTATATGTGAAAACACTATATATGCAAAGTACCACACAGATGTTAGCCATTATCATTTAGTTAATATGGAGAGATCTACTTTTATTCAGTTCTCTGGAACACTCAAAAAGATATTATGGCATACGACAGAGAAAAGTCATTAAGAGTGTTTACTCATTTGGACATACCCAGAGTCCTGTCTTCCTAGGAGAGAGCTTGAAGCTATTAGGTGTAGGACTAAATACAGAGAAATTAAAGAACCAATCACCCCATTTCAATGTTTGACCAATCCCACTTTCCTCCATGCAAAAGCAAAAGTTCACAAGATTGATTTTTAAAATAGTGATAAAATAACTTTAAAGATATTGGAAAATGAGAGGAATACATAATAAAGATTAAGTATTCTATTTCACTGATGGAAGGTAATGTTAACTAAATCTGAAAATACAAACGCAGCAAGCTGCCATTCCCAAATTGATATTGGACAGTGAAGAAAGTGGCTCACTTTGTCCATCGTGGCACTGGAGTTCTAAGAAGCATGTGGAAAGAGACGGATATTATTTTTGAACCAAGTAGTATGTATTAATACATTACCTCATTCAATTCAAACACTTACAAATCCTGTGAGATGGAAATTATAGCCATCATTTATGAAGGAGGAAACAGGCTGATAGATTGTTATGTTGTCACGGCAGGGATTTGAACTGAAGTTTCTGACTCCAAAGCAGAGAAGAGAACAGAAAAAAGCACAGAAAAATACAGGAAAGCCACTGTAGAATTGTTGACAATTAAGGAGCTGGCAATCAAAGACACACTCAGAGCGTTTCTCTTTGCTACCTTGCCCTCTGAACTGTTCAATAAATAGTCAAAATGCAAAGCTAACTGCGGTATTTATTTCAGATCTGCTATTGTTCTTCAATTTAAAAACAAGACAGGAATATTAAATTTGTCAATTTAAATTGGTAAAGGTAGACCTCTATCAGATACAGGTGCTTCTTGACTTACGATGTGTTTATTAGGAAGGGAAAATATCATAAGTCAAGTGCCTTTAATATACCTAACCTACTGAACATCAGAGCTTAGCCTAGCCTACCTTAAACATACTCAACACTACATCAGCCTACAGTTGGGCAAAATCATCTAACACAAATCCTATTTTATTATGAAGTGTTAAATAGCTCATGTAATTTATGGGAACAACATCCTGAACATGAAAAACAGAATAGTTGTATGGGGACTTGAAGTATGGTTTCTACTGAATGTGCATTGCCTTTGGAACCATCATAAAGTTGAAAAATTTTAAGTCAAAGCATCATAAGCCACAGACCATCTGTTTATGAAATGCTCCCTTGGGGGCACTATGCCAGATACCATGCCTAAGTGTTTTCTAACTTTCTGTACCACATTCAAAAGGAGTATCTTCATAAAGATGTTACTGAAATCATGGAAAATATTAGTCCTTCCTTTCTTTTGCAGTTAACAGGATTTTTCAAAGAAGCTCTAAACCACAAGCATATTCCAGCAGCTGTTTGTTCCTCCAAGTATGAGCTACTTCCTCCTTCTACCACCATCACTCATATTCTAGTTTGAGGAAATATTAAGAAGCACAGTAAATCAGTCTGTTTTCAGGAATTGCTTAGTCCTTGAATTAATGTATTTTATAAAGCAGGTTTGCTTTAGCTCTTTAAGATTTGGTTACTTAGAATAAAATCTTCCCAATTTGTAGCCAATTTGCATGCCATGTATAAATGCATGAATTTTAAAAGCACCTTTACAATTAAGAGTTTTGTTGTCTGTATTTACATAATTTAAATCTGATTGTTTAAGCAAGTTTTAGAGCAATTTTAAGAATAGTAATGAGGCAAGAATCTTAAGATAACATACTCTTGCTGGGCAAGGTGGCTCATGCCTGCAATCTCAGGACTTTCGGAGGCCGAGACGGGCGTTATCACTTGAGGTCAGGAGTTCGAGACCAGCCTGGCCAACATACTGAAGCCCCATCTCAACCAAAAATACAGAAATTAGCCAGGCGTGGTGGCGGGCACATGTAGTCCCAGCTACTCAGGAGGCTGAGGCAGGAGAATCCCTGGAACCCAGAAGGTGGAGGTTACAGTGAGCTGAGATCACAGACTGCACTCTAGCCCAGGTGACAGAGTGAGATTCCTCAAAAAAAAAAAAAATATATTTGTTAGATCCAAGAATCTAAGGATAACACCTTCTTTAGAACCAAATGTATAAATGGTCAAACGAAAAATGTTTTTAGCAACATGGTGTGAACTGTGGTGGTATCATCATCTTCCAAACTTTTCTGCAAAAAAGGGACAATGTCATCACTGGCTAGTGGAAATTAGAAAAATTTAAGGAATTCTCAGCAAATGTATTATTTTTTAAAATACCAATGGTCATCCCCTAAGAAGGTAAATGCACCTGCCTTTTCTAAAAACAAAGCAAAACCAAAACAAAACTCTATAGAAAGATATTATAAAATCAAGGATTAAATTTAGGTTGATTAATAAATGATTGAGGTTATAAGTAATACTATCTCCAGGATTTTAATATTTATTTATTTATTTTATTTATTTATTTATTTATTTTGAGATGGAGTCTCACTCTGTCACCCAGGCTGGAATGCAATGATGTGACCTCAGCTCACTGCAACTTCCACCTACTGGGTTCAAGTGATTCTCCTGCCTCAGCCTCTCGAGTAGCTGGGACTACATACAGGTGCCTGCCATCATGCCCAGCTATTTTTTGTATTTTTAGTAGAGATGAGGTTTCCCTATGTTGGCCAGGTTGGTCTCGAATTCCTGGCCTCAAGTGATCTACCTGCCTTGGCCTCCCAAAGTGCTGGGATTACAGGTGTGAGCCACCATGCCCAGCCTACCTCCAGGATTTTTAATTTCTTGGCAGGGATAATATGACATTAAAAACAAGCTTCTGTTTTATTAATAAGGAGAAGATTTATTCACAACCAATTTCTGCTTCAAATCACTTCCAAGCATACAACAAATGCCAACCTTAAAAGAGGGATTCCCTACTTGATTGTCTCAGTTTATTAGAATATGGATGGTCTTTTCATTCAAGATAACATGCCATTTGTTTGCTTGTTTTTGTGTAGGAATTATCTTGGAATCTGATAATTCTGAGACTCTACTAACGACGAGGCACTGCATATCTACATTTATGTGCCCATTTCCATTCATTCCTTAAAATATTATGAAACATTGTTACATACAAAATATGTATAATATAATGTATAATATGCATAACATATAGTATAATTATAATATAGTCATCATATAATGAGTATAACATGAAAGCATGATGAAATGACCACCTGTGAATCTGCCATCCAACTTGAGGAACAGAGACAGTACTATCGAAGCCCCTGTGTGTCCCTCCTCAATCACCATGTTATGTTGATCATTCCTGTGCTTTTCTTTATAGTTTTGTCACATTTATAGCTAAGAAAGTATATTCAAAACTTGGCTTTTGAATTTTATAAAATACAATTATATTGCATGTATTCTGCTGCAACTTACTTTTTCACTCAGCGTTGTTTCTGAAATTTGTCTGTGATGATGTGTATAGCTCTATTTCAATCATTTTCACTGCCATATAGTGTTCCATTGCAAGGATAAACCACAATGTATTATCAGTTCTCCATGTCTTGGGCGCATTCTCCCCTGATTTGTACTGTTTCGATCATTTCTGTACTTGCTTCCCAGTCCTCATCTGCAAGAGGTTTTTTTGGGGGGTATGTTCTCCAGGAACAGGATTGATTTTCATAAATTATGTAATTACATATATAAATATATATGATACATATACACAATTATGTATATATTCATAAATATACTTGTTTAATATGAATATGAAATAAATGTTATATAATTATATAGAACATATATTATAAATATAATAATGTAATTCCAAAAAGGGGTTGCCAATTTACACTGCCACCAACAGTGTAAAAGTAATACCACCTAAATTTTAATTTTTTGGCCATCTAAGAGGTATGCATCTAAGGGGTACAAATGCTACCTCAGTATGGTTTTAATTTGCATTTCCCTGAGCATTCTTTTATATCTTTATTAGGCACTTATATTTTTTCTTCTATGAAATGTATGAAGTGCTATGGCATTTGCCACTATTTTTGGGGGTTGTTTTCTACTTGATTTTTTTTTTTTTTTTGAGATGGAGTTTTGCTCTTGTCACCCAGGCTGGAGTGCAGTGGCATGATCTTGGCTCACTGCAACCTCCACTTGCCAGGTTCAAGCTATTCTCCTGCCTCAGCCTCCCAAGTAGCTGGGATTACAGGCACCTGCTACCATGCCCAGCTAAATTTTTATTTCTAGTAGAGACAGGGTTTCACCTTGTTGGCCAGGCTGGTCTCAAACTTCTGACCTCAGGTGATCTGCCCACCTCAGCTTCCCAAAGTGCTGGGATTACAGGCGTGAGGCCCAGGCATTCTATTTGATTTTTAGAAGTTTGCTTGTTTGTTTGTTTGGGACAGAAGTTTTTTGGTTTTTTTGTTTTGTTTTTTTTTTTGTTTGTTTTTGAGACAGAGTCTCCCTCTGTCACCGAGGCTGGAGTGCAGTGGTACTGTGTTGGCTCACTGCAACCTCTGTCTCCTGGGTTCAAGCAATTCTCCTGCCTCAGCCTCCTGAGTAGCTGGGATTACAGGTGCCCACCACCACGCCCAGCTAGGTTTTTAATACTTTTAATAGAGATGGGGTTTCACCATGTTGGCCAGGCTGGTCTCAAACTCCTGACCTCAGGTGATCCACCTATCTCAGCTTCCCAAAGTGCTGGGATTACAGGTGTGAGCCACCACACCTGGACGGACAGAAGCTTTTTAATGCACTATTTTTTCTCTGGGCAAAAGACCTTCAGAAAACATCCATCAATAAGTAGATTCATAAATGGTACTTTTGGCTACAGAAACTCTTTTTATTTTCTGAATACTAACCATTTATTGATTATATGTAAATATTTCTCCAAGTTTGATGCTTATGTTTTCACTCTTGGTTTTGCCTTTTTGCTTAAAAGAAGTTCTAAATTTTAACATAGTCAAATTTATTCAGAGATTATGCTTTTGATATCTTAAATCCTTGCCTACACCAGAGCCATAAAGATATTCTCCTGTATTTTGCTTCAAACTTTTTTTTTTTTTTTTGAGATGGAGTCTCACTCTGTCACCCAGGCTGGAGTGCAGTGGCACCAGCTCGGCTCACTGAAAGCTCTGCCTCCCGGGTTCATGCCATTCTCCTGCCTCAGCCTCCTGAGTAGCTGGGACTACAGGCGCCTGCCACCATGCTCGGCTAATTTGTTGTATTTTTAGTAGAGACAGGGTTTCACCATGTTAGCCATGATGGTTTCAATCTCCTGACCTTGTGATGTGCCCACCTGGGCCTCCCAAAGTGCTGAGATTAGAGGTGTGAGCCACCGCGCTCAGCCTTTTTTTTTCTTTTTTCTTTATTTTTTGAGATGGAGTCTCCCTCTGTTGCCCAGGATGGAGTGCAGTGACATGATCTTGGCTCACTGCAACCTCCACCTCCCAGGTTCAAGTGATTCTCCTGCCTCAGCCTCCCGAATAACTGGGATTACCACATCTGGCAATTTTTTTGTATTTTTAATGGAGACAGGGTTTTACCATGTTGGCTAAGCTCGTCTTGAACTCCTGACCTCAAGTGATCCGCCCACCTCGACCTCCCAAAGTGCTTGGATTACAGGTATGAGCCAATGCACCCAGGCTGCTTCAAACATTTCAAATTTTGTTCATCATTTAAATCATAAATCCGACAGAATTGGATTTTTTGTATGTATGGTATGAAGCAGAGAATTTATAAAGAAATGAATGTATTTCTTAGTTATGGAAGCTGAGATGTCAAGCTCAAGGGGCCATATCTGGTGAGAGACTTCTTGCTGGTGGGGACTCTCTACAGAGTTCTGAAGTGGCTGAGCATGCTCAGGTGCTATGCTAGATTCTCCCTCTTATAAAGCCACCAGTGCCCTCCCATGATAGCCCATTAATCCATTAATCCATGTGTGGATTAATCCATTGAGGGCAGAGCCCTCATGATCCAATCAACTCTTAAAGGCCCCACCTCTCAATACTGCCACATTGTGGATTAAGGGTCAACATGAGTTTTGGAGGGAACATTCAAACTTGATATGGTTTGGCTGTGTCCCCATCCAAATCTCACCTTGAATTGTAGCTCCCATAATCCCCACATGAAGTGGGAGGGACCTGATGGGAGGTAACTGAATCACGGGGTGGGTTTTTCCCATGCTACTCTTGTGATAGTAAGTCTTATGAGATCTGATGGTTTTATAAAGGACAGTTCCCCTGCACATGCTCTCTTGCCTGCCACTGTGTAAGATGTGCCTTTGCTTCTCCTTTGCTTTCTGATTGTGAGGCCTCCCCAGCCATGTGGAACTGTGAGTCCACTAAGCCTCTTTTTCTTTATAAACTACCCAGTCTTGGGTATTTCTTCATAGCAGTATGAAAATGGACTAATACAAAACCATAGCACTGATTTTACCACGTGTAAAATTTCCATATACTAATGTTCTATTTCTGTGTTCTCTATTCTTTTCCACCAGTCCATTTAACTATCTGTGTGTATCATTTCTAATTACTATAGCTTTATAATAAATCTCGAAAGCTTTCAAATTAGGGCAACTCTCTCACCTCGTCCTCTTTTTCAAGAGTATTTTGGCTCTTCTTGGTTCTTTGCTTCTCCCTATGATGATTTCACAATACATTTATGAAGTTCCATGACAAATCCTATTGGGTCCAGGCATGGTGGCTCACGCCTGTAGTCCCAGCAGTTTGGGAAGCCAAAGTGGGTGAATCACCTGAGGTCAGGAGTTCAAGACCAGCCTGACCAACATGCTGAAACCCCACTTCTACTAAAAGTGCAAAATTAGCTGGGTGTGGGGGCGAGTACCTGTAATCCCAGCTACTCGGGAGGCTGAGGCAGGAGAATCGCTTCAACCCACGAGGTGGAGGTTGCAGTGAGCTGAGCTTGTGCCATTGCACTACAGCCTGAGCAGCAAGAGCAAAACACCATCTCAAAAAATAAAATAAAATAAATCCTATTGGAATTTTGTATGAAACTGCATTAAATCTAGAGATTAATGTGGAAAGAATTAACATCTTCATGATACTGAGCCTCTTTATTCTAGAACTTATCTACCCAATTAAATCTCTTTATTATTATTATTATTATTTTTGAGACAAAGTCTAGCTCTGTCTCGCAGGCTGCAGTGAAGTGGCGGCATAATCTCAGCTCATTGCAACCTCAACCTCCCAGGTTCAAGCGATCCTCCCACCCCAGCTTCTCAAGTAGCTGTGACTACAGGCATGTGCCACCACACCCAACTAACTTTTGTATTTTTAGTAGAGATGGGGTTTCGCCATGTTGGCCAGTCTGGTCTCGAACTCTTGACCTCAGGTGATCTGTCGGCTTCAGCTTTCCAAAGTGCTGGGATTACAGTCATGAATCACTGCGCCTAGCCTATATCTCTTTATTATTTTTATTACTAATCTGTGTTTCATTAAAGTTTTAAAACATCTTACTCAAAATCTTCTTGCATATATTTTAAGATTTTATTTATTTATATTTTTGATGCTACTGTAAATGTTAACTTTTTATAAATTATGTTTTACGTTTGTTGCTAGCATATAGAAATGCAACTGCAAAAGTGCCAAATAAATGCTGTTAATTCTTATGATTTAGCCATAGATTCTTTTGTTTTCTATGTAATCTAGTCTCTAATAACAGGTTTCTTTCTTCCTTTATTAGCTGTCTACTGGTGCATAATGAATAACCTCACACTTCGTGGCTTAAAACATGCACTTATTTTCTCACAGTTTCTGAGAGTCTCCTGCTCAGGGTCTCACAAGGCTGTAATCAAGGTGACAGCCAGACTGTGGTCCTTTTTAAAACTTAGTGTCCTCTTCTAAGCTCAGGTGGTTGTTGGCAGGATTCCCTTACCTGAAGCCATAGGATGGAGGTCCCTGCCTTGTTCTGGCTGTCAGCTGAGGGTTTCCATCAGCTCCTAGTGGTCCCCAGGGTTTCTTGCCAGGTGGCTCATTCATAGGCCGTCTTACAACATGATAGCGCACTCTAGTCCACTAACAAGCAGTCTTCTATAACATAACATAATCACAAGAGTAACTATTCCATTACTTTTGCCATATAACATGAACCAATCAAAGAAGGGACTATCCCCATCACCTTAGCCATATTCTGTTGTTGGAAGCATGTCTCAGGTCTCATCCACAATCAAAGAGAGGTTGTGATTTACTTGGGGTTACTATAGAGTGGATTTCCAATCCTAATCACTTTTTTTATTGCTGTACTGCATAGGCTAGGCCCCCAGTACAATGCTGAAATCATGATAGTGATTATCCTGCTCTTATTTATAATCTTAAAGGAAATCATTTAGTACTTCAGCATAAAGTAAGATATTTGCTGTAGGCTTTTTGTAAACGCCACTTATCAGGTTTAAAAAGTTCTCTTCTACTCCAAGTTTTCTAAGATTTATTTTTTAAAAAATTATAAATGGCTACCAAGGTTTACCAAACTTTTTTTTCTGCATCTTTTGAGATAATGGGTGACCTTTCTCCTCCATTGTTAAATGGCCCTGACATTGTGGAACAAACTCAACTTGATAATGATTTCTAGTCATTGCTGAATTTGCTTTACTATCTTGCTTTGGATTTTTCAAATTTGTCTTCATGATTGAGATTAATTGGGGAGTGCTTCCTCTTTTTCTATGCTTTGGAATAATTTATATAAGATTGGAATTATTTTTTTCCTGAATGTTCAGTAGAACATTCATGAAAACTTCTCTGAGTTTAGGGTTTGTTTTCTGGGAAGATTTTAAAATACCAATCAAATTTCTTTAATGATTATTCAGTATTTCATTAAAATTATTTTGATAACATAGTTTTGAGTAATTTGCCCATGAAATTTTCAAATTTGTTGCCATGAAATTGTTCATAATAGCTTCTTTAAAAATGAATCTCTTAATCTTTACAACATCAATAGTTATTCACATTTTAAATATTTTTTTAGATACGGGTCTTGCTCTGTCACTCAGGATGGAGTACAGTGGCACGATCATAGCTCACTGCAGCCTCCAATTCCTGGGCTTAGGCAATCCTTCCATTTCCCTCCCAAGTCACTGGGATTACAGATGTGAGCAACTCTCACAGTTTCTGAAAGTCTCCTGCTCAGGGTCTCACAAGACTGTAATCAAGGTGACAGCCATACTGTGGTCCTTTTTAAAACTTAGCTTTTTTAAAAAATAAATCTGGACAGAAATTTATTAGATTTTTAAATGAATTAGTGTTTGACTTTATGGATCCTATTATACTATTTCTATTAATTTCTGCCTTTACCTTAGATATTTCATTCTATTTCTCTTTAAGATTTACTCTGACTTATTAAATCTCCTAATGACCCCATCTCAGTTTTCTCTGTTTATATTGTGTAAATATTCCATTTCTAATGTGAAGCTAGTAGGATGTTCCTTTTTGGGGGGTAATGGGGGTTCATCTTGGCCTCATAAAAGTGTAAAAATCAAAACCAAATAAGCATATATTTCATGTAGGCCAGGCATGGTGGCTCATGCCTATAATCCCAACACTTTGAGGGGCTGAGCAGGAGAATAGCTTGAGCCCAGGAGTTCAAGACCAGCCTGGGCAACATGGTGAGACCCTGTCCCTACAAATAAAAACATTAGCTAGGCAGGGTGGTGTGAGCCTATGGTTCCAGCTACATGGGAGGCTGCAATGGGAGAATCACTTGAGCCCAGGAGGTCAAGGCAGCAGTGAGCTATGTGTCACTGTACTCTAGCCTGGGCAAGACTCTGTCTCAAAAAAAAAAAAAGAAAAAAGAAAACACTTGTTGCTTTTCTCGTATCTTAAGATTATAAATTTACTTCATTGATTTTCAGTTTTTCTTTTTCTTTTTTTTTTTTAATTAAGACAGAGTCTTGCTCTGTCACCCAGGCTGGAGTGCAGTGGCATGATCTCAGCTCACTGCAACCTCCACCTTCTGGGCTCCAGTTATCGTCCCACTTCCCAAGTAGCTGGGAGTACAGGCGTGTGCCACCACACCTGGCTAATTTTTGTAATTTTTAGTATAGACAAGGTTTCACCACATTGGCCTCAGGTGATCTGCCTGCCTCAGACTCCCAAAGTGCTGGGATTACAGGCATGAGCCACCACACTCAGCCTCTTTTTTTTTTTTTTAAGAGAGAGAGTTTCACTCTTGTATTCTAGGCTAGAGTGCAATGGGCCATCTAGGCTCACTGCAACCTCTGTACCTGGGTTCAAGTGATCTCCTGCCTCAGGCCCCCGTGTAGCTGGGACTACAAGCACCTGCCAGCACTCCGGCTAATTTTTGTATTATTAGTAGAGACAGGGTTTCACCATGTTGGTCAGGCTGGTCTCGAACTCTTGACCTCAGGTGATCTACCTCCCTCAGACTCCTAAAGTGCTGGGATTACAGGCGTAAGCCATCACGCCCGGCCACTAATGAATATTTTCATAAATAATCGCAACCATCAAGAATACTATACAAATTATATTTTTAAATAAATAAATGAAACAAGATGAAACTGTGAAAAATGTTCAGGCAGCTGACAAGAAGCCAAGAGGCCAGGTGCCATGGCTCACCCCTATAATCCCAGCACTTTGGGAGGCTGAGACAGGAGGATTGCTTGAGCACAGGAGTTCAAGACCAGACTGGGCAATATGGCGAAACACTGTCTCTACAAAATATACAAAATTAAGCTAGGTGTGATGGTAATGCCCGTAGTCCTGGCTACTTGAAAGGCTGAGGTGGGAGGATCACCTGAGCCTGGGAGATGGAGGCTGTAGTGAGCTGTGATCACACCACTGCACTCCAGCCTGGGCGAAGAGTGAGAACCTGTCTCAACAACAAAAAAAAAAAAAAAAGCCAAGAAAAGGCAGAGAATGAGAAGTAGAGAAAATGAATAGAAAATAATACTTTAAATGTAAATAATCTAAGTATACCAATTAAAAGACAGAGACTGGCACAGTGGATATAAAAACATGAACCAACTATATGCTGTTCATAAGAAATTCACCTTAAACACAATATAGGTAGATTGAAAGTAAAAAGGATGGTTAATGTTATCTTGGTAACATTGTATTTTTTTCAAAAGTATAATTGGCTATATGAATAAAAGATAACGTAGATCAACAGTCTTTTTAACTTAGAATGCTCCACGAGGGCAGAATGTATATATCCTTCCTGAATGAATCAATGAATGAATGACAGCCAAGTGGTACTGGCACATATAATGCAAAGGAAAAAAACAGAGCAATAAAGAGGATATACTATATACAAAAATAAGTTCTAGATAGATTAAATAGAAAAAGGCTATGGACCTATGTACAAATTAAATCTCTATTCATTAAAAATATTCTAAATATTCTAAGTTATTGTATTAAAAGATAAGCAGCCAGGCCAGGCACAGTGGCTCATGCCTGTAATTCCAGGAATTTCGGAGACCAAGGCAGGTAGACTGCTGGAGCCCAGCAGTTCAAGACTAGCCTGGGCAACCTGACAAAACCCCATCTCTACCAAATATACAAAAAAATTAATCGGGCATGGTGGCATGCGCTTGTCACCCCAGCTATCATACTTAAGAGGCTGAGGTGGCAGGATCATCTAAGCCTGGACTTCAAGGCTGTGGTGAACTGTGACTGTGCTACTGCAGTCCAGCCCAGGTGACAGAGTGAGACTCTGTCTCAAAAACAAAAAGCAAAACACACACATGCACACTCACACACACACACGATAGGCAGCAAGGACTAAAACTGGCAAATCGAATCCATGCTTAAATCTCTGCTCCCTTGTAACACCTACCAAATGGCCAGAAAAGAGGAAAAAGTACAAAAGCACAAAGATGAAAAGAAAAAGGACAGACAAGAGATGGGAGTAAAACTGTAAATGATGAAAAGTGCACAAATGAGTAGTAACTGACTTAGCAGAGAAGAAGATACTAAAACTATCTGTAAAAGGGAAGACAAGAAGCAAAAAGGCTTCAAAAAGCCTTAAGAAGAGAGGAATCAGGTACCATTGAAGCTATGAGTGGGGATAAGGAACAAAAAACAGGAGGATTAATTGAAAATAGGTTTAGGGAACAGTTAGATCCCCCATGTCCCAACTCCCACATGTACCTCTAGATGTGTATCCTCCTCCATTCCTGAAGAAGATGGGCAGTTTACTTTTTGGAGAAATTAAAATGGAAAGAGGAAATAAGTTGTTGGATTTATAAGAGGAGAATTAAGTGAAAGTCTGTATGCTGAATGGTGAGATAGCCCCCTCACCCCAATCCTTTTCCCCCACCCAGTTCTCAGCACACAGCCAAAGCCTACAGCCTCAAGTCAGGTGGTTGGAAGAGCTCTCATTGGAGAAACTCAGTGAGAAAAATTATAAATAAGGAGTTACAGAAGTCCCTACATGAAGAGATTTCTTCCCGATTCCTCTCAAATGAAGCCAGTGGTTAACTAGTCCCGTCCATTCATGCATCTAACAAACAGCTTTTCATGGCCTTCCTCTCAAGTATTAATAAACATTCAAAGAACAGTAGATATTTTAAGAAAGTGTCTAACATAAGTGACAGACTCCTTGGCAGGAACTCATACCTATCTCTCAAAATCTACTCTTGCTTTTTATCTTGGTAAATGAATTAAAAATCTGTCCATGGGCAGGGGATGGTGGCTCATGTCTGTTATCTCAGCACTTTGGGAGGCTGAGGCAGGAGGATAGTTTGAAGCCAGGAGTTTAAGACCAATCTGAGTAACAAAGTGAGACCCCATCTCTACAGAACATTTAAAAAGTAGCCAGGTGTTGTGGCATGCACCTGTAGTCTTAGTACCTGGAAGGGTGGGGGCAGCAGGATCAATCACTTGAGCCCAGGAGTTTGAGGCTGCAGTAAGCTGTGATCACACCACTGCACTCCAGCCTGGAAGACAGAGTGACATCACACCTCTTAAAAGAAAAAAAACCTGTGCACAGCTGTTCAGCAACATTACATTTCCCAGCCCCTATTGGTTTAGGTATGGGCATATGTTTAAATTATCACCAGCAGAACCTAAATAGATGTGATGTGTGACATTTATAGCCCAGAGCCTTCAAGAGAGTGAACTGGGCCAGGCACAATAGCTCACGCCTGTAATCCCAACACTTTGGGAAAAAAATATAATACTAAAAAGAAGAAGAAGAACAAAGCATTTAGTTAGTTTGATTTTGGGTTTTTTTTTTTTTCTCTTTTTTTTTTTTTTTGAGAGGCAGTTTCACTCTCATTGCCCAGGCTGGAGTGCAATAGCAGAATCTCGGCTCACTGCAACCTCTGCCTCCTGGGTTCAAGCAATCATCCTGCCTCAGCCTCCCAGCTAGCTGGGATTACAGGCATGCACCACCACACCCAGCTAATTTTTGTATTTTTAGTAGAGATGGGGTTTCGACATGTTGGCCAGGCTGGTCTTGAGCTCCTGACCTCAGGTGATCCACCCGCCTCAGCCTCCCAAAGTGCTGGGACTATAGGCATGAGCCACCACACCCAGCCCAATGAAGCATGTGGAAGTTAAAAACATGGCATCAGAAACAAAAACCCAATGGAGAGGTTGTAAGATAATAGTTAAGGAATGTCCCCAGAGCATAGAACAATAGGAGAAAAAGAAAAAAAAAATGGGAGGCTGAAATTATAAAATAAAACAAGAAAATTTAGCCAGAATTGAAAAATGAAGTTACTTAAAATTACCTAATAATGCCTAGAACAATGATTGTAAACAAATAAAATCCCTTACCAAGGATAGCCCTCCTGAAACTTATTAATATTATGAAGAGAAGATGCTAAAAGTTACCAAAAGAAAAAAAAAAGAGAGAGATCACATACAATGGATCTAGGATAGAATGGAAAAAATGGCAACAGCATTCTCAACAACATAAGACAGTGGAGTAGCCGGGAACATGCCTCAAGCCATAATCCCAACATTCTGGGAGGCTGAGGTGGGTGGATTGCTTGAGTTCAGGAGTTCAAGACCAGCCTGGGCAACACAGAGAAATCCCATCCCTAATAAAAATATAAAAAATTAGCCAGGCATGGTGGCGAGCGCCTGTACGGGAGGCCAAGGTGGGAGAATAACCTGAGCCTGGGAGGTCGAGGTTGCAGTGAGCTAAGAATGCGCCACCGCACCCCAGCCTGGACAACCAGAGTGAGACTCTGTCTCAGAAAAAAAAAAAAAAAAAAAAAGGCCAAGCACAGTGGCTCACATCTGTAATTCCAGCTACTTGGGAGGATGAGGCAGGAGAATCACTTGAACCCGAGAGGTGAGGGTTGCAGTGAGCTGAGATCGCGCCACTGCATTCCAGCCTGGGTGACAGAGCAAGAAAGACAATGGAGCAAAGGTTTAACGGGAAATAAAACTATTTCCAGCAAAGGCTTAATGTGAAATAAAACTATTTCCAATCTTGAATTTTATCCTCAAGTAAACCATTAAAAAAGTAACAAGACAGAGGAAAGATTTTTTTATAGATCGAGGATCTCAAAGCATGTGCTCCAACAAAATGAGATAGAGAAGAAAATATGTGGTCCAAAAAGAAAGCGTATTCAACATAGAAGAGACAAAAGGCCCAGGAGGAGGGCAAAATGATAGGAAGACAGTTGTGCCAAAAAAGCTAGGTATAGATGACAGCTACAGACAGACAGCTCCTGGTACCCATGGACAAAAAACAGAATTAACAGTTAATCCAATATTTTTTGAAATGTAGGAAAAACAAATAGGAAAAAAATAAAGCAATTGTTAACTTTGGGTGGGAACAGGGGAACAGGAAAGAAAATATACTCATCCAGGTGCAGTGGCTCACACCTGTAATCCCAGCATTTTGAGAGGCCAAGGCGGGTAGATCACAAGGTCAAGAGTTCGAGACCAGCCTGGCCAAGATGGTAAAACCCCATCTCTACTAAAAATACAAAAATTTGCTGGGCGCAGTGATGGGAGCCTAAAATCCCAGCTACTTGGGAGGCTGAGGCAGGAGAATTGCTTGAACCCGGGAGGCGGAGGTTGCAATGAGCCAAGATGATGCCACTACACTCTAGCCTGGGTGACAGAGCAGATTCTCTCTCAAAAAAAAAAAAAAAAAGAAAGAAAGAAAAGAAAGAAAAGAACATATACTCGTAGAATATTTTTGGTCTTACCATTAAACAATTTTCCAGGCTGGGCACACTGGCTCACACCTGTAATCCCAGTACTTTGGAAGGCCAAGGTGGGAAGATCATTTGAGGCCAGAGGTTTGAGGCCAGCCTGGACAATATAGTGACATCTTGTCTCCAAAAAAAAGAAAAAAAAAAGTGCCTGTGGTCCTCCTTACTAGAAAGGATGACATGGGAAGATCACTTGAGCCCAGGAATTCAAGGCTGCAGTGAGCCAAGATCCTGCCACTGCACTCCAGCCTGGGTGACAGAGTGAGACTCTGTCTCAAAAAACACCAAAAAAAAAAAGACAAAAAAAACCCCACACATTTGTCCATAGTCATATTAGTATAAACAATGAATACAGGTCTAACAAAAAATTGTGATGTATCTATATTGGAAGGATGAGGAGAAGATATATACACTAGATGATATCTAAAATAGATAGAAGCATATAATTTAGAAGTATAAAAAGTAAAATACATCTAAAAGATTAAAAGACGTTGGCTCTGAGAACAGGCCTAATAGGTGATAAAAAGAACTGCTTCATAAGCTTGTGCTTTATATTATCACCTTTTATATTAAACCAAATGCTTACTATGATTTTTAAAGTCAAATTATTTTAAAAGAAGGCAAAGAGACAGACAGGGAAACATATTTCCAGCACATGTAAGAGTTTAAGAATTGAAGCCCATAATATATTGAGTTCCTACAAACACAATTAACAAAGATCTCAACAGAAATAGTCAAAGGATGTAAAAAGTTAAGTCACAGAGGAAGTACAAATAGCCAATAATCATATGAAAAGACATGTAATCTGGTTATCAATCAGCGAAATGCAAATGAAAACACCATTGATATCAGTTTTCATCCAGAACATTGAAAGATTAACAATATCCAGTATGAGTTAGGCTGTGAAGAAATAGGATTTTTACATAATTGGTTGGAGTGGGTCAACTGGCTATCATTTCAGAAGAGAATTTGTAAGTATTTATGGCAATTTAAAATACACCTATTATTTGACCCTCCTAGGAATTGAAAGTACTCAAACATGTACACAAGAACATATGGAAAATGATGTACTATAGCTCCATTATTCAAAAAGAAAATGGTAAAAGAAATTATGGTCTGCGTTCATAACAATGGGACATATAGAACTATAAAATGAGTAAGGTCTATCTCTGTGTACTGACAAGGAAATGCTTTCAAAACATACTGCTAAGTAATGAATATAAATACATATATATATGCACACTGCAGGACAATATATGTATAGTATGGTCCCATACAAGTCAAATAAAACAGCAGATAAATGTGTAACTGCCATTTAATGTGGATTGAGAGAACATATATCAAACTAACGACAATGGTTATTTCAGAAAAAAAGAAGAGAAATGAGGGGTAAAGTATAATATTCTTTTACACCATTTGACTTTTTTTGCAAGTAAACTTTCATTATTATTTATATGATTTAAAATATGTTTAATAAACCAAAGAAGCACAATACAGTAAAGAAAACATAAGAGATAGTAAAACATTAAACGTAAGAAGGAAATTCTATATGATGCACAATCAAATAAGGTGACAGGTTAATTGTGTCTGCTTTAAATATTGAATACTTTTAAAATATGGTACAACAAATAAAGGGTGAATTGCAGTTAATAGCAATGACCAATTCTTTTTGAGAAGGGCATAGTAGAGCACTGAACCAAATTCAGTCATTTTCACTTTTAATTGTTGTTTCCACTTCTATGTATTATCAAAACTATTATTTCTTTTTCTGTCAGTGTTTTAAGGCTCTTGTTCACAGGCCATTATCTCATCTAAAACAACAAACAGATCCTGCTACCTTTCAGTTAGCACATACCTAATAATCTTTACACTTCCCCTAATTTTCTCCCACACTATACTTGCCCAAATAACAGAGCCCTTCTTTAGGGTTTTATGGTAATTTGAACTTATCTCACTGTTCTTCTTGGCTCATATTATAGATATATTCCAGATACCATAGAGGATATGTAAGAAGTGAAAAGGTTTAAGCCAACTAAAGAATAGAAACAAAAGTGTGATTAACATCCATCCTGACCTTCTTTCACCACTGAAGCCTCTAAATTGAGAGTTACTCTAGGAAAGCACATCAAAAATAGCCTTAGACTAGCCATATGCAGAAAACTGAAATTGGACCCCCACCTTTGACCATATACAAAAATCAACTCAAGATGGATTAAAGGCTTAAATGTGAAACCTAAAACTATAAAAACCCTGAAGAAGATCTAGGAAATACCATTCTAGACAACAGCCCAGGCAACGACTTCATGACAAAGTCAAAAAGCAACTGTAGGCCAGGTGCGGTGACTTACTCCTGTAATCCCAGCACTTTGGGAGGCCAAGGCAGGCAAATCACCTGAGATCAGGAGTTCAACACCAGCCTGGCCAACATGGCAAAACCCCATCTATATGAAAAATACAAAAAAATTAGCTGGGCTTGGTGGCGGGCGCCTGTATCCCAGATACTTGGGAGGCGGAGGCAGGAGAATCACTTAAGCCCGGGAGGCAGAGGTTGCAGTGAGCTGAGATCACCCCACTGCACTCCCCTCCACAAAAAGAGTGAAAACTCTGTCTCAAAAAAAAAAAAAGCAACTGTAATAAAAATAAAAATTGACAAATGCGATCTAATAAAACTAATGAGCTTCTGCACAACAAAAGAAATTTCAATCAACAGACAACCTACAGAATGAGAGAAAATATCTGCAAACTATGCAACCAACAAAGGTCTAATATCCAGAATCTATAACTCAAACAACTGAAGAAGCAAAAACAATCAACCCTATTAAAAAATGGGAAAAGGACATGAACAGACGCTTCTCAAAAAAAGACATACACATGGTTAGCAAACATATGAAAAATGCTCAATGTCATGAATCATCCTGGAAATGCAAATCAAAACCACGAGATACCACCTCACACCAGTCTGAATGACTATTATTAAAAAATCGAAAACAATAGATGCTGGTGAGGTTGCAGAGGAAGGGGAATGCTTATACACTGTTGGTGGAAATGTAAATAAGTTCAGCCACTGTGAAAAGCAGTCTGGAGATTTCTCAAAGAACTTAAAGCAGGACTACCATTCGACCCAGCAACCCCATTACTGGGTATATGCCCACATGAATATAAATTATTCTATCATAAAGATACATGCATATGTATGTTCATTGCAGCACTATTCACAATAATGAAGCCATGGAATCAATCTAGGTGCCCATGAATGGTGGATTGGATAAGGAAAATGGGTGACATATACACCATGGAATACTATGCAGCTACAAAAATAATGAAATCATGGCCTTTGCTGCAACATGGATGGAGCTGGAGGCCATTATCCTAAGTGAATTAATGCAGAAACAGAAAACCAAATACTGCATGTCCTCACTTATAAGTGGGAGCTAAACACGGAGTACATACAGACACAAATAAGGGAACAACAGACACTGAGGCCTATTTGAGGGCGGAGGGTGGGAGAAGAATGAATATTGGGAAACTACCTATCAGGTATTATGCTGATTACCTGGGTGACAAAATTATCTGTACACCAAACCCCCATGACCCTCAAGTTACCCATGTAACAAACTTGCACATGTACCCCTGAACATAAAAGTTGGAAATAAAAAAAAATAGGAAGAAAACAAAAATTAGAGACACAAATGAGAGTTTTAAAAAGAAGACATAAATTAAAAAGTGAAAATTTAGCTATTTAGAAATTAAATTTTCTCAGAAACGAGGTCAAATTTAAGATAAATTCCATTGGAGTTTGATCACTCATGATTTTGATGCTCTTAAGTGTTTCACTGTTGATGTCAATATACCATGAGTTCGTGCTTTCCTACCACCCTGTTTGGGGGTTCCCAGATAATACATACTATCCTTGTTAATATTCTAAGATTTAAAATGTTCTAGTATAAAGTAAAATTTTGAAAAATAAAATGTTACTGTATACAACAGAAAATAGTTACAGAAGCAAACTCCCTCACAATGTTGTTGCTGTAGAAACAGGGATGATGACAGTGATGATGCTTTACTGGTTAACCTCACTTACTCCTCACACCAGTGCCATATAGGAAGTCCTATTATTATTATTCCCATCATTTTAGAGATGAAGGAAGTGAGGCTTGGAGGGATCAATTCTGTAACTCACTCAGGATCTTGAACTTCTAACCACTATGCTTCGCTGACTCTCCTGAATAAAGTCACATTATTATACCTCAATACTGTTTTTTTTTTCTTTCTTCCTTATTTATTTATTTATTTATTTATTTCTTGAGACAGAGTTTCACTCTGTCACCCTGGCTAGAGTGCAGTGGTGCAATTTTGGCTGCAACCTCTGCCTCCTGGGTTCAAGTGAGTCTCCTGCCTCAGTCTCCCAAGTAACTATGATTACAGGCATGAGCCACCATGCCCAGCCTAATACTGGGTTTTCAAATCAAGTTTTTAACCATGAGGACTTGGAACATCCAAGTTTCTTCAAATAATGAAATCCAAACATGTTGTAAGAGTAGACCAAATATTTCCTTAATATCAGATATTATTTTGCAGAAGAGGAAACTAAGGCCCAGGTGCTCAAATAATTTCCTCAAAGGCAAATGGTCAATAATGGAAAGAGCTGGTACTCAGGTTGGTACAATTTAAAAAGGCGTTGGTCTTTTTACCTTACCCTGATACCTTCCAGAACACAGAAACATCCTTTAAGCAATACATACGTTATGTAATACATGAAACACAGTACCCTGTATTATTGCAGGTACAATATGAATATACAGGCCGGGTATGGTGGTTCATGCCTGTAATCCCAGCACTTTGGGAGGCCAAGGCGGGCGGATTACCTGAGGTCAGGAGTTTGAGACCAGCCTGGCCAACACTGCAAAACCCCGTCTCTAGTAAAAATACAAAAATTAGCGGGGTGTGGTGACGCACGCCCGTAATCCCAGCTACTCAGCTGGGGGATTAGAATTGCTTGAAGTTGGGAGGCGAAGATTGCAGATCAGGCCACTGCACTCCAGCCTGGTGACAGAGCAAGACTCTGTCTCAAAGAAAATAATAATAATAATAAGCAACTCCATCTCTCCCCACTTCATCCTTCTCAGCCCTCAATCCTCTGTGATCTGGCTCATGTTCCTGCTGCCTTACTGAGGCTGCTTTAGTAAGGGTACCAGTAAGCTTCTAAATGGCAACTCCAAATGACTATTTTCAGTATACAACTTACTTGGACTCTACTTAGCATCTTCAGTTATTGAACTTCCTCCTTTAACTCACTTCCAAAATACTACTCTCTCCTCCTTCTTTCTCTATTTCTTTGTTGGCTCTTCTTCCTCTGCCTTCTCTTCAAATATTTCTACTTCCTGTCACTCTTTCTAGTTCTCTCTTCTGTTTCCACAATACTTGTTCTATCAACTACTCCTTTCACTTCATTCACAATAATATTGATGATTCCCAAGCATATATCTCTCATCATGTGTCCCCCTCACATATCTGCTCTTTAATTCTTCTTTTTAATTCATTTGATACCTTCTAAAAGTCTCTCATAATTCAGATAGTCCTTCAAGCCAGGAACCTGGGAGTCGTTCTCAAATTATCTTTCTCACTCACCCACTGTCCCATCTCCAAATTTTTATATAAGCTTCAGATTTCATGGACTCTACTTAATCTTTTTTATAGTTGATGTGTCTCTATTTCAGCAGCTACTGTGTTATCATTTCTCATCTTAGACTATTACAATCTTTCTGCCTGTGTTTACAGATCTTTCCAGTCCACTCCCACACTGAGGTCAGGAGATCTTTCTAAAATGTATTTCATCCTCTATCTTGCTTAAAACTTTCAAGCGCTTAACAACTAAATGCAGTATATATTTCCAGATTGGATCCTGGACCAGGAAAAAAAATGCTGTAAAGATCATTTTTTAGAGCATCTGAATATAGACTATATCAGATAACAGAATATCAATGTTACATTTCTTTAATTTGGTAATGTACTATAATCACATAAGGAAATGTCCTTGTTCTTAGGAAATATACACAGAGGTAGTTAGGGACAAACTAGCTAATGATTTAGGGGAAAAAATGATACCTATAGAGAGAGCTAATAGAATAAAGCAAATATAGCAAAACATTTTCAATTGGTGAATCTGGGTAAAGTGTATACTAGATTCTTGCAACTCCTCTATTAGTTTGAGATCATTTTAGAAAAAAAATTTTTGGCTGGGCATGGTGACTCACGCCTATAATCACGGCACTTTGAGAGGCTACAGCAGGAGGCCTGCTTGAGCCCAGGAGTTCAAGACCAGCCCTGGCAACAGAGCAAGACCCTGTCTCAAAAAAAACAAAAAAAAATTTAAACCTCCCACATTCCCTGTTACATGTAAGGTAAAAGTTTGAACTCCTTGGTTAGGCTCTCTATGATCTGACTCTTGCCCCCTCTACCATTATCGGTCATCAACTGAGAGGAGGACCACAACCAACATCCTACTCTCCACACACAAAGATTACAAATTTCTGAACCCACCAAACTGCTTTGTTCCATGTCAAACATGTTCTCTCTACTTCCTGCACCTTGTCTGTCTCACAAGCACCTTCTTATTTGATGCTATTCAAGCCACACCTCCTCTTACTCTGAACTCCTTTCTACTTTCATCTTCCAGATGAAAATAACCACTCTGGGCCGCACGCGGTGGCTCACACCACCCAGCACCTTGGGGGCTGAGGCAGGCGGATCACGAAGTCAAGAGATAGAGACCATCCCAGCCAACATGGTGAAACCCCGTCTCTACTGAAAATACAAAAATTAGCTCGGCATGGTGGCGAGCGCCTGTAATCCCAGCTACTCAGGAGGCTGAGGCAGGAGAACTGCTTGAACCCAGGAAGTGGAGGTTGCAGTGAGCCAAGATCATGCCACTGCACTCCAGCCTGGCAACAGAGCAAAACTCCATATCAAAAAAAAAAAAAAAAAAATCTCAAATACTCGACCAGGTACATTGGCTCACGCCTGTAATCCCAGCACTTTGGGAGGCTGAGGCGGTGGATTACCTGAGGTCAGTAGTTCAAGACCAGTCTGAGCAATATGGTGTAACCCTGTCTCTACTAAAAATGCAAAAAAATTAGCCGGGCATGGTGGCATGCGCCTGTAGTCCCAGCAACTCAGGAGGCTGAGACAGGAGAATTGCTTGAGCCTGAGAGGCAGAGGCTGCGGTGAGCCGAGATCACACCACTGCACTCCAGCCTAGGCAACAAAACAGGACTCTACCTCAAAAAAAAAAAAAAATCTCACTACTCCAAAATTATGTACTTTAAAAAAAATTTTTTTTTTTTTGAGACGGAGTCTCGCTCTGTCACCCAGGCTGGAGTGCAGTGGTGCAATCTTGGCTCACTGCAAGCTCCACCTCCTGGGTTCACACCATCCTCCTGCCTTAGCCTCCCAAGTAGCTGGGACTACAGGCGCCCACCACCATGCCTGGCTAATTTTTTTATATTTTTAGTAGAGATAGGGTTTCACCGTGTTAGCCAGGATGGTCTTGATCTCCTGACCTTGTGATCTGCCCACCTCAGCCTCCCAAAGTGCTGGGATTACAGGCGTGAGCCACCACGCCCAGCCTAAAAATGTTTTTTCTTTCCATGTCCCTACTACAGCTTTTCATCAACTTTCCCAAAGTATGAAAAGAAACACGTATTTTTCACTAAGAGGTCAACCTATTTTCAATGTCTTACACCATTTAAAGATTCTACATGATGATGAACATAAGTTCTAATAAAATTTTATCTGTTTCTCATTATTCATAAATATAATCTATTTATCTAACTGCATCTAAATGCTATTTTATTGCAAATATCCCATTCACCAACTTCAAAAAGAGAAAAACAAAACAAGCATCATTAAAAACAAAGCAAGAAAGTAGCAAAATAGATAATTCCAATATCACCTATAAGTACTCAGTTATCTAAAACAAATGAACTCAGATTGTTGACAAAAAAATCCAAGGCATATTCATTAAAGCAAATAAATAACTCATATAACTTCCAAAAATCTCACTCACGACCTATTTTCCTTTACTTGTGACCCAAATTTAGTTACTGGAGTATCTTAGACACTAACAAAATAGGTAAGATAAGCTTCTGGACAGATTGTAATGGAAGACAGCAAAGGAGTAAAATACACAAAAAAAGTCTATAGGCTGGGAGTGGTGGCTCACGCTTGTAATCCCAGCACTTTGGGAGGCCAAGATTGGGGGATCACGAGGTCAGGAGATCAAGACCATCCTGGCTAACATGGTGAATCCCCATCTCTACTAAAAATATAAAAAATTAGCCAGGCGTGGTGGCGGGCGCCTGTAGTCCCATCTACTTGGGAGGCTGAGGCAGGAGAATGGCATGAACCCTGGAGGAGGAGCTTGCAGTGAGCCGAGATTGCACCACCGCACTCCATCATGGGCGACAGAGTGAGACTCCATTTCAAAAAAACCAAAAAAAAAAAAAAAAATGTCTACATAGAATCTTAACATAGTCTCTTAACATAGTCAGCTAGAACAATTTTTTTCTAAAGAAAACACATCAAATTGAATAATATTAAATGACAGGAAAAGGAGTAAACATTATAGAAACTTCCTTTAAAAATTAAAAACTATTTCAACTTTAAAATGAATGGGTATTAACAGTTCAGGGAGCACATCTGCTTCTTCAGAACAGGCAGAGTAGGAAAAAAATGTTGCTAATTTTTAAGAAATCATATAAATCAGTTTTTTGATCATTATTAAATTATTAATAATAAAATTAACATATTACAACCATTCATACAAATATTTACTACAGACACACCTGAACTCAAGCAGTATTAACATTTCAATTTATTTTAGGAAAGATGAAAAATTTATTCCAACATTTAAGAGACCAATATTTTGGCCAGGCCCAGTGGCTCACACCTGTAATGCCAGCACTTTAGGAGGCCGAGGTGGGCAGATCACCTGAAGTCAGGAGTTCGAGACCAGCCTGACCAACATGGAGAAACCCCGTCTCTACTAAAAATACAAAATTAGCTGGGTGTGGTGGTGCATGCCTATAATCCCAGCTACTGGGGAGGCTGAGGCAGGAGAATTGCTTGAAACAGGGAGGTGGAGGTTGCAGTGAGCCAAGATCACACCATTTCACCCCAGCCTGGGCAACAAGAATGAAACTCTGTCTCAAAACAAACAAACAAAAAAAGAATATCACTTTTCATTTTACTGAATTACCTTTTCTGTTTAAGAGCATACTCCAACATTTTGATCCTCCTCACAAGATCCTTCTTCAAATTTTCTTGGCCCTTCCTTTCTCCCTGTAGGAAGGCAATCTGGGCCTGAGTAGGGGAAAGACAGACAAAATTCAGTTTAGACTAAAAAAAAAGTTTTTTTAACTCAGTAAAGAATCTTTGGAAGTTAGAACAATTAGATGCAAAAATATTTCCTTTACACATTTCTCACAAAGTATGTACAAATATAAAAATGCACTGACTGCAAGGGGGAAAAAGGATTTAAGTTAAAAAGGGAAGTGGGGGCCATCTAAATGCATTTTACTTCAGGGTATGGATTTTACAACACATAGTCCACATCATTTAAGAGTCTACAATATAAAACAACTAATACTGCTGGGTGTGGTGGCTCACACCTGTAATCCCAGCACTTTGGGAGACTGAGGCGGGTGGATCACTTGAGGTCAAGAGTTCAAGACCAGCTTGGCCAACATGGTGAACCCTGTCTCTACTAAAAATACAAAAATTAGCCGGGTCTGATGGCACCTGTAACCCCAGCTACTCGGGAGGCTGAGACAGGAGAATTGCTTGAATCCAGGAGGCAGGGGTTACAGTGAGCTGAGATTGCACCACTGCACTCCATCCCGGGTAGCAGAGTGAGACTCCATATCAAAAAATTAAATAAAACAACTAATATTAATACAAACAAATGCAAGGTTTACAGGACAATTTGCTAAAGTGTTTGTCTTTTTGCCATCAACAAGATCTTTTTATAAAGCAGGGAGGGTTAAAGTAAAATCAGTTCTTATAATCCCCTTGCACAAGCTTCATCATATATTTAAATTTTATGACAGATTCCTTAAGTGACTTTACTTTGTACCTCCCCTACAAACAATAAATTGCTCCCTTTTCTCAATCTCCCCCATTTTTCTCACCCACCTTGACATGTAATCCATAGAAAAAAGAAAGTGAAAGTTGGAAAAAGGAAAATTAGAGACAATGGCCTTCTGCCCATTCCTGCCCCCCACCCCAAGGAATTACTAAAACCCTACATTTGAACATGAAACAAACTGTAAACAACTTTTAAAGTCAGTAAAACTGAGTGGCTAGGAAAGAGTAGCTCTCCAGAATATTAAAAGAACATTTACAATTGAAATAACGTCTTTCACATAAGAAATTGAAACTATGTCACAAACACTAACTTGTTAAAGTGACTCATAATACCTCTTAAAAGTCATAAGGGCCTCAAAACTAGCTATAAATTTCACCATTTTCACATGTACCACCACCCCTATTATACTGACCCACTAAGACAGGTAACAATGTTATTTATATATCTACAGTGCTTTCCATTAAGTGAGCAAAAACTTTACATTTAAGGATAACCTTGCCACATCCCTAAGGAATTGTGAGAATTGTGCAACTCAGGTTTAGCAAGTGAGCCATTAAACTTAATTCTCATTCAAACTTAGTTTGAATGACCTTTGTTTCTATGCGGTACCACAAGAAACATAAAATCTAACTTATCTAGTGTCTTACAACTTTCAAAATGTAGGTAGTGTTAAGCTTTTGTTTTCATTTCAATGTGCTCTTAAATTTTGCATTACAATTAAAGGAAGGATTACATTTATCTTACTGAAATAAAAGTGGTTTGAAAACAATTCCATTGTTTTCAGAGGAAAAGGCATCAAATATCCACAAGACTCTTGAAATTATATATTCTGCAGTAGGATAATTATGTTATCTAACCAGAATAGTAATGACACATGCATTTAAAGCTGATAAAAATGAGTCTTGTCAAAAGGAAGTGACAGCCCAACTTGTCAGGCCAAACACGCTTTGGCATAGAACTTTATATGCTCTTTAAAATGACTTTAATAAAAACAATAAGCTAACCAATGCAATCAAACTTTGAAGGTAATAACAATATCAGTTATCAATTTTGTCCTCTCGATACTCCTTGGCTAGTTTTGCATTTCTGCTAACATCATTGGTCCTGGATGATTCTGAAACTTCAGCCTACAATACCGTAAAGTCTTTACTGTATACGTTCAACTTCAAGCATAAGATAAATTACAATTAAAAGTATAATCAGAGGCTGGGCACAGTGGCTCAGCCCTGTAATCACAGCACTTTGGGAGGCTGACGCGGGAGGATAACTTGAGCTCAGGAGTTTGAGCCTAGCCTGTGCAACACAGTGAGACCACGTCCCTACAAATAATTTAAAAAATCAGCCAGGCATGGTGGCATGTGTCTGTGGTCCCAGCTACTTGGGAGGCTGAGGCAGGAGAATCACCTCAGGCCAGGAGGCCAAGGCTGCAGTGAGCAGTGATCACATTGCCACACTCTAACATGGGTGACAGAGTCTGAGACCCTGTCTCAAAAAAAAAAAAAAAGGGGGGGGCGGTGGGTGAGTGGTGGGGTGGTAATCAGGGCCAGGCATGGTAGCTAATGCGTGTAATCCCAGAACTCTGGGAGACTGAGGTGAGAGGATTGCTTGAGGCTGGAGTTTGAGACCATCCTGGCCAACATACCAAGACATCTCATAAAAAAATTAAAAATATAAAAAGTAAGGTACAATCAGATTTCTCCTTTTCCATCAGATGGATGAAGTTCAGTAATTTAATAATATGGTAGAAAACAGACATTTATATGTTAGCTGTGGTGATATAAACCAGTTTCACTTTATAGAGGACAACTGGTAATATCTGTCAAGTTTGTAAATGCATATACCCTTTAACTCAGCAATTTTAGAATGCTATCCTTCAAATATATACTTGCACATATGTGAAATTAAATAATAAATGACTGATAAAACACAGACAAGAATATGTATACAACCCAAATGACCACCTAAAGGAGACTGCTTAAATAAATTAGTATAATTGAAAGAAAATTAGGACCTGAACCTTTGAGAAAAGAGTAAAAGACTATGAGAATAATGTCAATCTTTTACCTTTTTTTCTCTATGAAACTTAGACGTTAGAAACAAAAAGTCTTAAAACACATTCCTACATAAAAAAAAGAATTCCTTCTGTAAAACGACCTCAGTTGAAAACATAATAATGGTATAAATTCTTACTCTTTTAAAATAAAGATTAAATTCCAGCTAAAAATTCTCCAGATATGGCAGTATATTGCTCTTTGAATTGAACTGAGGAAGGGTGAGGGTGAGAGACATAAAGACGAAAACAGTGAAAGGAAGAAAAAAAGGAAAGGAAAAAAGGTAAAAAGAAAAAGAGGAAAATAGGTCAGACAAGTGGCTCACATCTGTAATCCCAGAATTTTGGGAGGCTGAGGTGGGGGGGATCACTTGAGGTCAGGAGTTTGAGACCAGCCTGGCAAACACGGTGAAACCCTGTCTCCATTAAACGTACAAAAATTAGCCAGGCACTGTATTCCCAGCTACTCGGAAGGCTGAGACAGAAGAATCACTCAAACCGGGAGGGGGAGGTTGCAGTGTGCAGAGATCACACCACTGCACTGCAGCCTGGGCAACATGGTGAGACTCCACCTTAAAAAAAAAAAAAAAAAAAAAAAACAGGATGCGGTGGCTCATGCCTGTAATCCTAGCACTTTGGGAGGCCAAGGCGGGTGGATCACGAGGTCAGGAGTTCAAGACCAGCCTGGCCAAGACCGTCAAACCCCATCTCTATTAAAAATACAAAAAAAAAAAATTAGCCAGGTGTAGTGGCAGGTGCCTGTAATCCAGCTACTTGGGAGGCTGAGGCAGAGAATTGCTTGAACCCAGGAGGTGGAGGCTGCAGTGAGCCGAGACCACACCAATACACTCCAGCCTGGGCAACAGAATGAGACTCCGTCTCAAAAAAAAAAAAAAAACTGTTATGAATAAAATATGTTTAAAAAATTACAAATCATCAACTGCCATTTATCAGTACAACTAAACCTAATGATAACAGGATATATTTCTGAAGAAGAAAACTTTGCAATTATCTTCAAGGAAAATGAATTTTGAACTTCCATGATACTTTATACGTATTTTTCACAGTATAGAAAATTAGATATTCACTTCCTAACCATTATAAACAAAAAAGATAAAAATAATAGAAGGAAGATATTTTACTATTTAAGTCTTCATGACAGAAAGAAAGTTTTTTTATTTAATTTTTTATTTTATTATATTTATTTATTTATTTTTGAGATGGAGTCTCACTCTGTTGCCCAGGCTGGAGTGCAGTGGCACCATCTCAGCTCACTGCAAGCTCCGCTTCCCGGGTTCACACCATTCTCTTGCCTCAGCCTCCTGAGTGGCTGGAACTACAGTCACCCACCACCGCACCTGGCTAATTTTTTGTATTTTTAGTAGAGACATGGTTTCACCGTGGTCTCGATCTCCTGACCTCGTGATTCGCCTGCCTCGGCCTCCCAAAGTGCTGGGATTACAGGCGTGAGCCACCACGCCCAGCTGAAAATCTATTTTCATATAATTTTCAATTCTAATTTGTCAAAAGAATACATGTAAATAGGAATATAAATCTTCTATATTTAAACAGGTTTATCTGCATACACAGTATCTAATAAACAATTATTTAAAATGTACCACTTAATTTATTAGAGCCCCCCAACCCTTTTTTTTTCTTTTGAGACGGAGTCTCCCTCTGTCACCCAGGCTGGAGTGCAGTGGTGCGATCTTGGCTTACTGCAACTTCAGCCTCCCAGGGTCAAAGCAATTCTCCTACCTCAGCCTCCTGAGTAGCTGGGATTACAGGTGTGCACCATCACGCCCAGCTAATGTTTGTATTTTTAGTAGAGACAGGGTTTTACCATGGTGGTCAGGCTGTTCTCAAACTCCTGACCTCGTGATCCACCCACTTCGGTCTCCCTAAGCGCTGGGATTACAGGTGCGAACCACCGCACCCAGCCTTATTGAAGCCATTTTAAACTACCTTGTATTCTAAAATTTAAAAGGGCTAGGATTCAAAAATGAAATCACTGAGAAGTATATTCAAAATGAAAAATACACAAAATTCTTGGGTTGGACACTTTTCAGTAGCTTTTCAGTTACTTGCTATGGAATATAAAGAGCATTCACTTTTACACAAATCTAAAATAAAATATTATAAAGCTTGAATAATTTTACATTCTCAACTTTTGATATGAAAACAAACTTCAAAGTAAAAGAAGAAATATATAAGTAAAGGCCAATTATATGGTTACAGTGTACAATGAAGTTTCAATAATCTGCTTTATGTCTTAATGCCTTCTATAAAATATATCTATTCCTTCTGAAAAGCTTTGGATTATACTATCCTCTTAAATCTAGGCTGCTAGTTTTCTCTGGCACATAATCACTGCCTCTAGCCCTCTCTCTTAACGACAGTGTCTTTATCAGGCTAGGCACGGTGGTTCATGCCTGTAATCCCAGCACTTTGGGAGACCCAGGCAGGTGGATCACCTGAGGTCAGGAGTTCGAGACCAGCCTGACCAGTATGATGAAACCCCATCTCTACTAAAAATACAAAAATTAGCCTGGCATGGTGGCGTGTGCCTGTAGTCCCAGCTCCTCAGGAGTCTGAGAGGAGAATTACTTGAACCTGGGAGGTGGAAGTTGCAGTGAGCCAAGATCATGCCACTGCACTCCAGATTGGGTGACAGAGCGAGACTCCAACACACACACACACACACACAAAAGTGTCATTATCATTTGGTGACATCAAACTTTACCATCAGAATCACCCAGATGACTTGTTAAAACACAGTTTTTTAGGTTCTACCCTCAGAGTTGCTCATTCAGTAGGTCTGGAGTGGGGCCCAAGAATTTGCATTTCTAGTAAGTACCCAGGTGATAATGCTGCTGATCTGAGACCACCCTTGGAGAACCACTGACTTAAACCATTTGCAACACAGTTAGAAGGCCAAAAATAAAAAAACAAAGCAAAACAAAACAAAAAGCAGGAAATAGTCTGTTAAGGAGCAAGGAAAAGAACAGTCCCAGAGGCCAGGCACAGTGGCTTATGCCTGTAATCCTAGCACTTTGGGAGGCCAAGACGGGTGGATCACTTGAGGTCAGGAGTTCTTAACCGGCCTGGCCAACATGGTAAAACCCCCATCTCTACTAAAAATATAAAAAAAAGTAGTCAGGTGTGGTGTCAAGCACCTTTAATCCCAGCTACTCAGGAGGCTCAGGCAGGAGAACTGCTTGAACCCGAGAGGTAGAGGTTGTGGTGAGTCGAAATCATGCCACTGCACTCCAGCCTGAATGACAGAGCAAAACTGTCTCAAAAAAAAAAAAAGCAGCAGCAGCAAAGAATAGTCCCAGAACGCTACCTTTTTTACTCCACAGAACTGTGGAGTCATACAGGCCTTCAAGCTGACAGATGAGTGCATACTAGCTTTTTGATTCTCTTCCAAATTCCTTATTTATGACTATACTTTTGGCAGTCTCCTGATAAAATGAAATCTACCAATGTATTTCAATTCAATCACATGTTTGGGAAATACCTACTTCCCATCAGGTCTAAACTGCTGTAAAGGAGAATATAGGAAAAACAAATGAAACCAAGTTTCTACCCACAATGTACTTCCAATCTAGTTAGGATAAAAGAGCAGTACACATATGTTCACAAAAACAGCTAAGAAAAGATAGTGCAGTACTAATAAATGAGGATTCAAGTGATAAAATCAAATATTTGTATTTGTTCATTTAACAATATTAACTAAACACCTACTTTGTGCCTGGCACAGTTATTGGTACTGGGACTAAAGCAGTGACAAAACAAAACAGAACTAACAATACAGTGAATGAAACATATGTTGCCTAAGACATATGAGTAACCAGTAGCATATGTTATATTTACTTAGAAACAGAAACACTGCTGCAGGCAAAAGCAGTGAATATAAAAGTAAACACAAAAAGCAACTGGATGCCTATTTAACTCTGGAGTCAAGTAGAGAACTGATGTTCAACTTAAAAACTGCTTGCTTGCTTGCTTGCTTATTCATTTATTTGTTTATTTATTTGAGACAGGGTCTCACTCTGTTGCCCAGGCTGGAGTGCAATCATAGCTCACCACAGCCTCGAAATCCTGAACTCAAGCAATTCTCCTGCCTCAGCCTCCCAAGTTGCTGGGACTATAGGCACACACAACCACATGCAGCTAATTTTAACCTTTTTGGTAGAGACAGGGTCTTGCTATTTTGCCAGGCTGGTCTTGAACTCCTAGCCTCAAGCAATCCTCTCACCTTGACCTCCCAAAGTGCTGGAACTACATGCATAAGCCACTGCACCAAGCCTAAAAACTGTATTCTAATCTGGTATTTATTCTACAGCTAGTTTTACTTTTTTTTTTTGAGACACTCTCGCTCTGTTGCCCAGGCTGGAATATGGTGGCACGATCTTGGCTCACTGTAACCTCCGCCTCCCAGGTTGAAGCAATTCTCCTATGTCAGCCTCCAGAGTAGCTGGGATTACAAGCACCCACCAATGCATCTGGCTAATTTTTGTATTTTTAGTAGAGAGGGGGTTTCACCATGTTGGCCAGGCTGGTCTCAAACTCCTGACCTCAGGTGATATCCCTGCCTTGGCCTCCCAAAGTGCTGGGATTACAGGCGTGAGCCACCGCACCCGGCCTAGTTTTACATTTTAACAAACTAGTGAGTCTCCTGAAATTTTCCTAATAAATAAAATTACTGTACCATTGTATTTCTTTATCTATTGTTACATTTCAAAAAAGATAAGATGTGCACTTATGGATTATATTGAAAATAAAGATAAATTTCATTTTATGTTTTTTAGAGATGAGGGTCTCTCTTTGCTGCCAGGTTAGGAGTGCAGTGGCATGATCATAATTCACTACAGCCTTGAACTCCTGGGCTCAAGTGATCCTTCTAGATAACATTTTACCTCTGAAATGCTATAGGAGATACTGGTATATTCTTTCAAAAGCAATCTCTCCATCCCTAAATGTAAGATTACAAACACAGAATTTCGTATACAGAAAACCCTCAACTGCCCAAATTCTCACTTAAAGCACTAAATTAATTACACCCACATTATCACCTTATGGCAGCTTATAAATAAATGTACATCAGTAGGTTTCTTGAGATCCCAAAGGCTACCTCAGAACTTGAATCAGTCAGTTAAATTCCCTCAGCACATCTTCCTATCTTTCAACTCTTTATAAATGTTCCTTATGTTTGCTCAAAGGGCTAGAAATTCTGTTTTTCTTTTTTAATTTACACACACACACACACACACACACACACACACACACATGCAGTTAGCCATTCATATCCATGAGTTCTACATCTGCAGATTCAATCAACCATCTATCAAAAACATTCAATAAACAATAAACACAAAATTTTAAAAATACAGTATAACAATTATTTTCACAGCATTTACATTAAGTATTATAAACAATCTAGAGATGATTTAAAGTATATGGGAGGGTGTGCATAGTTTATATGCAAATACTATGCCACCTTATATAAGAAAATTGGAACTTGAGAATTCAGTTTTTTGTATTGGATGGGGGAGTTCCTGGAACCAATCCCCTACAGACATCGAAGGATAACTGTATATGTACATATACACATATGCAGACAAAAAGAGAGAATAAGATATCAATCAAGGGAGGAATTCTGCAGACTTATGGTATGAGACAGTATGACATTCATAGATTTAACATTCATGGTTAGCACTGTTTTGAGAGCTACCCAGAAGATACTTTGTTAAGGCAAAGGAGAAGCTAGAGGCCCAATCTAGGGGCTAAATACATGAGTCTAGCCTAACATCAAGCATTTGTTTTTGGAAGTTTTTTTGAGACAGGGTTGGAGTGCAATGGCACAATCACAGCTCACTGTAGTCTTGACCTCCTGGGCTCAGGCGATTCTCCTGCTTCAGCCTCTCAAGGAGCTGGGCACACAGGTGTGTGCCGCCATGCCCAGCCAAGCATTTGTATTAAAGTTAAAAGGCAATGACTCTAAACACTTTAAGAAAAAAAAAAACTAGGCTGGGCATGGTGGCTCAACCTTGTAATCCCTGCACTTTGGGAGGCCGAGGCGGGTGGATCACGAGGTCAGGAGATCGAGACCATCCTGGCTAACACAGCGAAACCCTGTCTCTACTAAAAATACAAAAAGATTAGCTGGGTGTGGTGGCGGGCGCCTGTAGTCCCAGCTACTCGGGAGGGTGAGGCAGAAGAATGGCGTGAACCTGGAAGGCAGAGCTCGCGGTGAGCAGATATCACACCACTGCACTCCAGCCTGGGTGACAGAGGGAGACTCCATCTCGAAAGAAAAAAGAAAAAAGAAAAAAAACTAAATCTATTGACGTAAAATGCCCTCTGCCCCCAGAAAGAAAGAAAAATGAAAGAACTAAGAAAATGGCAGCTCTTAACCAGAAAAAGAACAGAAATGTTCTGTACCTCCCCCACCAAAAATCACTGAACTAATTCAGCAAACGCTCTAACCTGAGCAAAAAGGATTCAAGTGAAATAAAACCTTCATTGAAGTTGAAAAGGATATTAACCTGTAGAATATGCGCACATGTAAGAAACATAACGTATTACTCTCAATGGAAATATAATTCAGATAAAGAATTCCACAAAAAGATGTCTTAATCTTAAAATCTGAGGATTTACAGAGCTCTCAGAAAGTATTACTTGCAAATGATAAGTCTTCTATAATGTATGATTTTGTTTATGGTTAGCTCCAAAAGAGTTTTTAACATGTTTTAAATCAAAATGATCATCTGTTGATAGGTATATAATCTCTAAAGAAGTATTCTTCAATAGGCAACACTTCTCATATTTAAAACATTCAGTCGTTATTGTATAAATTATGAATCCATAAATCTTAAGGAACTACATAAAGCCCAAACTCTTCCCAATGGAACAAGGCTATCGACAATCTGTTCCCATCCCCTCTATCTAGCTTTGTCTTCCACATTCCTACTCACACTTCCTATGCTCCAATCAAAGTAGACAATTAGGCTGGGTGCAGTGGCTCAGGCCTGTAATCCCAGCACTTTGAGAAGCCTAGATGGACAGATTGCTTGAACTCAAGAGTTTGAGTCCAGCCATGGGCAACATGGTGAAAACCCGTCTCTACTAAAAATATAAAAATTAGCCAGGTGTGGTGGCTCAAAAGTGTAGCCCCAGCTACTCAGGAAGCTGAGGCACAAGAATCGCTTGAACTTGGGAGGCAGAGGTTGCAATGAACTGAGACTACGCCACAGCACTCTAGCCTGGGCAACAGAGGGGAGGAGGGTGGGCAAAGGAAAGAACGAAACTCACAATTTTATATTTTTAAAAAAATAAGTAGACAATTAGTCTTCAGATGCTACCTGAACTTTCCCATCTCCATGCCTTGGCTTATGCTCTTCTCTCTCCTACCTCTCCAAATGCCCTTTCATTTTCAGATTCTACCAATGTCCTAGTCTAAGCCTACACACACCACAGTAATCCCTTCTCTGAATTCCAAGAGCATTTATTTTCTATTTAAAAACAAAACAAAAAAACCTCTGTATGTACATATTTTAACACTTTATGAGACTTAGATTAATGTTCAGCAAAAAGTCAAGAAAATAAGGACTTTAGCATACTGAATACGTATCACGTACTCCACCAAACACCTCCTATAATTAATCTCATTTAATTAGGACTGTGACATAATTATTGTCTTGTTCTCTTTGAATTTTCAAAATGTTCATAATTTATCTCATCCCAAACCAGATAAGCCCTCTAAAGGCAGAAGCCTTCATTCACACACACAACATAAAATAATTAAGTGCCTACTAAGTGCTTCCCACTTGTATTGAGGACACGCAAAAAGGGGATTTTTGCATTCTACTAGATTATAAATCTGCTGAGGTTAACAGCTAAATAAAAATAGACTCAACTGTTCCATCCCAAAGTGCCTTGCAATACTGTGGTTATTCAATGTTATTTGATTTAAAAGATAAAAGTTCAATCACAGTAAATGGAGAAAAACAGGCAAGAATATACAAAGTAGTATAAACAATAATTACCATGAACTAGAAAGTTTATTTTTCCTTCACCTTTGAAAATTTTTTTAATTTTCAGTTCTTTTGTCTATACAAAGGTGGCTATGAAATATGAATTAGAGCTCCTATTAATAAAACAAAATAAATAAAAAATGTTGGTATTAAAGTGTAAATAATAAATTTATAAATATTATAAATATTATGTACTTAGACAAAAGCAAAGTGACAAAAGCAGATAGGAAATATCACAAAAACAATTTCTCTAAAAAAAACATGCCTAATCCCCTGAATAAAGACACTTCATAGACACTCAGATACCCAAGAGAGAGACTGCTGGAAAAGTCTCCCTCCTAAGTACTTACAGCTCCATTTCATTCATCACTATCTAAATATCTTCCTTCCTATGGGCTCCCACTTCTGGATCACTCTTCTGCAGGTATCCATGGCAATCTCCAATCTACATCTTCAGCCTAGGAAAGCCCAGATTCCTCAAAAGATGGGCTAACATAATGGAGAGTAGGAGCTCTCTATTCCTCTGCTTCTGGAAAATAAGTTAGTCTCAGTCATCCACCCCAAGCATACACATGTTACCAACTACCCAAATGAAGCTTCATTGCTGGTTTGCCAGCCAATCCTACATTTGCCCTACCCTACATGTACATGAGAGCATTGAGAAAAGAGTCAGAAAATAAGGGACATCCACCCTGGGTCACAGATCTATGTACTTAAGCAATGTCCAGCTCCCTAGTTCTTGAGGGATTCTAAGCTCTCTGTAAGCTGGGATGGAAGAAAACGATACCACATTCCTATCTGCTCCAGAGACTCTTTCCAGTGGCTCAAATTCTTTTAACATTTTTCAATAAAACCTTGAAGTTTGTCAGTTCCTCCAGTTAAACAAACAAAAAGGCAGCAACCTCTTCAGAACTCCTTGAATGCCGTATTCTAATATGTCTTTCTTGATAGCTCTCAACATCTTGTGTTTTCAATTCCCTTATCTTTATCAAACTTGCATTAAACCAAATATTCAGATTTTTTCCTAAAACCCTCATTTCTATCCAACTAAGAGTTTGTTTCTCTTCAAATTTGGCTGTCCCCTGGAAATTCCATTCTTATCCACTTTCATTGGGTTCAACAGCTCATTCCATTCTCATCCTCTTCCACTGTGTTCACTAGAGCCACTCCCTCTTTCTAAAACTAAAATCACTCAATGACAGAATGATGTAAAAGAAGACTGGGTTTTGAACTAAGAAACCTGAGTGCAATTCTCATTTCTCTGATTTACTGTATCCAAATAATTTTCTCTCTTTGAGTTTCAGGTTCTCCACCTGAACAACCACTTGATCAGGATGTTAAGCAAGGATTCAAGTACTAGAGGGTATTTTGTTTAGTCTCTAGGATTTCTTAACATTCTCAAATTCTATGCACCTCTGATTTTGTCTAAAGGAAAATGAGAAATATTTAGCTGCCGTTCACGAAAACTATAATAGAAGATCATAAGAAAAGCAGAAGAGAAGTAAAAAGCAATCAAGAAACTATTATTAAAATGTCATAGAAGGAAATAAAAGAATCCAGAGAATAAGAAAAATCTTCAGCGAACTAGGCAGTGTACTCACTTAAAGAGAAAACCTAAGTGGGTAGGCAGTAAGTAGAGAAATGAATTAGAAATATCCTTTTAATATATGCTAAATATAGTTAACATAACATGGTCTATATTTAGATAATCTCCATGCACAGTAAGACGATATTTTTTCTAGGACTGGCCTGGTCTTGCTTATGAAAATCTTAGGTTCCTGTGGCCACAGGTAACTGATACCTGCCTTTAAAATTTTGATGGTTAAAAAAAATGTAATGTTGTTACCACTGCCATTTCCAAAATATTTGGACAAACTTTTAGAGTATCCAGGCTTCTAAGAAATACTCTAAAGAGAGTTAATATATAACAAAATGTGACTTTCTAAATTGATCTGAGTTACACCAGTACCGTGGCCCCATTGCTGCATAGGTCTGTATCCATCTATGCTTAGGGGCAAATGAAGTGATTAGAGAGCCAGGCAGGATGATGGCCAAATCATGGGTTGGCTACCTGTTAACTGTGGAATCATGAGCCAATATTTCAACCTCTTTAAAGCAGAGTTGCCTAATTAGTGAAAAAGCAATAATAGCACAAATAGTTTGTAAAGCTGTGTGGAGATGACATGACATGATAAATATTAAGCATGTAATATGGTGTCTAGCACAGAGTAGAACACTAAATGGATACTAGTTTCTATTCTCTCTATTCACTAAGTTAACATATCACTTTAAAAAATCTATGAAATCATACCTGTTTAAACACTGTTCAACAGCAGGAAGCACTATTAAACAAAAAGTAAAATGCATTTTAAATCAATAGGAACCTATAAAATATTAAAAACATAAAAGAGCACAGTGACTTGTTCCTATAATCTCAGCTACTCAAAAGGTTCAGGCAGAAGTATCACTTGAGAAGCCCAGGTGTTTCAGACCACCTTGGGCAACACAGAAACATTCTATCTTTATTTTTAAAAAGTTAAAAAAATTAAAAAAAAATCATGTAGACAGGGCTAGGTGGGTCATGCCTGTAATCCCAGCACTTTGTGAGGCCGAGGTGGGTGGATCACTTGAGGTCAGGAGTTCGAGACCAACCTGGCCAACATGGTGAAAGCCGGTCTCTAGTAAAAATACAAAAATTACCAGGTTGGTGGTGCACACCTGTAAACTCAGCTACACAGGAGACTGAGACAGGAGAGTCACTTGAACCCCGAAGGTGAAAGTTGAAGTGAGCCAGAATTGTGCATGTCTTTCATACAAGACATCAGAAGGATTTAAACCATTATACTACAAATATTCATCGTGCTCTTTGACTTGCCTGACAATTGAGCAGGTACACAATGACAATTACACTTTAGATGATGTACACTTCAAAGCTCCTCAGTAGAAGTGTGCCGAATTGGTCACCTTGGATCTATGTTTGGTGAATCCTATTATATGGTATTCATTATTTTTCATACCCATGTGGTATAATAATGAGTCTACACTTTTGTATTTTCTGGTTTAACCTTCAGAAAGTTTTGTCAGTCACTCATGGGAACAAGGTATAATATACAAACCTAATCAAAATGAATAAAAATTATCAAATTTGATATACTTACACAAAATAAAGTTGCTACAAGCATTAGATATGAATAAGGTTGTGCATTGGGAAATCACTATTCATTAAAAATAAATACTTTAGGAGTCAATTAAAGAATTTAACATTATTTTGTTTCTAAAATAGTCTGGTTTGAAGGATCATGTTATTCTCTAAAGTATTTTCATTAAATTGATATTTTATCCAAAAGTTAGCTCTCTGAACAACAAAGCCAGTGTATGCATATTTACATTTATCTCATTTAACTGATAACAACAAAACATATATCTCTGATATCCAATAATAACAAAGAGGGGTAACAGGTGACTGTGGTTTATCACAATTCTAGCACTCTATCCTGCTTCCAGTAGTCCCTGGAGCAGCCAAAATCAAATCTTCCTTCATGCAAACATTCTAAACGCATCTGAAGTGAGTTCCCTCAGGTTTCCTCAGCAGAAACCCTAAAATTAAATAAATAACTTCTTTTCCCTTCTTCCTGCCTCACAATCCCTCTTCCCTGAGGAAAATAATTACTACATCAGCGGTCTCGTTACTTCTCATTCTGTAGTGTTTATGGCTTATTACGATCACTTCTTCCCTCTGGTTTTAGCAATGTGATCTGGCGCCTATAATTTCTAGTACTTCATCTTGTTCTCCTTCCCCTCTGGATGGAAACATCCTGTAGAATTAAAGCAAAATTATGCTGTCCCCTCAGCCTGTTATGTCTTGAATTGCTCTCCAATGGTTCTTCTTCCCAATTTCAATGCAGGGAAGTCTATAATCTTACTACTCAGATGATGGCCAAAAATCAGCAGAAGCACCATCACTCCAGAACTTATTACAAATGCAGAATCTCAGGCCCGCTGAATCAGAATGTGCAGCTTCAATGAGCCCCCTGCTGATTTATTCAGGGAAGGGAAGTTCTCCTCTATCTTGAGTGTACATGACATTAAATGTGTATTGCAAAATTACCTGTCCCGGACTTTTGTTCATTTTTTATTTCTGTGGCTATGTTCGAAACAGAGTCTTTCTGGTCACTTGTATTCTGAATGGGATTTCAAACAAAATAATCAATACATACAGTATATTTCATAGACTATACAGTTAATAATTCAAAATATGAATGAGAGTGTAATATCTTCAAGGCCGGTTGTTTCTGAGAAGACACTGAAAACCAAAAGGGATACATAATCACTCATATGTAAATATGATAAAGTTATCCATACATTCATGCAGTGTTACCATCAAGCTGTATCCTCCTGCCTGAATTAGCGTAGGCTTTGATGTTTTCTACTTTGTGTATTGGGACAGGAACATGACAGAATTACAATGTAGAAAACAGAAGTATAGTCTTCATGAAACAAACATTTCCAATTTCATATGTGATATTATTCTTCATATGTCAATTACTACAATAAAACAGTGTCTACATCAATGTGGATATGCCGAGTGATGAGGACAAATGTGATCTAAAATCAGAGCAGCAGCTCATACACTTGGGAATCAATGTCGAAGCAGGTGATTAATGCTCCTGCATGTTTTTCATGTAAGACATCAGAGGGATTTATATCATTATACTACAAATATTTAGCATGCTCTTAAACTTGCCTGACAATTGAGCAGGTTCACAATGACAATGGCACTTTAGTTGAATGTACACTTCCCAAGTGCTCTGTGGAAGTGTCCCGAACTGATCAGCTTAAATATATGTTTGGTGAATCCTAGTATAAAATATTCTTTATTTCTCACACCTCTGTGGTGTCATAATGTGCCTACATTTCTTGAATCCTCTAGTTTAGCCTTCAGAAAGTTTCTTCATCCATTCATGGCAAGAAGGTATAATATATAAACCTCATCAAAAAGTATAATAAACCATCAAATTTGGCAAACTTATACAAAATAAAGTTACTAAAAGCATTAAATATGAATAAGCTTTTCCATTTGGAAATTGCTCTGATATTCATTGAAAATAACCACTTTAGGAGTCAGTTAATGAATTCAACATTATTTTTGTTTCCAAAATAGTCTGGTTTGAAGGATCATGTTATTCTCTAAAGTATTTTCATTAAATTGCTATTTTATCCAAAAGTTAGTTCCTTGAAAAACAAAGCCAATGTATACATATTCATGATTATCCTATTTGAATAGCTAATACCAACAAAACATATATCTCTCATGCCCAATAGTAACAAAGAGGGGTAATGAGTCACTGTGGGTCACCACAATTCTAACACTCTATCCTGCTTCCAGTAGTTCCTGGAGCAGCCAAAATCTAATCTTCTTTTATGCAAATATTCCAAATGCATCTGAAGTGAGTCCCATCAGGTTTCTGCAGCAGAAACCCCAAAATTACATAAATAACATCTTCTTTTCCCTCCTTCTTGCCGCTCAATCCCTCTTCCTTGAGTAAAATAATTACCACATCAGAGGTCTCAATTCTCTTTCTACATTGTTTATGGGTTATTCCAATCACTTCTTCCATCTGGTTTTAACAATATGATCTGATGCCTATAATTTTTATCACTTAATCTCTTTCTCCTTCCCTTTACGATGGAAACATGCTGTAGAATTAAAGCAAGAATATGCTGTCCCTTAACCTGTTATATCTTGCACTGCTCTCCAGTCGTTCTTGCCAGTTTCACTGTGGGGAAGAATATAATCTTACTACACAGATCATGGCCAAGGACCAGTTGCATCAGCGTCACCCAAGAAGTTATTACAAAAGCAGAATCTCAGGCCTCCTGAATCAGAATGTGCAGATTCAATGAGCCCCCTGCGATTTATTCAAGGAAGAGAAGTTCTCTTCTATCCTGAGTGAACATGACATTAAATGTGTTTTGCAAAATTACCTGCCCCAGATTTTTGTCCATCCTTTATTTCTGTGGCTATATTCAAAACAGAATCTTTCTTATCACTTGTAGCCTGAATGGGATTTGAAACAAAATAATCAATACATAAAATATATTTCACAGACTATATAGTTAACAGTTCAAAACAGAAATGAATGTGTAATTACCTTCAAGGCTGCTTGTTTCTGAGAAGACACTGAAAAGCAAAAGGGATACATAATCAATCATATGTAAATATGATAAAATTATCCATACATTCATGCACTGTTACCATCAAGCTGTATCCTCCTGCCCCTATTAGTTTAGGTTTTTGTTTTATACTTTGTGTCTTGAGACTGGAACATGACAGAAATACACTGAAGAAAACACCAATACAGGCTTCATGAAATATACACTTACAATTTCAAATGTGATATGATTTGTCATATGTCTAAAACTAAAATGAAACAGTGTCAGTATCAATGTGGATATGCGGAGGGATAAAAACAAATGTGGTCTAAAAACAGAGGAGCAACTCATGCACCTGGGAATCAATGTCAAAGCAGGTGGTACATGCTTTCACATGTCTTTAGTGCAAGAGATGAGAAGGAAATACACCATTATACTACAACCATTCATCATGCTCTTTAACTTGCCCAATAACTGAGAAGGCACACAATTACGATGACACTTCAGCTGAATGTACACTTCACATCTCCTCAGTGGAAGTGTCCTAAATTGATCAGCTTAGATATATGTTTGGTGAATCCTAGTAGAGAGTATTCATTATTTCTCAGACCCATGTGGTGTAATAATTGCCCAAGTTTCTTGTGTTCTCTAGTTCAGCCTTCTGAAAGTTTTTTCATCCACTCACGGCAATACGTATAATATATAAACCTCAATAAAAAGTATCATCATTTATCAATATTGACATACTTCTACAAAATAAAACTGCTACAAGCATTAGATATTAATAAGCTTTCACATTTGGAAATGACTCCAATATTCATTGAAAGTAACTATTTTATGAATCAATTAATGAATTCAACATTATTCTTGTTTCTAAAATCATCTGGTTTTAATTATCATGTTATTCTCTAAATAATTTTCATTAAATTGCTATTGTATCCAAAAGTTAGCTCCTTGGAAAACAAAGACAATGTATGCACATTCATGTTTATTTCATTTGAATAACTAATATCAACAAAATCTATGTCTCTGATTCCCAAAAGTAACGAAGAGAAGTAACGAGTCACTGTGGTTTAGCTGAGTTCTAGTACTCTTTCCTTCTTCCAGTAGTTTCTGGAGCAGCCAAAATCAAATCCTCTTTTATGCAAATATTCTAAATGCATCTGAAGTGAGTTCAGTTATATTTAGAGTCATAATTTAAAAAATCATTTTCTTTGTACTCATGAAGGCTCCTAATATTCCTACATTTCCCAGATTCAGCAGTTCAGCTCTTTTGCCATCTCTTTTTCCACTTTTGCAAAAACATACATGTCAAAGAAATCATGCATAATCAGATTCCCATGTAAATAAGGTAAACAAAATCTCTAAATCCCAAGACTTTTCTTATTAGTAACCAACCAAATATATACATATGTGTGTATGTGTGTATGTGTGTGTATATATATATATATATATATATATATATATATATATATCTCATGATTGCCAAGAATATTGGTAGTTTTTTTTAGTACTCAAGATATACATTCTTTTATTACTTTGTTTCTAAAGCTAGTTTGATATAATATACCATAGGGGTCTCTCAGGCCTTTTACGAAATAACTACCTCAGCAAACACAGCTTTCCTAAAGAAAAAAAAACAAAACACTTTTCCTGTGCATATTGCAATATGCATATTGGGATGCATATTAAGCTGCATCCCAATATGCTAACTGATGGGAACGAAGCACACATCATTGATGTGCAAAACTTCTAGGGAGGAGAAATTAAACCCTGGGGGTCACCCTCATCCTTCTAACTTCCGCTTTCCATTACGTGACTCCCCACAAGTCTCCTCATCAGAAACCTCCAAATTACCTAGCTAGCTGCTTTCTTTGTTTTGCCTAATTTGACATACGCTCTTTTTCATTCATAAATCTAATATCCATATTGGTGGACCTCATTCTTTGCCCTCCACATTCATTTCTTCATTATTCTCACCACTACTATATTGTGACATCTGTACAATCCCATTCTGACACATGTGAAAATAAGGTTTTGCTTTATTAAAATGTTAAATATATCAGACATTTGACTAACGTGTACAAATTCCTTCTTCACAAAAGCAGCCCCATGGCCTTCTCTCTCCCATAGACACTCTTTCACAGCTGTTTTTCACTGACATCGGTTTCAGTATCTATCATCTCTCATTTTGTCTCTATGCTTTCACCTCATATTATCAGTTATTAGCATAGGCTCAGCAGCCTATCTCACCTATTTTCCTCTCCAGGAGACACTGCTGAGTAGTAAATTAGAATCTCCCAGGATATGAACACTTTCACATACACAAGACTTTGTGGAGCTATTTTATGTTTAACTACGCATAAAACCACTATGTCTATGCCTTCCAGAGAAACAGGCTCTGAAATGTTATTGAACATATTCTATTTAAAAACTTCATTAACTACAGTGGCACTGCCTCTCCTCAATGCACCAACATCTTCAGAAATAACTTGTGAAGACTTGAAAACATGTCAGTAATTAACATGAAAAATGAAGAATGATGTAATTTTTTGCAGGTATAAATAAGACACGCTGACATCCTTACTAGATCCGAGAAAAGCAGAGTGCCATGAGACAGGAAATAAATATGGAACAGAAATATTTTCATTTGTAATGAAAATTATTCTATTTACAGTTTTCAGAAGAGAAAAAAATACACACACACACACACATTCAAACACAAAAACCAGAGCAATACGGCTTTACAGGGTGTTTTTTCTTCAAGGGCCTATTAGTCATTTGACATCTGGGAACACTCTATAGGGATAAACAAAGGGGTTCTAAATTGTGACCTGAGTAGTTTAGAGTTTAACATTCATGAGGGGGAGCCAAGAGGACAAGTAACACTTTGACCATTGGCCATTTCCTCTCCTTACTGTCATTCTCTGAAAAGCACACACTGGATTTTCTCAGGGTCATGACATGTCAAAAATACATGCTTTAAGGGGGAAACAGTTGCAATCAACACAGCCATGGGAGAGATACAGCTATGCTTGCTAGGATTTCCAATATTTCTGTTTCATTTCTAATATAGTAAAAATCAATAAAAGCAACCACATAAGCATATCCATGCTGGTATGTCATCATATTTATGTCCATATGGTATCAGCATGAAGAGAGCATAATTAAATATGCTGCAGTCATCACATGGCATATCATTAGATCACACAATAAATCAAATACCTCACTGGGTCAACGTGGATAGATCTGAAATATATATCACTGATTTTATGAAGACCAAGTTGCAGTTATTGTGTGCACTGTCTGAACTTTTCTACAAGGTTTTAATACACAAAATCAAGTTCTACATGTTATCTATGAATGTGCACATATATTGTAAGAGTTTTTTCATGTGCATTTGGGTGATTTTTCTTTTAAAAAAAAATTTAATTCAAGTTCTTGGTTACATGTCATCAATAAGTTTTAGTAGTATAGAAAATCCTAAGACCATAACAGCTCAGAATGACTGTCTTAAAAGGCAATGTCTACCAAAGAGTCAGGAAAGCATGACTACTTACTTTCTTCATTTTTAAAACTCAGAGGTACCCCATGCACACTCCCAAATAAAACTGCACACAAGTTCTTTAGTTTAATTAGATCCCATTTGTCAATTTTGGCTTTTGTTGCCATTGCTTTTGGTGTTTTAGTCTTGAAGTATTTGCCCATGCCTATGTCCTGAATGGTACTGCCTAGGTTTTCATCCAGGGTTTTTATATATTTAGAACTTACTTTTAAGTCTTTAATGCATCTTGAGTTAATTTTTGTATAAAGTGTAATGAAGGGGTCCAGTTTCAGTTTCCTGCGTAAGGTTAGCCAGTTTTCCCAACACCATTTATTAAATAGGGAATCCTTTCCCCATTGCTTTTGTCAGGTTTGTCAAAGATAAGATGGTGTAGATGTATGGCATTATTTCTGAGGCCTCTGTTCTGTTCCATTCGTCTATATATCTCTTTTGGTACCAGTACCATGCTGTTTTCATTACTGTAGGCTTGTAGTATAGTTTGAAGTCAGGTAGCATGATGCCTCCAGCTTTGTTCCTTTTGCTTAGGATTGTCTTGGCTATATGGGCTCTTTTTTTGGTTCCATATGAAATTTAAAGTAGTTTTTTCTAATTCTGTGAAGAAAGTCAATGGTAGCTTGATGGGTATAGCATTGAACCTACAAATTACTTTGGGCAGTATGGCCATTTTCAAGATATTGATTCTTCCTATCCATGAGCATGGAATGTTTTTCCATTTGTTTGTGTCCTCTGATTTCCTTGAGTGGTGGTTTGTAGTTCTCCTTAAAGAAGTCCTTCAAATCCATTGTGAGTTGTATTCCTTGCTATTTTATTCTCTTTGTAGCAATTGGGTATGGGAGTTCACTCATGATTTAGTGCTCTATTACTGGTGTATAGGAATGCTTGTGAATTTTGCACATTGACTTTGTATCCTGAGACTATGAGGAAGTTGCTTATCAGCTGAAGGAGATTTGGGGCTGAGATAATTTGGTTTTCTAAATATAAAATCATGTCATCTGCAAACAAAGACAATTTGACTTCCTTTCTTCCTATTTGAATACCGTGTATTTCTTTCTCTTCCCTGATTACCCTGGCCAGAACTTCCAATACTGTGATCAGAGTGAACAGGCAACCTACAGAATGGGAGGAAATGTTTGCAGTCTGTCCATCTGACAAAGGCCTAATATCTAGAATCTACAAGGAACTTAAACAAATTTACAAGAAAAGAACAAACAGTCTCATCAAAAAGTGGGCAAAAGATATGAACAGACACTTCTCAAAAGAATACATTTATGCAGCCAACAAACATCTGAAAAAAAGCTCGTCATCACTGATCATCAAAGAAATGCAAATCAAAACCACAATGAGATACCATCTCACGCCATTTAGAATGGCAATCGTTAAAAGGTCAGGAAACAACAGATGCTGGAGCAGATGTGGAGAAATAGCAATGCTTTTACACTGTTGTTGGGAGTGCCATTAGTTCAACCATTGTGGAAGACAGTGTGGTGATTCCTCAAGGATCTAGAACCGGAAATACCATTTGAGCCAGTAATCCCATTACTGGGCATATACTTGGGGTGTGTGTGTGTGTGTGTGTGTGTGTGTGTGTGTATAATGTGTGTATGTACAGTGGCTTGTTCCTATAATCTCAGCTACTCAGAAGGCTGAGGCAGAAGTATCACTTGAGAAGCCCAGGAGTTTGAGAACAGTCTGGGCAACATAGCAAGACTCTTTACTAAACAAAAAATCATGCAGGGTGGACACAGTGGCTCATGCCTGTGATCTCAGCATTTTGGGAGGCCAAGGCGGGTGGATCACGTGAGGTCAAAAGTTTGAGACCAGCCTGGCCAAACATGGTGAAACCCCGTCTCAACAAAAACACAAAAAAAAATTAGCCGAGTGTGGTGGCACATGTATGTAATCCCAGCTACTTGGGAGGCTGAGACAGGAGAACTGCTTGAACCCAAGCGGCAGAGGTCGCAGTGAGCCAAGATTGTGCCATTCCACTCCAGCCTGGGTGACAGAGTGACACTTTATCTCAAAAGAAAAAAAAATCATGAACTTTTGTACTTGCCTTAGACCTTGTAGGAAAAAAAGTATAAGACTTTGATGCTTTATTACAGAGACTCTCATGATTTGTTACAAAGCAGTTCTTTAGAAACATACTTGGAGGATATACTAAAATTATTATTTATACCATTTGTAGGTAACTAATGAATTAAGAACCCTTATTTCCTTTCTTATGTGCTTAGCATATACTTATCAAATGCAAAGAAGAATATATTATCAAAATTTGTTACCTTACATGTGAATTGCAGTATAAAATAGTCATAATTCTAACAGAACCATATCAGACTGACAGAAAATGGCATCATTAGTAGAATCAATATAATGAGCAGGCATTGTCAAAGAACATGACTTCTGGACAAATGAACCAGGTGCAGCTAGAACATTAGTCCCCCTTATCTGCTGTATGTGTAGAAAACACATATTCAACATGATGTTCCTCTTCTCTCACACCACAACAACAATTATCAACACAGAAGATTTCTGTGACCAAATATGTATTATTCCCCAGCAACAAGCAAACAGTCAATTCCGATGGGTGCCCTCTAATTCTGACACTATCTAATTGGGGATTGTGTCAGACCCCACAGGTTGAGGGCTCAGTACCACAAGGCTATTCCCCTACAGCAGTTACAAGTCTGGGCCTCCAGAACTTCTAATCAACTTCTAGTTGGACTTCAAGTTGGGTTTCCCAGGACCCCCTCTTTGGTTTTATTAATTTACTAGAGTGGCTCAGAGAACTCATGGAAACACATTTACCAGTTTCTTATAAAGAATATTAAAGGATACAGATAAAGAGATGCATAGTGCAAGATATGGGGGGAAAGTAACATGCTTCCATGTCCTCCCAGGGCAGTCAACCTCTGGGAACATCCATGTTTTCTCCATATGCCTTCATGTATTGGAGAGCATCCAGGTAGCTGAATACAGCTACCTGGATGCTCTCCAAATCCAATCCTTTTGGGATTTTGTGAAAGCTTCATTACATAGGCATGACTGATTAATTGAACATTCAGCCCCTCTCACATCCCAGGAGGTGAGGGGTGGGGCTGGAAGTCCCAACCCTCTAATCACATCCTGATCACTCTTATGATGAGCCCCACCCTGAAGCCATCTGGAGTCTGCCTGCCGTAAGTCAATCATGAGCACACAAATGATATCATGTTGGAAGTTCTGAGGATTTTAGGAGTTGTATGACAGAAAATGGGGTTGAAGACCAAATATATATTTCATAATATGACATTGGTGGTTTTATTGATGGCAGATTCAGTTACCCATGGTCAACCATGGTCCATAAATAAAATTCCAGATGTATAAACATCTAAGGTTTAAACTGTGTAAGATTCTGGGTAGTATAACAAAATTTGAGCCATTACATCCCAGTCTGCCCAAGATGTGAATCGCCCCTTTGTCAAGTGCATACACATTACATATGATATCTGCTCACTAGTCATTGACATAATCTGTACCTAACATCCAACCAAGAATATCATCATGGCTCATGGATCCAAGATCATGTGAAGCAGATGATCTTCTTTCTGACATATAGTCAAATAGAAGGTCAATAGTAGCCTAAGACTACATGGCAATGCCTACTGCATTTGCCTCGCTTATCACATAGCCATTTTTTCATCTCACATCAGTGCAGAAAGTAGGGTGACTACAGTACATGATATTTTGTGAGCTCATATTCACATAAATTTTATTACAGTATATTGTTACAATTGATCTACTTTATCATTAGATATTATTAATCTCTTATTGTGCCTAATTTATGTATTAATTTTCATTATAGATATATATGTATTTTTAGAAATTTTTGTACACATAGAGTTCAGCACTATTCATGTTTTCAGGCATTCACTAAGGGTCTTGAAATGTACCCCCACGGATAAGAGGAAATTACTTTACTTATTTTGTTGAAACACAACAGTTTCTCCACCTCTTCGGTTTAAACTATTCAGGATAAAGCACTCTAATACAAAAACTCTAGGTCTATGAAAACTGTACTTATTCTATGGCAAAACACAGCATACAGACCAGGGTCAAGGATCCCTGCAAAGACTTTTCAGCTGCCAGTGCAGAAGAGCCTAAGAGAGATCAGCGTCCTTACTCTTCACTAATCCTCTCCTAGGGAAGATTCTGGTAAGTTTGCTCAGTTCTAGCTATTCATTCACCCTATGTAGGGCACAAACAATGCTTAAATTCAGCTTTCACTTTAGCTCCTTCAAAAAAAACACACAGAGGAAATAGCACTCCCTTAAAAGCTTATCCAATCTGAGTCTTGTCTCCTTGTCAGAGAGAAGCTTATAAAGAAACACTGGGGAGGTATGGCAAGTTGCCAGGGAGGACTTTCTAATATATAAAATACATATAAAGGAACCATAAACTCACTGGAGCTACCAAGATGTGCCAACAGTTGTCCCACTACCTAGTGGGAAAAACAACAACAACAAATCTTTGTCACTTTAGGTAAACAAAAATAGTATGACTCTCGGCATTTTTCATGATGGAGAACCCATGTTATAATAATATAGACTGTTTTCATACTGATCCCTCAAAAAAAGAAGGTCAATAAGAAACATATTTGTATGCCTATAGTATTCACTAGCTGGTCTTATTTCCAACTGCAAGGTAAATAGGAAAGACTTTCTGACTCTAGTTTTATAAAGTACAGCCTCTTGAGATTGTCTCTTTCCACTTCTAGTATATCTGGACCCATCTCACAGAGAAGGATGATCCAGTTAGTGCTGTGTAGTACACAGCATGAAGTCATTTTCCTCAACCCTCCCCATTATGTGGCAAATGTCTATATAAATTATGCTTTTTCAACACGTAAACCATAAGCCATTAAATCCTACATTAATAAACTAAAAGCAAAAAGCACAATGGATACCTTAATTGAATACATTCAATTATCTTGGAAATTTATGTTTTGTAATATTGAAAAAGATATCCACTATATTATCCTTAATATATGACTATGCTGGACATATCAAAACTATGGAGACAGAAAAAATATTAGTAGTTGACAGGGGTTAGTTGGGAGGGAGGAATAAAAAAAAGAGAGATGAATTTCAGGACAACAAAAGTATTCTAACGGCAGGTACATTTATTATACATTTGTCCAACTATATAGGAGGTACAATACCAAGAGGGAACTTAGATATAAACTATAGGCTTTGGGTGATTATTATGATCCAGCAATGTAAGCTTCCCAGTTGTAACAAATGTACCACTCAGGTGGGAGATATTGATAATAGGGGGAGCTATGCATGTGAGGGGGGATGGCATACTTGAAAAATCTCTTTAGGTTCTTTTCAATATTGCTGAGAATATAAAACTGCTCTTAAAATAAAGTTATTAACTTTTTTAAAAGATTTTCACTGAATCTTCTATTGCTAATATATTACTACAATATATTGCCATATATTATAGCAAGATGTACTCAATTTGAAACACAATATGAATATTCTCTCCAGAATTATAGTATATAAAAGTATATAAAGCAAATAACTGTATTAACAGGCAAGAAAATAACTGATAAATGATTGATTTTTTAAATTTCATAATTATAAACAGAAATTTAATAAAATATAAAACAAAACTGAACCATCTACATAATTAAAATGAAACAAATTTTTTATTTTAATTTTAAATCAGAAATCATTACTTATTTTATCTAACCATTTTACTGAAAGGTTAATCGAATAAGAACAGATTATAATTACCTAATATTACCATAGTAACTTCTGTATAGAAACCTGTTAAATATTCACCAAAATTCCAAAACCTTACAGCACAGAAACTTAATATTTCATATTAAGTTGCAACTGACACAAATGAAATAAGCACCATGCTATATTATATCACCATGTTATTCATTATTAAATAGAATTTTTAAGACACTAAAATTAAGTTGGGGCTGTAACTGCTGTGAAGAAAATAATTCATATAACAGTCATAAGACTGTCATTCTTAGAAAGGCCTACATGCAAAACTGGCCCTTTGCTGGTGTTTGGAAATTTGCATTTTAAAGGTTTGTCACCATTTTCTGAGAAAAGTACCTCACTGTACCTAAACTGTTTGCATAAACAATGTGGTTGACTCTGAACAGCTGCTTTTCTTCTGGAAGTGTGGAATTTTTGTATATGTGTGAGATAGAATGCCTATGTAACTAGCTTCCATAAAAATCTTGGATACTGTCTAGTCAGACTCATATTGGTAGACAATACTGCCCATGTGCTGTCAAAATTCAAAGCTACAGGAATTCAGCACATCCTGGTAACTCCACAGGAGAGGGCTCCTGGAAGCTTGTGCCTGGCTTCTCCAAGACTTGCCACATGCCCCTTTGCCCTGAGCCAATTTTACTTTGTATTCTTTCACTGTAACAAATCAAAGCCCAGAGTAGGACTGTTTGCTGAGCCCTTACAAGTGAATCACCAAACAGAGGTGGTCTTGGGAAACTCTGACATAATGGCATTATATGAAATTAGTTTTCTTTAAGGTGATGTGACCTGTGACTACAATCAGAAGGCTGTTTATAGAATACCTTTCCCTAATCTGTTTTCCTTAACAGTTGCCTTTGAGATTCCTGTATTTCCGCATGAGTAAATCCATAAAGGAATAGAAATAATTATGCCAAAAAAATGAAAAACAAGCAGCAATCCTATTTTAACCAGAATAAAAAATTGAGAATATGGATGATTAAAAATATACCCCATAGTATGAAAGCTTCTAAAAGAGAAACAAAAAGATCACAGCCAATTGTCTTCAACTCACCAAGGTTTCTTTTATAATAATTGGGGATTAGGCCAGGTGCAATGGCATGCACTTGTAGTCCCAACTACTCCAACGGCTGAGGCAGGAAGATTGCTTGAGATCAAAAGTTCGAGGTTGCAGCGGAGATTGTGCCTGCGAATAACCATTGCACTCCAGCCTGGGAAACAGAGTGAGACCCTGTCTCTAAAATGTATTAGTAGGCTGGGGGTGGTGGCTCATGCCTGTAATCCAAACACTTTGGGAGGCTGGGGAGGGTGGATCACAAGGTCAGGAGATGGAGACCATCCTGACTAACACGGTGAAACCCCATCTCTACTAAAAATATAAAAATCAGCTGGGCGTGGTGGTGCATGCCTGTAGTCCCAGCTACTTGGGAGGCTGAGGCAGGAGAAGTGCTTGAACCCAGGAGGCAGAGGTTGCAATGAGCCAAGATCACGCCACTGCACTCCAACCTGGCCAACAGCATGAGACTCAGTCTCAAAAATATATATATATATATATATATATATTAATAAAAACATACATAAAGTAATTTGCATCATTCAGATCATTGTGATAATTATAGAAATATATGTAGCCATTGGATATAATACTGTACTATCGATCATAGAGCTCATTTAATTTGTTTCTAATCTTTTTTCTTAAGTTCTTATAAAACCAAAAATATCTATTAAAACTAAAAATCATCTTTTAAAGGCAGTTCTTCACAGAACAGGTCAAAAAGTCAAAAACTGCATTTAAAAAGTAGGATGAGTTATCCACTTCTCCTTCCAAACAGCGGGTTTTTATTATTAAGGGCCAATAGTACTTTAAACTCATTTTGGGGAATAAAGTAAGTTATGGACCAGCATGATGGCTCATGACTATAATTCCAGCACTTTGGGAGGCTAAGGCAGAAGGATCACTTGAAGCCAAAAGTTTGAGACTGGCCTGAGCAACAGAGAGAGACCCTTGTCTCTAAAAAATAAAAAATAAAAAAGTTAGCTTGGTATGGTGGCATAGGCTCGTAGCAGTCTAAGCGACTTAGGAGGCTGAAGTAAGAGGACCACTTGAACCCAGAAGTTTGAGGCTGCAGTGAGCTATGATCACACTATTGCACTCCAGCCTGGGAAACAGCAAAAGACTCAATCTCAAAAAAAAAAAAAATCAAGAAAGTTATATATAGATGGTTAAAGGTGTGGTAATCCAACCGACCAAATATTCCAGCTAAGTAACAGATTACCAATATTTGAAGAAATGTAATACCAGAAAAGTGTTTTACATTAAAACTATGTCAAGTTTGAAAATTTAAAAGACACCTTAAGTGTCTTAACTTAATTTGAAAATTTAAAAGACATTTAAAGTTTGAAAATTTAAAAGAAACTTAAAATCTTAAAGGATCAGCATCACTTACACTGTCATTGTGCTGAAGATATAAAGAAGTTTAGCATTAAAGATTAATAGAATACCAGATATAAGTTAGAATAGGTAGCTAATTCTCTTAAAAGAAAATCATATATAGTTGTCAAAAATACCTATGTTAGAAATGTGTTCTAATATTTTCTTTAGGGATTAAATTCAAAAGAAAACAGTAAAAGCAGAGATATTAGAAGAGGTCATGAAAAGGGAATTGCACTAAAACAAAGTGTCCCAGAACACAGAGACTTGGAATACTTAGCATATCACCTATCCATAACATAATATCATACATCCATAACATAATATAAAAGATGTCAGCTTCTCCAAACTGCTCGTCTGTAGACTACTTCCAATTGAAACTTGAAACTCTCAAAATGTAGCTGTGTTATGATTCCATGTTGGAGGGAGTTGGGATGTATGTGCTTTGGACAAGCTGGTTCCAGTTACTGCTGCCAGACTTTTGTTACAGAATGCATCCAGAAGAACTTATCAGGGATTTCAGTACAAACTAAGTATTTCCACAAGGAGCAGATAAGAAGACCACAGTTTTTCTCACACATTACACTTAGGTTTTGACAATTCTGTAAAAGTGTGGGCACATGTACTCAGAAGTCAAGACCATTTTCCCTGACCCTGTCCACATAGCTTCTGCAGTTACAAAAGAGTTACGTAGGATCTTGGTAGATTTGTTCCTCCATATTTGGACACCAGACATACCAATCACATCAACAGCCCACATTACACCTCAAAAATGGTTCTTTTGAAAACGGTACCGCCAAAGAGCTTTTAAAAATTAAATCTAATTGGCTTTTTAGTAATCTTACTTGTTAGAATTGATACACCCTCCTTAAAATTCTCATATTTTTTATTTTTGCCACATCACTTCCTTTGACTCCTCTCCTACTTTTCTCTAGCCACTGCTCATTCTCCTTTACCAACTCTTTTTTTTCTGGGGGCGGGAGGGAATGTTGACATTCCCAGGGTTTTGTCACTGGATGCCTTCTCATTCTACATCTGCATCATGGACAGTTGAGATCGATGATTTTGCCTAAAAATTATAACAACATCATTCTACTTCTGCATCTCCAACCTCAGAGGTGGAGGTAAGGGAAGTTACTCTTCCCTGTTGACCAGCTGTACTTTTCCATTCAGTGAACACATCCTACTCCTTTCTCCTGTGCAGTATAAAGGCCAGTACACAACCTGGAAACCTATGAATGATCCAAGATTTCTCTCTCCCCACTAATGTTTTACATTCAATGTTCACTAAATCATATTAACTGTACCTCTTTTCTGCTTATGCTTTATATTTCTACTGCTACCAAATAAATATGTTTATATTTCCTAGATCAACATGGCCTCTTCATTGATGGTTTTCACAGGAAAAAAAGTCCCTGCCAACTATTACTGTTTTTTTACAAATAAAAAATTAAGTAAAACAAATGAAGAAGGCATAAGGGCAAGAAAAAGACCAACATTTTAAAATGAGTAAATGGAGAAAATTTACTTTATTTTACCATGGATGGGTGAACACCTTACACTAGATTGATAGTAGTTCAAGCATCGAACTACAAGGAAACTACAGCTTTAACTATTGCAAAAGCTTCCTTTCTCTAGCTTACTTTCTTGTACTCAGAATACAATATATAATATATATAACATACCAAATATGTATTTTCATCAGCATGGGCATTGGCAGCACTAAATCCCATGTTGTTCAAGGGCCAACTGTAATTATTGATTCATTTAGTAATTGCAAAGAATTTATTTTACAAATTAAATAGAAGTTCTAATTATATAAAAAGTCTAATTCATTATTATGTGACTATAAAAAAACATGCAATGTAGTAACAAAAATTTGTTTTCTTATTTACACAAAAAGATCATTTAGAATATTAGGAACCATAATTAAATAATAATTTTTTTCAAACAACACTGAGATTATAAACTACCTACAATTAACTTTTTAAATAATTATAAAATCTAGACTACTAAGTATTTTTTAAATGTGTGCAATTTAAACTGATTTTTTTAAACTGCTTTTTTGTAATCAAAACATCTTTATTCTTTTTTATCTATGGTAGTACCATCAAGAGTAATTCACTATCAGAAATCTTACCTGGATTGCCATTTATAGAAAGCTCTTCATATTTCTTTCTTTTGTATTCAGAAATTAGTTTGAAAATGCTATGTATAAAAATAAATGAAATTAATATTTTAATACTATTATCAAAAACATTTACCAAACATACTGAACTATTAGAGTATCTTGAACAATATCAGGATGTTAATTATCCTATACACTTCTCTTCTGTAAGCTCTATAAACTTCTTAGTACCTTTCTAATTAAATAATAAAAACAGGTGAAGTACTCATGAAGTGAAGGCAGTATAGCCCAGCAAACTGTCTCACATCAGCTTGACATAATGGAAAGTCACCTTCCTGGCTCTTACTGGAAGGTCCTGGCTCTATAGCCAAAAGGTATTTCCTCTTAAACAAGTTGCTTCTCTTAGGCACAATGTCTTCTTCTAGATTTTACTATCTTCTTTCACTAGGTTGTTATATAGGTTTAATGAAGTAGCATTTTTAACATTCACAGAGAAATAGTAAAGCAGTGGAATTTGTTCTTGAACTTTATTGCTGAAACTATTTTGAAATCCCAAATCAAACCCAATGTGTATTTTTTCATAGGTTCTAATATTCAAATGCTTCAGTTTAAGAAAAATGTTAAGTCCTAATTTTGCTTATTGTTCTATTATTTGTGGCTTATAATTCAGCGCATCTCAAATATTTCATAATTCACAAATAAATTTATGAATACATTATTTCAGTAAAATAGGTAAGATGATTGTTCACTATTATTGAGCTCATCAATTCCAAGGGCAGAAAACTAACAGATGTCAAGATCTTGCCTGGGCTACCACTATTACTTCTCTACAGACTCTAACTGAACCAGCAGATGTTTGCTAGAATGATGGTTAATCTCCATCAGTGATGTTATCTCCAACTGACATGGAAGACAAAACCCTACTTTCATTTTTTTTAAGTTCTATGAAGTAGATGAAAGTTGACATTTTCTCATTTCCAAGATACATACTAACAAAATATTTACACAACACCCTATGTGTTACTTATCTCCATTCTCAGTTTATAGATCACCTTACACAAATGTTTTTGTAGTGAAAAATCACAATTCAAATATAAGGGGCCACCCATTTTGTTTCTGTTCAAACTGTGACTTAGCTAGCCAGCAAACAGTCAAATGACCTTCCCCTGACTGCAAAATATGAAGTGCTTAACAAAGCTAATTTTCTCCGTATTGTTCCAATTTTAGTATTTGTGCTGCCAAAGCAAGTACAAAGCCTTACTTTTACATATAAATGCTGATAAGTCATGGATGAGGATTAGCTCTGTTAAATCTAACTAACCAACTTGAGACTTAGATAATTCTGATGAATGGCTTCCTCTAAGGTAGAATCTGAAAATATTTTACAAACTTGAGACAGTGATGCAAGCAGCTTGGGAGATCTTCATTATTACAGAAAACAGATCACTTGAGGGGCCAACCACAAGTCGATGCCTCCTACTATAAGGAAGGATGGCATAGAAGTTTTCACTAGCTGAGAAAATTTCTTACACTGTTTATTTAAAAAGTCTCAGGGTACAGATCTGGTAGCAATAAAGAAAAAAACTGTGATCTCTTTCTACAACATTATTTGAATATCTCTGACAGTTTAGAACTATACCAACTAATATTTGAAGAGAAAAAAAAGGGACTCAAAAAATAACTCACCATGAAGTCTAGAAGCCCAGGTTAAAATGTGGGCTTTACATCAGGTTTTGAGTGTGGGTGAAAGTGTCAATTTGCTCAGTATGTATGTTGATAAAGTTAGAATATCCAGCTAACAGAGCAAGGTTCTGCTGTTTTGGAAACAATGGCTGAGCATATAAGTATGTGCAAGTGAACTAAAAAAAAAAAAATTGTAACTTTGAAGCCTTTTTATGGATCAACATGAAGACTGAGGGATCTCAAACAGAAAGGGCATCCTGGTGACAAAGGTTAATCATTACCAGACTGCAAGAGTACTTTCAATGGAAAAAGCAGCAACAGAATCAATGAAAACAAAGCAATGATTAGAATGCCCTTTCCCCTTCTCCTTCTGACTTGTAGACACTGATTGTCTTCCTTGTACTTAGGGAACCTCTTAGGTTCTTGAAAAATTCAATGATCAGGCTATAGTAGATGGTCCCCAGTACACAGCACAAGATTTTTTGATAAACTGCACATTTTGAGACCCAAATAACCAATTAGAAAAATCAAAGATGTGAAACTACTTTATCCTATGCATAGGGGTTATACTGGAAATAAAATGTACAACATTGGAATCCCTAAGGAGAAAAGTCCTAAAAGTTTCAATATCAAGAATCCTGCACCCGCTGCTACTAATCTAGCCTTTTGCTTGATTTCTGGCTGACGAAGTTGCACAACTCTCGAAAAGTTAAAAACTTGAAAATTTGTCACTTGAAAACTACTTGAACCAAACTATGAAATCGCACCTGATATATAAGATGCAATTGTTACAATTATTTTAAACTTCAATTTAGTGTTCACTAGCCTTTTTATGTAAAGACTTACACTCTATTCCCAGCCCCAATGGCATAATCTTCTGCAGTCTGTCCATACACATCTTGAGAAAACACATCAATATTGTGCTTCAGAAGAAGAATGACTATATCTTTTTCTCCAAGAGTAACAGCAAGTATGAGGGCTGATCTAAAATAACCGGGAGGTAATTAAAAACTTTAATGACATTTTAAAAGCTAAGTTTATATACTTTATCAACTTAATATGTTGTCTGTCCATGTAGAATTAACCCAATTACGTGTACTAAGAAACAAGCATCTTGGGTGCCCAAGGGTTTATCTTTGCAAGTTACCATAAAGGTTAAAAGCAAGGAACAAAAAGGAAGCCTCTTGTCCCACTATGGTATGACATAAAGTTGCTAACTTAAAGTCCTTTGATGGGCAAGAAACTGTGCTCAGGCCACCTATCTACAGTAGGCAAATTTAAGTGAAAAATTATTCATTTCTTCCCTAGTCTGATACTATACATTATAATGCCAAATCAGCTAAAGGGTTAGATAAGAGCTATCTGCAGGCTTAAAACAATAATATTAATAGGAATGCTAATAGTAGTAGTCATAGCTTCAGTTAACGATGCTGATAAGCATGTGCTAGGCATTTAATTAAACACTATATATATATAAATATATACATATGGAGGATAATATATCCTTCAAGGGTGGTTGTGTATAAGTAACTTAAGTAACATCATACATATATAATATATTGTATATTATATGTTATCTATAAAATATATAATATACATTATAGATTATATATTATCTATATATAGTATATATTATATACTATATATGATGTTACTTACATTATATTCTTACATACATATGTGTATATATATATTATATATATGCACATAAGCATATGCTCAGCCATTGTTTCCAAAACATCAGCACCTTGCTCTGTTAGCTGGACATTCTAACACTATATATATATATATATATATATATAATGTTACTTACACACAACCATCCTTGAAGGATATATTATTACCCTCCTTTTCACAGAAGAAAACATACTTGGTGATAAGTAATGTTACCAAGGTCACACATCTAGCAAGTGGGAAAGCTAGGGATTAAATCCAGTCCTGTGTGAACCTAAAGCTTGTTTTCATTAAAGTAAAGTTTTATCCATTGAAAGCTATCTTTTCTCCCTCTCCCCATATCAATTAAAAACAACATCAAAACACAGTAGAAATGAAAAACTAACATGAAACCCCTTTCGCTAACATAAAATCATACAATCAAAAGCATCACATTATTACATTATAAATAACACATCATATTACAAATAACAAACATCTATCAATATACAGAGCTTTCTATATATAGAAGCCTTTTATGTGTATAATGTCTATATAGAGAGACAAATCCTGCTATACACTGTTCTTTATGTTACTCAGTCCAAATAATTGTTTTTCTACCTAAGTGATGATCTGTGTTGATATTTCTCACTATATCCCAATAATTAAAAGTTAGTCTTCTTATTAATGTAATATTTGTGACTTGAGTGACTGCTACCACTCTACAATGACACTCAGGTTTAAAAACAATACAATAAGAACTAAGGTCTGTATCTGCTAAGACAATCAATTGCATTTATATTTGCATTTTTGTTTAATAAAACTTCCACCATTATCAGTTTTCTTAGACGCACAGCCAGTAAAAGTGGTTGACATTCAGTCTGTAAAACAACAGCAACAATTTATAATCACATAATTACGTATTTATCAACTGAACTGAAAACCTTATGTAAGATCCTGTGAGCTTAAATATATACAATTGAAAGGACATAAGAGGTAGTCCCTTTCTTTTCACTCCTCGGTGCTTTTCTACGTTCTGCTCCTTCCGCTGGAAACAACCTCCTCTGCCTCACCACAAGAACTCTGGTCATCTCCAAAACTCACTTCAAACACTTCCCAGTTCCAAGAATCTTTGCTTCTGTCACAGCATTTACCATGGCATGTTTCAAGGATTTTATTGTTTCCCACCTGAACCAAGAGCTTCTTGAGGGCAGCAGCTGTATTTTTTTCTCTATGTCCTCAAACTCTAAGACACAGTAATAAATGTTTCAGGTATTTTTATAAATGATCTAAATTATTATCTATAGAGCGGTGTTTCTTAAACTATTAATATATTCCAAAGGATATTTACTTTACCAGAAGTTCAACATTATACCCCAAAAGAAAGACTTCATGATCACCCATGTTTGAAAAATGTTACAAAACTGTGCATTATGTGTCTAGTATTTGAGAAATCTTTTGAACTTCACCTAATCCCTATTTGTAAATACTTATTTTGGAGACTGTTAACATTTAAGAAATGAGAGTTTCAGGGATACAGTTGTGAGAGCTTGCCAGTAAAGGTGATACACACGTGCCTCATTCTCTTCTATTGATGGTGTCAGAATCTCAGATGACAATGTCAGGTGCTCACACCTGACATTGTCATCTGAGATTCTGACACGATTGACAGTTCATTTGAAGCCTCTCTCTTTTTAATTTGAAGAGCCAGGCTCTGAATTAATAGAGATAGGCTTCAAATGAACTTTCACTGCTTATTATTAAATAGTCCATGGGTTTTCTCTAGTAATATTTTTATCTTAGCTGTCAGAAAGCTCTGTATAAAATATTATTCTCAATTACAATCTTAGGACCCTGATGCAAATATTTATGTAATTATAATCTTAGGACCCTGGTATATAACTCCTTTAAAAATTTATTTGTATTCTAGTTTCCATATGAATTCTTACTTTTTTTATTTTAAGTAAAATATAAATCAGAAATAAAAATACAGTGGCTTATCAATTAAAGCTCTAATAATGACCTATATGAATTATTTATAGAATAATGAAAGCCACTAATTTGCATCTTTTATTTATTTATTTATTTATGTATTTATTTATTTATTTATTTGAGACGGAGTCTCGCTCTGTCACCCAGGTTGGAGTGTGGTGGTGCCATCTCAGATCACTGTAGCCTCTGTCTCCCGAATTCAAGCACGAGCAATTCTCCTGCCTCAGCCTCCCGAGTAGCTGGGACTACAGATGTGTGCCACCACACCCAGCTAATTTTCTGTATTTGTAGTAGAGAGGGGGTTTCACCATGTTAGCCAGGATGGTCTCAATCTCCTGACCTCGTGATCCACCCACCTCTGCCTCCCAAAGTGCTACGATTACAGGCATGAGCCACTGCACCCGGCCAATTATTTGCATTTTTAGGAGGCAATGCTGAAGAGAAAAATATAACGTTGTCTGCAATATGCGTAACCTATGCAACTATACCATGATTCACCTTAAAAAGCTTCCATGCATTCTAATGGGAAGATGACTATTTATGGTATATATAAAGAAAAATAATTTATAAAACACCACCATCTAAATTCAAAAGTTCAACCCAATTACCAAGGGATTTATATAAAATATAGACTCCATATTTAAATAAATATAAAATGTCTTGAAAACCTTGAAATATTTACTAAAATATATTATAAAACAGGGCTTGTAAAGTCATCCCTACAGAGGCAAGGGAGATGACCTGAGGAAGTGAAGTACAGTAGCAAAATGTAGACCACATGCCTCATAGAAAGGGGCAACCTCTGCACAGCGTCCTAAACATGAGATAGGCTCAAGGGACACCAGATTGGATTCTTGAAGAGAAGCCTGGAATCCAGATCTGTGCACGAGTCTCCTAAACCTTCCATTGTGAGACAATTTATAGAGGCAAACTAAACACATCTATGAGACACATTTAGACTATAGACCTTGTATTTTTATATTTGCTGTGGATATGTCTCCAAGCGATTCTATATAAAACAAGTATTTTCGTGTAAAATATTTCCTTTCTTTAGTTTCAGATTTTATTTTCCAAAATAGCCTCAAGAATGCAATTAAAATTGTTACTAAGAGTCATAATCCCCACTTTGAGCACTTTTACAACATTCATTAATTCATAATTTATGTTTAATTTTCCCAGATTGTTCACCAAATGGATAATTAGTTCACAGGACTGCTGCAACTAAATTATTAAAATAATATTAAATTATTCTAGTTTCTATATTGTAACCTAATTTTTTTATTTTAGGTAAAATATAAATCAGAAATAAAAATACGATGGCTTACCAATTAAAGCTCTAATAATGACCTAAATGTATTCTCTGTATTCTTACTAACTTCATGGTTTTAAGTGTTTAAAACTGCTATCCTGATTATGCCATAGTTCTGTGTACTTAACTGACATAGTGAGGCAGTCCATAATAGAGCTTCAGCTTTAAAAAAAGGTTTAGAATTTTTTACTCTTGTAATTGAGAGAACCCTTCTTTTAATAATGATGTATTGACCTAATCACCACAATGATAACAAAGAGACTCAGAGTCCTGAAAGAGTCAGTCTCTACTTATTAAAAGAGTCCACAATAGCAAATTTCTAACGACCCTATGAATGGCAGTGCATAAGTGATGGTGGCAAAGAAAAGGTGTTATTCTTACTCTGATAGATATTGCAAGTAATAGTTCTTTTAACTTCCCACCCACAGAGGTAGAGACAGGTAAAAGTCAGGCCATTATTATTGGAAAGGAGAAATTCAAAGGAAGCAGCTCCTATCATCTAACTCTTCTAGAGATTTTTTATGTGTTTGAGATATGGGAATTTATATTACACTTATCTATTCAGTGGTTCTTGACCAGCAGTGTATCAGTGTCTCAAGAAATTGTTTATTGTTGTTGGTGTTGTTGTTGTTGTTAGAGACAGTGTCTTATTCTGTGGCTCTGGCTAGAGGCACCACCATGCCCAGCTTCAAGGAAATATTTTAAAACATACATGTCCAGTAATATTTAATAGTAAATACTAGATTTACTATATTAAAATCTTCAGGGGATATCCTAGACTTAAGAGATTTGCTTTTAATTTCCCCAGGTTACTGCCATGCACAATTCTAACTGCGAACCAGCACAGTTGATAATCACTTCAGTCTCATCTCTCACCCATGTGGCAAATTCCCTTTATCATTTGGGATTTGGCCGAAAAGAGGAAAGAGCAAAAGATAGAGCCATTCACTGAAAATTTCATTTACTTTTCCTGGGTAGGGGTAGAAAAGAGACCAGTAAACTCAAAATCCAACTTGATTTTACTATTTATAAGCTCCTTATCTCCCACCTGCCCATCAAGACATTCTGGACTTGAGAGTAGAGTTTAGATGCTTATCTAAGTGGCTTTTTCTGCCAGAATTGAATAATGTCCATTAATTATGTGTTCTTCTCTCTGCTGAACTGTGTGCCACATCATCACCACTATTCACTGCCAACCTGGTTTCCTCAGAGTCCTACCAAAATTGATCCCTGGGCAATTTTACAACTCACAAACTCTTTCCCAAAGTAAGAATAATCATCCCCAAAACTGAAACGATCCTTGTCTAAACATATAAATTGAAAACAAACAACAAAACACACAAAAACCCTCTCCACAGTATTTTCCCTCATTACCTAATTTCCAAATTAGCTTGTGCATTTCTGATTGCTCTCCTTTTCTTCATATTTCCCCCTTAAGCCTTTCCACAGAGGAATCACTTTCAAATGAAATCACCTTCACATACAATATTTGTCAACAGCAACAAGATGTACATTTATTGTGAAATTCTTTAATTTTCTTTGAAATTTAAAATAAAGCCTATTTATAAGGGCCAATTTTACTTTCCTGTGTCACTTCACACTGATTAGAAAAAAGTAATTTAGTGGAAAAACACTTCACTATTACCCCTCCCAAATTCAGTTGTCATGAATTATAAATTTATTGTAACTCATTTGTTTTTATAATTATTTACCATAAGTGCATGAAAAAAAGCCATACCTTATAATGCTTCTTTAAAAGTTCCAATATTTAAAGTAAAATCTTTGACAGTTAAGGCATTTCAAAATATTTTCATTCAAGGAATGTTTGAGTTTCCAAATATGAAAAATTGACCCTTACATGGGTCAATGTTAAAATAAATGCATTTCACATAGTTTGATAATAACATTGGTTGACCCATACCTTGCTGCATTCTTCAATATTTGTACCATGTAAAAGAAGTTTTTCTATCATGGATGTATCTTCATTATACACAGCATAGTGTAGAGCAGTCCTTCCAAAGAAATCCATAATATTTGGATCGGCGCCATTTGGCAGCAGAATAGTTGCAAAAGCCTCCTGCCCTAGTTGTACAGCCTGTCAGTATTAGACTGAGAAACACGCAAATACTGAAAAATCAAAATAAACACTCCGTAGGATTTACTAACTAGTTATATAGTGGTATTCCAATGAGATAAATTCATTTTATCCTACATATTTAAACCAAATCCATCTCATGCTCAAAGATTCAACTACTATATACCTTGATTAGAGGTGTCCTGCATTCACGGTCGCAGAGGTTAAGCTCACATCTTGTGGACACAAGCAGAAATACCATTTCTGGTTGGACAGTGGCACAGGCCAAATGTAGGGCAGTCCTGTGAGAGTGACAGGACTTTTTAAACCATGTAACTGTAAGCATTAATTAGCATGTTATTTCTCTGTCTTCAACACAAATATGTAATTTTCTTGTGAAGAAGGTACAACATTTGTTAGCACTTATTACTCGCCACATTAATGAAAGAGCAGGCTATTTAATAGAAAAGGCTTGGCTTCTGGATTCAGTTTAATTGGGGCTTAAAATTTACTGTAATCTCTGTCACTTAGTTGTTATTTAGCCTTTCTTTGCTTCAATTTCCTTATCAATAAAATATATGAGAATAGTAGCTATCCCACAGAACACTGCTGTGATGCTTACATAACAATCTATGCACAGCATTTAGAACACTTTCTAACACAAATAACAGCTCAATAATTTTTAGATATTACTACTTACAAAGACATTTTAATTAAGTAAAATGATACAATCATATCTACATTGAGGTATCTATTAAAGATTAGATGTATCATTGTATTTCAGTCATTCTCAGATGCTCATATTCTCACTATTCTCTTATATAAGCTACTATTCTCTTATATATTAACATCTCTTGACATTGGAATACTGTTTACAATTCATTACTTATTACAATTATAACTGGCAATGTTTTAAACATTATCTTATCGATATATAAAGTAATGTGGCATCACCTAATCCATGATGCCTCACATTAAGTGGGATACAGTACATAGAACAGGCAGTTCTACTCATATAATTTGCACCTAAATAAAGTACTGTGGAAAAAGAAGGCAAAAATAAAAAAACAAATTTTTAAAACAAAGTACTTCTTACTTCAATTTTCCAAAAAAAAAAAAATCCAAAGGAAACTCAGGATTCATATGAATAGGTATCGCTCATTTTTTTCAATACTTACAGAATGTTATGTAAATTAGGTATTTGCAATGATTAATAGTAGTATTTGAGATGGTCATAAGTTTTTGAAATGGCAGTTAAAGGTTATCTTTCACTATTTTCTAACTTCAGAATTGCTTTTATTTAAAAAAAAAAGGAATAAAAGACCCAATTAGGATTCAGTCGTAATGCTTCCATTTTAAATCTCAACTTGCTCAGGCTGGGCAGGTAAACATGAAGTTGTTAAGGGTGGAAGAGTCCTGAGAGATGGTGGAATGTGTCTGCTACATAATAGGTATTCAGGTTATGCTTGACAAATAACTGGATTGAAAGAATGCATACATACAGTTGGGGAGTTTATTACGAAAAAAACTACAAATTAAAGCAGTGCTCTTGGAATAGTGATAATCACTTATATTTGCTCGTTTTCATTTTCATGAGGACACTGATAAACTAAAATAATTAAAAATTGTTTGCATATATGTAATAAAGCTATAATAAAAACCTATTTATATACTAAAATCTATGCATAATAAAATAAGCACAAATAAAAATATTCCCTCTGCCTCTGAAGAGGCTAAAAGTTCACAGAAGATACCAATAAACAAAATAATAAAAATAAGGCCAGGCACAGTGGCTCACACCTGTAATACCAGAACTTTGGGAGGCCCAGGCGGGGGAATCACCTGAGGTCAGGAGTTTGAGACCAGCCTGGCCAACATGCTGAAACCCAGTCTTTACTAAAATATACAAAAATTAGCTGGACATGGTGATGCACACCTGTAATCCCAGCTACTCAGGAGGCTGAGGTGGGAGAGTCACTTGAACCTGAGAGGCAGACTGCAGTGAGCTGAGATCATGCCACTGCACTCCAGGCTGGGCGACAGGGCGAGACTCCATCTCAAAAATAAACAAACAAACAAAGAAATAAATAATAAAATAAAATAGAAAGTGAGAATTATTTTTTCTTTGTAAGATTTATATTTCTTCTTTTCCCAATGATAATTTCATTAATAAAACACATGTACTAGAAGTTTTAAACATACTGATCATTTATACATCACAGATAAGAAAAAATATCACAATACACCTGCCAGAAAAGAAATGTTATATTTTGTACACATACTTGGCTTATAAACACCATAGACTGTTTGTGTGCATGTATAATCAAACCAACTTTTTTTCAGAGTACATCTTCACACCTCAACATACATCTGTATCTACTGACATCTGTGAAGGTCCCATATTGTCCCATTGTATGGATGCACCGAAATTTATTGATAAATTTATAAAATTTATAAAATCCATTATAAGGGGTTTTCCAAATACACTGCTATTTTAAGCAGTGCTGAGAAAAACAAATTGCATGTATCTCTATTTCCCAGAGATATTTTAGTATAATGGAATTGATGGGTGAAGGGCACATACATTTTTAAAGTGTGATACTTACCAACAAATTGTCTATTTGAAAAATCATCAGAAATGTAAACTTTAAACAGCAGTATATGTACTGCTACTCTTTACCCTCACAAACTTGTGGATAGAAAAGAGTATTTCATTCCTTTTTTAACTTAAATACCTTCTCCTCCCAGGAACACTAAATATTTTTTCCCATGTGTATAGGTTGCTTTAATATCTGAAAAAAAAATGCTTTGCTCTATTTTAAATGAGAGTTCTTGTTTATTTGAAGAATTATCTGTAAAATGAAAATCACTTTTTTATCTAATATGTATATACACGTATTGTCTTTTGTTAATTTTTTCTTATAAACTGGATTTTTTTTTTATTTTGCTAAATCGACCTTCAGAATGTCTGCTTGTGATATTTGTAGGAATATAAACATGTATCAACATAAGTAGGCATTTGTGTTTTTTTCTGTTATCTTTCTTATTTTGTGTATTTAAAATTTTTAATCTACATTCCATAACGAACTTATTTCTGTGACATAAAAATCTAGCCAGATTTCTCCAAATAGTTAGCAGGCACTTCATTTATGAGTAATTCATCTTTTCCTACTAATATGAAATGTCACCATTATCCAATTTTATTAGATTGGTGCAAAAGCAATTGCGGTTTTTGCCATTACTTGTACTTGCGGCAAAAACCGCAATTGTTTTTGCACAAAGCTAATAAATTCTTACACATATTGGTGTGTTCCTGGATTTTCTAACCTGTTCCATTCACTTATTTGTTGTTTCAGCTGTTAGCAAATAACTTGTGAAAATTAACAGCACATTTTCATATCTAGAAAGGCAAGCCTTTTTTGACTCCATTTCAAAAGTGTTGTTAATGTCATCACAATAGTAAAAGACAGCATGAGTAATTCAAAAATGTTAACACTTTGATAACTTTATTTGGATTATGTAAAATTTATAAACACAGAAAGAGCTCAGAACTTTAGAAAAATGTGTCTTTCTATTCAAGAACACAATCTTCCCACTTCAAAGTTTCCCTCTAAGTGAAAACCACATTGACATAGGTGTCCACCGATATCAAATAAATATTGGATTTTTATCCAAAGAATTTTTAGTCAGGAAGTTGATATATTATGGAAATGCTTTCTGTCATTATGCACTTTTCCATAATGTATGTAACATTATGCTTTAAAATGTGTACATTAAAAATAAAACGCTGTACATGCTGAATTGTATTAGTGAAATCACTTTAAAATGATTTATAAACAAGAAGCATGGTGAGTGATTGGAAACAAGCTGAAGTTTTGTTTTTGTTTTGCTGCTCGTGAAAATGGCCTGGGTGCTCGCCCCCCCCCAAGGTTTCCACATCCCAGGTGCGGCTGAGCTTGCCAGGAAAGAAAGTCCAGCCCCTTTGGTGACAAGACTCGGCCCCCTCACCTCTGCACCCCTTTCCCCCACCCCATTCACCCCCACACCTCACCCCCACCTCCAATCCTCTGTCCTATTGAACCCTCACCCCATCTCCCCACCCCACACCGTCCACACCCCTACCTCAAAAGCCTTCATTCCATCCACCTCAGCCCATTCACACCCCCACCCCATGCACCCCCTACTCCCCACTGCCATCCCCCAACTCACTCCACACCCCGCCAACCCCTATACCCCCACTCCCCGGGCTCCGCTCCACTCACTCCCACCCCAGCCAGGCACCTCCTAGCCCCTGTCCATACCCCGAGCCCCGGACCATCCGCCCCACAGCCCTCAGCCTGGAAGGGGGTACTTCTCCACATCCACGGGCCTCTTCCCGCAGCCCCGGCTCCCGGCCCCCATTACCTTCCCTTCTTGTCTCTCTTATTGGCATCATGATACGTCGACAGAAGGTAGTTCAGTTTCTGCAGACTACCATAGAGGACAGCTCTGTGGATCCTCCTCAGATGAGACAATTTAATGTGGTATTGGTGAAATGGTATTGGTGAAGTCTACCACTCCAGCTCGTAGACTTCCATAATCGTCGCTGCAAATTGTAGCCTGGGAACGCTCCAGCCGTATTTCTCAGCTCGCCTTCTGGGGATCACCGCCTCTGAAGCACAACAAGCAATGCAGTCTGTCCACGGACCTTCGCACAGACTCTCAGCGCCTCCCGCCTCTCAGCAGAAACGCCCAAGAGAACCATTAGGACCAGCGAGCACGTGCACCATAACGGCCCCGCCCAACAGGCCCGAGGGGGAGAAACCACCGTAGCAGCTCTCTGGCGCGCCCAGTGCAGGCGGCGGTTGCTGCTCAGGTGCCCTGGGCTGGCAGGGCTGCCTGGAGCGCGAGGCGTGCCCTGCCCCAAGGCCTGTTTGACTGTCGCCCGCGCGCTCTTTTCTTCCACCGGCTCCCAACGCTCGGATCTTTCTGACCAGCCCCGGCCCCATCTTGGCCTTACCTGGCCTCCCCTGAAGCCCTGGCCTGGGTGCAGGGCCTGCTGGGTCCAGAGCCCACCCCGCCCTGAACAACCCCCAGCCTCAGCCACCCTCAGTTCTTACCCTTTCACAGCTGGGGAGTGGAACCTGAGCCTGAGGTCTTCTGTGCGCCTGTCCGCCGCGCCAGCGCTGTCTGAGCTGTCGCTGTCGGCGCCTGCGCTGTCTGCCTTTGCGAGGGCGGAGCTGAGTTATCCTCAGCACAGACCCCGAGAGCACCGCGAGGGTGGAGCTGAGTTCTCCTCTGCACAGACTTCGGAGATACAGGGAAGGCAGAGCAGTGTTCTCCTCAGCACGGACCCGGTCGGGCGGGCCGGTGGCACCCCGAGGGCGGAGCTGCGTTCTGCTCAGCACAGACCTTGGGGGCACTGCCGCGCTTTGGGACAACTCGGGGCCGCATCAACGGTGAGTAAAATACTTCCTGTTTGCAGCTCTGAGGTGGGTGGCAGCGGTGGACGCTGCAGCCAGCCAGAGTGTAGAAAGGCGTCAGGGTAAGTGCGCTTTCCAGGCTGCACTGCGGGTGGCCTGGGACGGGTTGGGGGCCCTATCTCAGGCGTCACTGCCCGCCTTGGGTGGCTGGTTGGGTGTGCTATCTGGGGCTGTGCTGCCTGCCCCCGGGGGGTGCTTTGGGGGCCCAAACCGGGGCTGCACTGGCCTTGGCGGGGAGCCGGTTGGGGGCACTATCCCAGACTGTATTGCTGGCAACAGTGAGGTGGGCTAAGTGTGCTATCCGGGGCTGCACTGCGCGGCTGTTGGAGGGGGGGTGGCGGTTTCGAGTTGAGGGCGCTATGGGGTGCTGTAATGCCCATGGTGCGGGGAGGCGGGGCGGTTTGGGTGTGTTGGGTGTGCTATTGCGGGGGGCGACACTGCTGGTGGTAGGGGGCAGGGTGGGTTGGGGGCCATATCAGGGGCTGCACTGATTGCTTTAGCTAGGATTTCTGGTACTATGTTAAACAACAGTGGTGACAGGGGGCATCCTTATTATGTTCCAGATCTTAGAGGAAAAGCTTTCCATTTTTACCGACTCCATATGCTTCTAGCTGTGGGTGTCTTTCCTGTAGCTTTTATTATGTTGCGGTATGTTCCTTCTGTACCCGTTTCTTTGAGGATTTATAGCATGAAGCCATGTTGAATTTCATCAAATGCTTTTTCAGTTTCAGTTGACATGATCATACTGTTTTTGTCGTTTATTTGGTTGATATGATGTATCACATTGTATGTTGAGTGACCCTTGCATCCCAGGGATACATTCCACTTGATCATGATGAATTATCTTTTTAATGTATTACTGAATTGGATTCGCTGGTATTTTGTTGAGGATTTTCGCATCAATATTAGAGATACTAGCCTGTAGTTTCCTTCTTTGATGCCTTTGTCTGATTTTGGTATCACAGTAATAATGGTCTCATAGAAAAAGTTTGGAAGTATTCCCTCCTGTTTTCCTTTTTTTTTTTTTTTTTTTTTTTTTTTTGAGACGGAGTCTCGCTGTCGCCCAGGCTGGAGTGCAGTGGCGCGATCTCGGCTCACTGCAGGCTCCGCCCCCTGGGGTTCACGCCATTCTCCTGCCTCAGCCTCCCGAGTAGCTGGGACTACAGGCGCCCGCCACCTCGCCCGGCTAATTTTTTGTATTTTTAGTAGAGACGGGGTTTCACCGTGTTAGCCAGGATGGTCTCGATCTCCTGACCTCGTGATCCGCCCGCCTCGGCCTCCCAAAGTGCTGGGATTACAGGCGTGAGCCACCGCGCCCGGCCCCCTCCTGTTTTTCAAAATAGTTTGAGTAGGATTTGTACTAGGTCTTTAAATTGTTTTGTGTGAAGCCATCAGCAGTGAAGACATGAGTTCCTGGGCTTTTCTTTACTGGGAGACTTTTTCTGATGGCTTCAATCTCATTTCTTGTTACCAATCTGTTCTGGTCTTGGATGTTTTCATTGTTCAACCTAAGTAGGCTGTATGCATGTAGGAATTTGCCAGTTTCTACTAGGCTTTCCGATTTATTGGCATATAATAGCCAGTTATGATCCTTTGAATTTCTGAAGTATTAGTTGTAATGTCTCCTTTTTTTAATCTGTTGATTTTATTTATTTTAATCTTGTCTCTTTTTTCTTAGTTAGCTTGGTTAAAAGTTTGTCAATTTTGTTTAGCTTTCCAGAAAACCAACTTTTCATTTAATCTTGTGTGTTTTTTTTTTTCAATGTTATTTCTGCTACGATCTTATTCATTTTCTTATTTTCGGTTTAGTTAGTTCTTACTTTACTAGTTCTTTAAGATGTATTGTTTATTTGAAGTTTTTCTTTTGTTTGGATGGTAGGCACTTACAGCTGTAAATCTCTGCCTTTGTACTGCTGTCTGTGTAACAAGTTTCGGTATACTGTGTTTTCATTACCCTTTGTTTCATGAAATGTTTGAATTTCTGTCTTAGTATCTTCATTGACCCGCTAGTCATTTATTCAGGAGGATAGTGTTTAACTTCCATGTGATTGTATTGTTTCCAGAATTACTCTTCTTATTGATACCTAGTTTTATTCCTTTGTAGTCAAAGAAGATGGCCACGGAGACAGCAGCGTGGTCAGAGTGGTAGGAGCAGACCATTGGAGAGAGCTGCTCCGTGCCTGGCTGCCGGGTGCTAGAGCCTGCAACCCACTGGCTTGCCTCACTGTGGTTGGTGGTGGCGGTGACAGAGACTGCAGCACGACCAGAGTGGTAGGACGGGCTAACCAGGGCTGCACCTTTCGCAGTGTGGGGTGGGTTGGGGGCGCTATCCAGGGTGTCATTGCCTACATTAGGGGTACTGGTTGGTAGCACTGTACAGGGCTGCACTGCCCATGGCAGGGAGGGTGGGTTATGGGCACTTTCTGGGGCTGCAATGCCCATGGAGGAGGACAGGTTAGGGCACTATTGGGTATACACTACTGGCTGCATTGGGGGACGGACGTGGGGGAAGCTATTGAGGGCAGGACTAGCCGTGGATGGGGGGCGAGTTCAGTGCTATCAGGGGCTGCACTTCTGGCGGCAGTCAGCAGAGTTGGCATCCAAGGAAGGAGTGGTTCTCCTCTCCCTGACTCCACACTCCAGAGGGCGACCCACTCTTGGTCATACTGGAGTGCGGCAGGCACGCAGCGTTTGCATGGAATCCTGAGCACGGCAGAGCCCCCACACCCACCGTGGTTCCTGGGCCTGTGCGCTCTGGGTCTGTGCCTTGGAGGCTGCCAGGCACCCCTGGGGACACCACTGGGGACAGGGCCCTGTGTGTGGAGGCGTCCGGAACAGGAATTGGCACCTGGGTGCAGAGGGCTGGCTGGGTCTGAATTTTTCTGCTTCTCCTGCTCCCCGAGGAGTGCAGCCCCAGTGGGCCCAATGGCTCCTGTGGAGTGGGGAGCTGGGTGCTGTGGTGTCTCCAGCACCCACCCCAGACCCCAGTTCCTGGCCAGCTTGGGCCAAAAGGAGAGGCTGGACATTGGAGGGTAGGTGTGAGTGCCTTTGCTGAAACTGAAACTGGCCCCTGCCACCCAGTGGCCGGCATGACAAGTTGAGGCTCTAACCCTTCCACCCCTCACATCTTCCTCTAGGCTTTTCTGGCTTTGCCCGCCCAGCTGCTCCATGCCAGGAGGAGGAGGAGACACCTATAGCCTGTGACACCACGACTTGCCTTGCCGCGGGTGGGTGGTAGCAATGGAGACTGCAGTGCGCCAGAGCGGTAGGAGAGCGGCCACGCTAGGAGGGCAGGTGCCTGCAGCCAGGGTTGGGGGTCAGGCTTACAGCGATGGATGGGCTGCACCAGTAGCCAGGTGGTAGGAGCCTTGTAGGGAGGGCTGGTCCTTTGGCAGTGGGCCTGGCTTTGCCCTGCCCCTGCCATGGATCTGGCCCTATACTGCCCTGCCTTGCCCTGTACTTGCCCTACTGTTACCTGGACTCTCAGCCCCGTCCTGCTCTGGTCCCATCCTGACCCTGTCTTGGCCCTGTGCTACCCTGTCCCTGCCCTGGTCTTGCCCTGGCACTGGCCCTTCCCTGAACCTGCACTGGCCTGACCTTGACTCTGGCCCTGGCTCTGGCCCTGCCCCTTGTCCTGACCCTGGTCCTGTCATGGCACTGGCCCTGCCAATTGTCATGGTCCCGCTCCTGTTCTGACCCTGACCTGGCCTTGGACATGTCCTGGACCTGCTTTGGCCCATCCCTGGCCTGGCCCCACCATGGGCCTGCCTGTTCTGCCCTCTCCTGGCACTGACCTTGCCCTGTCATGGCCCAGTGGTGCCATTGCTCTGCCTTACCGTGCGCTGGTTGTGCCTTGGCCCCTCTTGGTGCTGGTCACTCCCTGGACCTGCCCTGACCCTACCTGGGCTTTTGCCCTGCCCTCACTATGGCCTGGCCCTGGCCCTAGCCCTGGTCCTGCCATATCCCTGGCCGTGCTCTTATCCAGGCCCTGCCCCTTCTGCTGCCCTGGCCCTGGCCTGGAACCTGGTCCTGTCAAGGACCTGCCCTGACTCTGCCATGGCCCTGGCCCTGCTCTGCCTTGTTCCTAGCCCTGACCCAGACCCAGACCCTATCCTGGCTCTGCACTGGCCTTTTCCTGGCCCTGAGCTGGCAGTGGTCTGCCCCTGGTCTTGCCATCACCCTGCCTGCTGTGCTCTGGATGTGTCGTCACCCTGCCCTGGCCCTACTCTGCCTTTGACCCTGCCCTGGCCTTACCTTGGCCCTCACCCTAGTCTTCACTAGGCCCTGCTCTGGAGCTGGCCCTAGCACAGACCTGGCCCTGACCCTGGCCCTGGTCTTTGTCCTGCCATAGCCCTGGCCCTGAAGTGGACTTGGAGGTGTCCTGGCCCTGGTGTAACATGGCTCTGCATTGGCCTGTCCCTGCCCTGCCCCTACCATCGCCTTGCCCTGCTCTGCCCTGTCCCAGTACTGACCCAGCCATGCTATTTCCCTGCCCTACCCTGCCTTGGCTGTTCCCTGGCTCGGTTCTGGCCCTGGCCCCGACCCTTCCCCGGATATGCTCTGACACTGCCTCAGCCTTGGCACTAGCCTGGCTCTTTCTTGGCATCAGCCCTGCTCTCTCTGTGGACCGGCTCTTGTCCTGTCCTGCACTGGCCATACCATGTCCTGCCCTGCCCTGCCCTGACTCAGCCCTGGTTCAGCCCTGGCCCAGCCTTGGCCTTGGCATTGCCCCTGGTCCTGCCATATTTCTTGCCCTGTCCCTACCCTGGTCTTGGCCCTGACCCTTACCTTGCTCTGGCCCTGCCCTTGCCCTAACACAGCCCCTGGCCCTGTCATGGCCCTGCCCTGGACCTGTCCTGGTCCTGGCCCTTCCCTGCTTGAGACCTTGCCCTGGTTCTCCCCTGGCCCTGACCCTGAAATGCCTGGCCCTACCCTGGCCTTGCACTGCTCTGGTCCTTGCCCTGACTCTGGTCCTGTCACTGGCCTAGCACCAGCCCTGTTGCTGGTCTTACCATGGCCATGACCCTGCCTTGGCCCTGTCTTGACACTGTCCTGGATCCTGGCTGTGCCAAGATCCTGCACTGTCCTTGCCGTTGTTTTGCTCCTGTCCCAAACCTGGTCCTGCCCAGGCCCTGGCCCTGGCTCTGGCCCTGGCCCTGCCCTGGCTGTTCCCTGGCCCTGCCCAGGTCTTGGCACTGGCCTGGCCCTGCCCTGCCTTGGCCCTATGCTTTCCTGGCCCTGCCTTGCCGGCCCTGGCCCTGCCTTGGCCCTAGCCTGGCTTTGACCCTGCCCTGGCCCTACCTTGGCCTTCACCCTAGCCTTACCTGGGCACTGTGTTGGACCTGGCCATAGCACAGACCTGGTTGTGGCCCTGGCCCTGCCATGGCCCTGTCCCAGACCCTAGCCCTGCCAGGTACCTGCCCTGGCCCTGCTCTGGGCCTGGCTTTGTCCCTGGTTCTTAGATGAACCTGGCCCTGCCCCTGCCCTTGTCCTTGCCCTGGCACTGGCCTTGGACATGTCCGTGGTCCTAACCCTGGCCCTGCCCTGGAGCTGCCACTGTCTTGGCCCTGCCCTGGCTCTGGCCCTGCCCCAGCCCTGGCCCTGCCCCAGCCCCAGCCATAGACCTGCCCTGGTTGGTTGTGTCCTACCTTAACCCTGTGCTACCCTGGGCCTGCTCCACCCTGCCCTGGCCCTGCCCTCCCTTTGGCCCTGCCCTCCCTTTGGCCCTGCCCTGACCCCACCTTGGCCCTCACACTGGCCCTAGCACAGACCTGGTCCTATCTGTGGCATTGGCCTGGCATTGAGCCCTGCTCCTGACCCTGCTCCTGCCATGGCCCTGGCCCTGCCAATGACCCCGACAGCGCTGGCCCTGGACCTGTCTTGGTCCTGGCCCTGAACTGGCCCTGCCCTGACCCTGGCCCTGAAGTGGATTTGCAGGTGTCTTGTCCCTGATTTAACCTGGCCCTACCATGGCCCTGTCCTGACCCTGTCCTGGCCCTAATGTGGCCTGGCTCTACCCTGGCATGCTATTCAGGCCCTAGCCCTGACCCTGTCCCTGTCCCTGTCCCTGTCCTGGCCCTAGCCCCGTTGCTGGTCCTGCCATGGCCCTTGTCCTGACATTGCCCTTTCCTGGTCCTGGCCCTGGCCCTGTCCCAGCCCTGCTCTGGCTCTGGTCTGAACCCTGGCCCTGCAATAGACCTGCCTTGGTCCTGCCCACACCCTGGCTCTGGCCCTACCTCTGCCCTGGCCATACCCTTGCCCTGGCCTGGACCCCGGTCCTGGTCCTCGTCCTGCCCCAGCTGTGGCCCTGGTGCTGCCCTGCCTGTACCCTGTTCTATCCTGGGCTGGCCCTGCCATGGCCTGGTCTTGCCATTGCCCTGCCCTAGCCTGCCCTGCTTGTGCCCTAGATCTGCCCTGACCTTTGCGCCTGTCTTGGTTCTAGCCTTGAAAACAAAAAAAAAAGGAAAAGAAGCATTTTGTATTCTCTTTTAGAAAGGGTAGATAACTGGAAAAGTATTAATAATGAAAATAACCGGAAATTGGACTTATAAATTATAAACCATGTAATTATTAGTATTTGAAAATATACTCAAATGTTTCTCAGGTGTTACTCAGGTGTTTCTTTATAGCAACACAAGAATAGCCTAATATAGTAACCATCACCCAATCAAGAAATAGGACATCTTTGCCTCCTTTGGAAGTTCTACCCACCACCCCTTCATCCTCCCCCAGGCTACCACTGTTATAATTTCTATCATTCTAGAATTAGTTTTGGCTGTATTTTTCTTTTTTTTTTCAAGAAATATTAACTGTTCTTAATTTGATATTATATATAAGCCATACAAAATGCCTTTTGAGAAGTTAAAAGAACCATTATATTTTGAGATGGGGTCTTACTCTGTCACACAGGCTGGGGTGCAATGGCAGGATCATGGCTCACTGCAACCTTGACTCCTGGGCTCAAGCCGTCCTTCCACCTCAGCCTCCTGAGTAGCTACGACTACAGGAATGCACCACCATGCCTGGCTATTTTTAATTTTTGTACAGATGAGGTCTCTCTATGTGGTCCAACTTGTGGCCTCAAGCAATCCTCCCACTTCAGCCCCAAAAAAGTACTGCGATTACAGGCATGAGCCACTATGCCCAGCCAAGGAACCATTTTACATACAGAGAATTCTAATTAAATTGACATAGTTCAGACCAGAAATATAAAGTAGACATTGTTACCTTATGTTAAGTCTTTGCCTTTAAGAGGCACATGAACACAGAACACAGATGTGTCTTGCTTGGTTCTGAGACAGTGAAGACATTTCCCCAGTATTTAAATATATTCATATAGCTAGTTATATAAATCTAAATATAAAGCCAATCTCTAATAGGTTTTAAGATGGCATTCACCATCTTTGTGAAAAGTTGAACACTACGAGTTAAGCCCAATCATAGTTTTAGAAGGGGGAAACAGTGATATCATTTACTGAATCAGAATTACTATTAAAATTTTAAAAAACCCGGATGTATTCATTTAACCACAAGCGAGTCTTAATTAAATCAGGACTGCTCAACAAAAATATTCTGTGAGTTATTCATGATTTGAATTCTGATGTATATTAGAGAGCTATTAAATTATGTACACATAAAAAAGTCATGTGGTCAATTATTACTCATTATTAGCTTTTCTGAGATAAGCTATCAAGTCTGCCCTTTCTGCCTTCTTCTTAGTGCTGGCAATGGTCATTTTTGTTCCAGGGATGTACTTTTTGGGATTCTGCAAATACTCCATCAGTGTCTCCTCTCCTCAGGTGATGCCTCTGTTCTCATTGGTGTCTGTGAGAGAATTCAGTGGCCTGACCTGTCTTCTGCATAAATAGAGCATGGAGATTTGGCTCACTCTTGTGCTTGCCTCATTTTACCTTGGTGTGGCATTGGGCACACTTTTTTTTTTTTTTAAGACAAGTTCTGTCTCCATCATCCATGCTGGAGTGCAGTGGCACAATCTTGGCTCACTGCAACCTCTGCCTCCTGGGCTCAAGCCATCCTCCCACCTCAGCCAGCCGAGTAGCTGGGACTACAGGCATGCACCACCATGCCCAGCTAATTTTTGTATTTTTATCGAGACAAGGTTTCACCATGTTGCCCAGGCTGGTCATGAACTCCTGCACCCAATTAATCTGCCCACCTCGCCTCCCAAAGTGCTGGGACTACAGGCGTAAACTACCATGCCCGGCCTTGGACACACTTCTGAACAAAACTCTTCTTGCCTTTCTCTACATCACCCATATTTAATTCTGTCTCTCATCACTGGTACTACGAACTTCCTGTTCAGAAGGCAGATATCCCACTCTTCCAGTTTTAGCTGTTTTAAAAGGAATATAGAATATGTACCTTTTAAAGTTTGGTTTCTTCAACTGAACATAACGTTTTTGAAATTCACTCATTTTTCACGTATCCATAGTTTATTGTTTTTTGTGGCTGAGTAGTATTCCATTGTGTGAGTATTCCAAAATTAGTTTATTCTTCTGATTATTGACATTTGAGTTATTTCCTTTTTTTGCTATTATGAATAAAGATGATAAAGATGCTATGAGTAGTCTACACATCTTTTTGTAGACATAATTATTTTTATTTCTCTTGGGTAAATACCTGAGAATGAAATTCTGGGTAATAGAGTATATAATTTTTTTTTTTTTTGAGATGGAGTCTCGCTCTGTCACTAGGCTGGAGTGCAGTGGCATGATCTCGGCTCACTGCAACCTCCGCCTCCCGGGTTCAAGCGATTCTCCTGCCTCAGCCTTCCTAGTAGCTGGGATTACAGGCGCCTGCCACCACACCCAACTAATTTTTTGTACTTTTAGTAGAGGCAAGGTTTCACTATGCTGGCCAGGCTGGTCTCGAACTACTGACCTCAGGTGATCCACCTGCCTCAGCCTCCTAAACTGTTGGAATTACAGGCGTCAGCTATCGTGCCCTGCTGAAAATATAAAATTTTAGCTTTATTAAGCAACTTGCTGTTTTCTGATGTGGTTGTACCATTTTATACTACCCCAGAAATGAATTAGAATTCTGTTTGCTCCACATCTTTGTTGATATTTGATATTGTCATTTTTTTTGAACACGAGTTCCATTTGCTCCACATCTTTTTTTTTTTTTTTTTTTTGAGATAGAGTCTCACTCTGTGTCACTCTGTCACTCAGGCTGGAGTGCACTGGCTTGATCACGGCTCACTGCAGCCTCAGTCTCCTAGGCTCATGCCTTTCTCCCACCTCAGCCTTCCAAATAGCTGGGACTACAGGTGTGCACCACCACACCCAGCTATTTTTTTTTTTTTTTTTTTTTTTTTTGTAGAAACAGGGTCCTGCTATGTTGCTCAGGCTAGTCTCAAACTCCTGGGCTCAAGTGATCCTCCCACTTTAGCCTCCCAAAGTGCTGGGATTACAGGCGTGAGCCACTTTGCCCAGCCTACATTTTTGTTGATATTTAATATTGTCCGTGCATTTTTTTCCTTTTCTTTTTAATATTAGCCATTGTTTGTATAGTGTTATTTCATTTTGGTTTTAATTTACACTTCCTCAATGACCAGTGATGTTCAGCACCTTTTCGCATATTTATTCATTATTTGGAGTGTGTGTATGTATGTGTGTGTCTGATTTAAGTCTTTTGTACATTAAATTTGCTTTTTGTTTTTTATTATTGATTTGTAGGCATTCTTGATGTTTTCTGGGTATAAGTCCTTGGTCAGATAAATATATTATAGATATTTTACCCCGGTCTATGCCTTGTTTCTTTACATTCTTGTTTTGTTTTGAATAAACTTGTTATTTTGAAGTGATTTAAGATTTACAAAAAAGTTGCAAGATAGTTTAGAGAGAGAGTATTTGTATACCCTTCACCCAGCTTTCCCGAATGTTAACATTTTACATAAACATGGTGCATTATTCAAAACAAGTTTTTTTGTTGTTATGTTGATATTCTGAATGCCATTTCTTTCATTATAGTTTCTTTTTTTTTTTTTTTTTTTTTTGGAGATGGAGTATTGCTCTGTTGCCCTACGCACTCTGCTGGAGTACAGTGGCATGATCTCAGCTCACTGCAACCTCTGCCTCCTAGGTTCAAGCGATTCTTCTGCCACAGCCTCCCGAGTAGCTGGGATTACAGGCACGTGCCACCACATCTGGCTAATTTTTGTATTTTTAGTAGAGACTGGGTTTCACCATGTTGGCCAGGCTGGTCTTGAACTCCTGTCCTCAGTTGATCTATCCACCTTGGCCTCCCAAAGTGTTGGGATTACAGGCGTGAGCCACTGCGCCCGGCCCCTTCATTATATTTTCTAATCAGTTTTTCTTATATTAGAAAAGTAATTTTTGGCTGGGTCCAGTGGCTCTTACCTGTAATCTTAGCACTTTGGGAGGCTGAAGTGGGTGGATTGCTTGAATCCAGGAGTTCAAGACCAGCCTGGGCAACAAAGCAAGACTCCATCTCTAGAAAAAATACAAAAATTAGCTAGGTGTGGTGGTGCGTGCGGATAGTTCCAGCTACTCAGGAGTCTGAGGAGGGAAGATGGCTTGAGCCTGTGAGGCAGAGGCTGTAGTGAGCTGAGATCAACACTGAACTTCAGCCTGGGCGACAGAGTGAGACCCTGTCTCAAAAAAAAAAACAGCAATTTTGCCTGGACAAGGTGGCTCACACCTGTAATCTCAGCACTTTGGGAGGCTGAGCAACATACAGAAACCCCGTCTCTACAAAAAAACAAACAAAAGAGTAGCTGGGCATGGTGGCAGATGCCTGTGGTCCCAGCTACTTGGGAGGCTGAGGTAGGGGGGCCACTTGGACCTGGGAATTCAGGTCTACAGTGAACTGTGATTGTGCTGCTGCACTTCAGCCTGGGCAACAGAGTGAGACTCTGTCTCAAAATAAAAAAAAATAAAAAATAAAAGAAAAAAGAAAAGCAGTTTTTAAAAAGTAGTAGTATTTATTTGATTTTCTTACTGAACTATGTTATTAGTTTTCTCAAATTCTGGATTTTTCAGTTATATGTTAGCATCTATTACTCATGATGATAATTTCTTTTATTTATTTTTTTTTTTGTAAGATGGAGTCTTGCTCTGTCACCCAGGCTGGAGTGCCTTAGCACTATCTTGGCTCATGGCAACCTTCACCTCCCTGGTTCAAGTGATTCTCATGCCTCAGCCTCCTGAGTAGCTGGGACTACAGGCGCGCACCACCATGCCTGGCTAATTTTTTGTATTTTTGGTAGAGATGGGGTTTCACCACGTTGGCCAGGCTGGTCTTGAACTCCTGACCTCAAGTGATCCTCCCTCCTTAGCCTCCCAAAGTGCTGGGATTACAGGTGTGAACCACCGCACCTGGCCACTGATAATTTCTTTTTGGTTTTGCCCCAAAGGTTTAAATCTTTGACACTATAACGTTTTTAATTTCGATGATGTCTAATTTCTCTAATTTTTCAGAGAAAAATTTGAGAATTTTGTTGCTTACACTTTTAGTGTCATATCTAAGAAACTATTGCCTCTTCCCAAGTCACAAAGATTTACACCTATGTTTTCTCTTAGAGTTGTGTAGTTTTAGCTCTTACACTTGGGTGTTTGATACATTTTGAGTTAATTTTAATATATGGTGTGAGCTAGGGGGTCCATCTTTATTCTTTTGCATGTGGATATCCAGTTGTCCCAGCACCATTATTGAAAAGACCCCAATGTTTATGCCTTCCTTTTTTTATTTTCAGGTCTTCATTTTTAACCAGAACATTTAGAACACTATTAATAATTGTGACAGAAGATATCTTTGTTTGTTTGTTTTTTCCTTTAACGAGAATGTCTCTATTGTTTCTACTAGAAATATGGTGTTTAGTTTCCAGTAGCTTCTTTGATTAAGGAATTTTCTTATTTCTAGTTTATGAAGGTTTAAAAAAATCCCCTTTTTATTGCAAAATTTAACACACAGAAAAGTGTACATAAAACACAAATGTATAACTTAATGGATTTTTATAAAGCAGAGGTTTGAGTTACCACCACCTTGGTCAAGAAATAAAATATTATTTCTAATGGTCAAGAAGGTATATTAATTTTTTGATACCCTTGATTATAAAACTGTTAAGAAACCTGGGAAATTTAAAAAGATTATTGGGATGATGTCTCACATAGTATGCTTTAAAAGTGACAGTTATCAGCTGTAGCTTTAACTGAAGCTGCCATTATTTTACATTTTCTCCTGAGCTTTATAACTATATATCCAACTGGATTCTGATTATCTTTCCTTGAAGGCTTGCAGGTACCTCAGACTCACCATATTTTATATGAACTGCTTCTCCTCTGTTTCCTATCTCAGTAAAGGGCACCTCCTTTTATGCAGTCATTATGCTAGAAACCTAGGTAACATCTGTGATTCCTTGTTTTTCTTATTTGTTCAAGAATGTTTACACAGCAGTTAACTATGTGCTAGATACCTAGCACTGTGAATATAGTAAGGAATAAAAGAGACATGGACCTCTCGTGCTGGTCCTCTCATGAGGTTGTAGTCACCAAATCCTGTGGATCATACCTCCTGCATGTCTGTCAAATCCATCTGCTTTCATTTGTCTCTCTCTCTCTTTTTTTTTTTTTTTTTGAGACAGAGTCTCACTCTGTCACCCAGGCTGGAGTGCAGTGGCGCAATCTCGGCTCACTTGCAACCTCTGCCTCCTGGATTCAAGCAATTCTCCTGCCTCAGCCTCCTTAGTAGCTGGGGCTACAGGTGCATGCCGCCACGCCCGGCTAAGTTTTTTGTGGTTTTAATAGAGACAGGGTTTCACCATGTTGCCCAGGCTGGTCTCGAACTCCTAATCTCAGGCAATCTGCCCACCTGGTCTCAAACTTCTGAGCTCAGTCTATCCGCCCGCCTCCGCCTCCACCTCTCAAAGTGCTAGGATTACAGGCGTGAGCCACCGTGCCCTGCCTCATCCACTTTAGTCCAAGTTATTGTCTCTCACCTGGGTTACAGAAACAGTCTGCTGAATGATTTGCATGCCTCTATTCTTCTTTCTCCAACTATTTTCTTCTTCTTTTCCTTTTTTTTTAGACAGAGTCTTGTTCTGTCGCCCAGGCTGAAGTGCGGTGGTGCGATCTCAGCTTACTGCAACCTCTGCCTCCTGGGTTCAAACGATTCTCCTGCCTCAGCCTCCCGAGTAGCTGGGATTACAGGCATGTGCCACCACGCCCAGCTAATTTTTTGTATTTTTAGTAGAGACGGGGTTTCACCATGTTGGTCAGGCTGGTTTTGAACTCCTGACCTCAAGTGATCTGCCTGCCTTGGCCTCCCAAAGTGCTAGGATTACAGGCGTGAGCCACTGCATCTGGCCTCTCAAACTATTTTCTATGCTTCAGCCAGGAAAACCTGAATATGTCACACCTTTCTTAAAATCTTTCAGTGGTTGTCATTGCCCTATTCTCTAGTCTCACTTCTTGTTGTTCCCATTTTTGAATTCTGTACTTCAACCACACTGATCATTTTTCACTTTCTCAATTATGTCATTTTCTCATCTCCTAGTCTTAATATATTTCCTTCTCCTACTTCCATAATCCTTATTGTCTCTCTTCTTTGACTACCAATTTTACAGGTCTCAGGTTCAACATCAGTGCATCTAAGGAGCCTCCCATGGCATAACCCATACTGTGTTTTCCCTTTATATATTTTTGTTGTTTTTTTAAGAGATAGGGTTCTCACTATGTTGTGCAGTGGTGTAATCATAGCTCACTGTAACTTCAAACTCCTGGGCTCAAGGGATCCTCCCAAGTAGATAGGACTACAGGTGTGTACCACCATGCTCGAGTAATTTTTTAATCTTTATTTTGTAGAGACAAGGTCTCACAGTATCACCCAGGCTGGTCTCAAATGCCTGGCCTCAAGCAACCTTCCTACCTCAGACTCCCAAAATGCTGGCGTGAGCCATGGCATCCAGCCCCCACTTTGTTTCTTATAGCTTACCTGTCATAACACTTGTCATATAGTCTTATAGTTTAATTTGACATATATTCTTAGGGTCAATACACTTTAGGCTCTGGGAAGGGAGGGACTGTGCCTAACTTATTCACTATTATGTTAATTGCATCTACCGCAGTATCTGTTAAGTCTTAGGCATTGGGAATAAAGATTTGTTCAGTGAATGAACTGAGCAGAGGAAGGGGGTGGTGGCAAGAAAAGAGCAGTGAGGTGTTCCAGTTGATAATTTAATAAGAATAATCAGAGTTGGAATAATCAGAATTTGTATTTCAAACCTTATAACTTCCTTTGCTTAAAAATATTTGATTTTCTTTCTTAACAATTGATTCTTGGTTTAGGTTTTTTTTTTTAGTTAAACTTTGGTTGGTTAGGGCTTAACAGGGAATTAGGAATTTGATAGCATGTTCTTATGTCTTTTAAAGACCAAGAGAACTAGAAGGAGAGCATAAACCAGGATTTTAGATGCTAAAAATATTACAGAATTTAGATCATTGACCTTCAGGGAGTATGTCAATGTGAGCAGTGCAACTGTTAGGAATAAGTGCCTCGGATGTTGAAAGTTCATGCAAAATTTAGACAATTTACTGTGTCATAGGTATTGAATCAGCTGGAAGCAAACTGAAAGTATAAATTGAATGGATGGATAGAAATGTTAGTGGTAGAAAGAATAAAACAAACTAAATTTTAAAAACAGTTTAGCGATTGGTATGTAAATACAATCTTATATATAAAGATTGCATCCTTTGATAAGTTGTATGTGGATTAAATAAAATTAGTCTTAATCATTTATTTGATGTAAAAATTACCCTAGAAGTTGTTATTTATGGTAAAGGAATATGGGAAGGATCATTAAAGTTTTTTTCAATATAATATAAATATTAAATAATAGGATAGTGGACCAACCAGAGTTCATCAGAGACAATTTTTTTTCAACTTTATACCTTTTTATTCTTTTTGAATGTTGGGAGGTGAAGCTTTTACACCAAGCTTGTCCAACCCATGGCCCCTGAGGCCACATGAGGCCCAGGACAGCTTTGAATGTGACCCAACACAAATTCATAAACTTTCTTAAAACATAAAGAGATTTTTTTGGCTTTTTTGTTTTGTTCATGCTCATCAGCTATCATTAGTATTAGTGTGTTTTATGTGTAGCCCAGGACAATTCTTCCAATGTGGCCCAGGGAAGCCAAAAGATTGGATACCCCTGTTACACCATTTGGTGAGCTAAGACATGGTTACATGAAAACAGTAACAACTAGCTGTTTAAGGCGGGATAATTATGGAATGAATAGACTGGCTAATTAGTGTAGATGTTCTGAGAAGATAGAGGGTACTTTCAATTGGGAAAGGAATGGTTCCTGGCAGGTTGGGTATCTCGTAACTGCTTATTAAATAAACAGGTTGAATATTTTGGAGTAGTAATGTGAGTAGGGTAGTATCTTTTTTTTTTTTTTTTTTTAGACGGAGTCTCGAACTGTCGCCCAGCATGGAGTTCAGTGGTGTGATCTGGGCTCACTGCAAGCTCCGCCTCCTGGGTTCAGGCCATTCTCCTGCCTCAGCCTCCCTAGCAGCTGGGACTACAAGCGCCCACCACCACGCCCAGCTAATTTTTTGTATTTTTTTAGTAGAGACGGGGTTTCGCTGTGTTCGCCAGGATGGTCTCGATCTCCCGACATCTTGATCCGCCCGCCTCGGCCTCCCAAAGTGCTGGGATTACAGGTGTGAGCCACCACGCCCAGCCAAGGACAGTTTTAAGATTTTGCGAATACTGATATTTCACAAATATTTATTAAGCATCCGTTCTGTGCTCTCTTCTTCTTTTCCTTAAGATGCCTCAAGTTGTCTTCATTCTTTTTTTTTTTTTTTTTTTTGGTCTTTATTCTTAAAAATAAAAATGGCCACCAAAAGAACTTACTTTCAGTCTTACCTTTCTTGCAAACCACTGACCCATCTCTTCCCTTTCTCTTCAAATTCTCCTCAAGGGGTAGTGTAAATCCACTCTGCTTCTTTGCTCCATTATACTGAAACTGCTTTCTCAAAGGTCATCACAGACTTCCTAAATGCCACGCCTTATCATCCTTCTAATTCTGTTTGTTGTTGTTGTTTTGGGATAGAGTCTTGCTCTGTCACCTAGGTTGGAGTGCAATGGTCCGTTCTCAGCTTACTACAACCTCTGCCTCTCAAGCGATTCTCCTGCCTCAGCCTCCTGAGTAGCTGGGATTACAGGCATGTGCCACCACACCCGGCTAATTTTTGTATTTTTGGTAGAGATGGGGTTTCACCATGTTGGCCAGGCTGGTCTCCAACTCCTGACCTCCTGATCCGCCCACCTTGGTTTCCCAAAGTGCTGGGATTATAGGCATGAGCCATCGCGCCCGGCCATTTTTCTAATTCTTATCCTTTTGGAGCATTTTATAACATTTTGTCTACTTGATCTCCATATGAATTAAAACTCTCATTCTTTGGCTTCCAAAACAATGCTTTTTTTCCCCTCAGATCCTCTTCTTACCTCCTGAATCACTCTTCTGCTCACAATTCCTCTTCCATTGCCCACTCTTTGCCCAGATTTCTACCCCAACCCACTTTCTCTATATTCTTTCTTTCTTTGTAACCTTACCCACTCCCATGGCCTCATCCCTCATTATGTACTAATGATGTCGAGATCTGTCTGACCCTGACCTGTTTAGACTTGACTTTTTTCCTGGACTCCAGATTTGCATTTCCAGCTGCCCATTAGACATCTTGATGTAGATGTCTTACAGGTTTCTCTCGGTCTCAGTATTTCCAGAGCAAAATTGTTCTCATCCTATCACAAAATTTGTCGCTCCTCCTCCTGTTTTCTCTTCTTGAAGAGAAATATCATCAGCCACTCAGTCATTTAAGTCATTGATTCCCAATTGACTGCATGAAAATCACCTGGGGGCATATGTTAAAAATAGAGGCTGCTGAATTGTATCCTCCAAAGAGCCTGATTCATTAGGTCTATGGTAAGACCCAGGAATCTTTTATTCTGATGCTCATCCAAGTTTGGAAATCACTGATGAAAACTGATTTGCTCCCTCTGTCCCCATCTCCACCATCTACTGAGTTACCAGGACTTGTCAGTTCTATCTGTGTGATGTCTCATAACTCTGTCTTCTTGTCTCCATTTACACTGCTAGTATTCTAATTGAGACTGTCATCTTTATGGGAACTTGTAGGTACATAGTAGGTATTTTTAAAATTCTTGTTGAATAAATGAATGCCTCATTGCCATACTCTGCCATAGGTCTATTTTTTCCCCTAATTTCACATCTTTACAGTCTATTTCTAATAGTACCTTGTTATTTTTAAAATACCAATCTAATGATATAACTTTTCTTTAAAAAACAATCCATCATTGGCTTTCAAGGTTGGTTATACATCAGAATACTCATTAAATACAGATTCTGTCTGTTTAAGAATGAGGACAATTAAAGAAAAATACAGATGCCTGAGCCTCAACTCTGGAAATTTCAATTTAGTAGATCTGGAGTACAGCACAGGAATCTGTATTTTTACCAGGTATCCCAGAGATTCTGATGCAATTTTGCATTTTGAAGCCATTCACATGCAGAGTAAAAAAGCATCTAAAATGCTTTCAACCTGTCTTAACAGTTTTTTTCCCTACCACTCCTCAACCTCATTCACATACCTTCTCATTTATTATTTGCCATCTCCTGAGCACTCCGTGAACTTTTTGTTCATACCGTTCTCTTTGCTTAACTGCTCCTGCTCCCCTTCTATGCCTGGTAAAACCCTCCTAATCACTTCAAGGCTGGGCTCAGGTGTCACCTCCTCTGTGAAGTTCTACCCTGTCAGAATTTATTCATCCTTCTTGTTCTCATGATACGTTGTTGCTGGTTTAGCAAACCACAGGTGATATTATCTTACACAAACAAGTTGTTCTGTGGCAGGCAGAAGACTCAGGAGGTGAAGGAGTTTCATTATTTACCTGGAGTTTCCAGCCCAGGGCTGCTGTTACCCTAGTGGAGAGATTTATAGAATGGTTTTGATATGACCTGTGAGTAAAGAAGAAAATGTGTTTGAAACAATTTCTGTGAACACGATTTGAACTTTGGGTTATTATATTTGTTTCTTATCCATTTTAGAGTGAATGTTCAAGCTGTATACCCACCCCTTCCCCTGAGAGTAGAGCCCTGAAGCTTTATATTCTCAACACCCCACCCCATTCCTTGGCTCTGTCTTCTCAATGTCAGTAGATACCTTCTCTCTTCTTCGCTGTTGCCTGCTTTGGTTACTGATTCCAGAGCTTTTCCTGACTTTTCTGGTAAATTATTACTCTGAACTTGAGTGTATCCCTTTGAAGATCTCCTGTACTTGTACCAAACAAATGATTGTGTATATGCCTTTTGAATTCTTCATATTTGAGTCATGCTCTGTTCTAACACTTAAAGTATTAAAATCTCAAGTATCTATGGTATAGTCTTTGAAAGTCACTGTCTTTTGGTCAAGTGTTCATGCGGTTGTTAGACTGCACTGATAGTGCTAGAATTTATAAAGCAATTACTTCCTTTACTAATGACTACCCATTTTCTCTTTCTTTTTCATAGATGCTCTCTCTTATTGACGTGTACATAAATTGTATCTAAATAGCATTCCAGGATTTTTATACATATACATTTCTCATATAAATGTATCTGTATTCCCTTGCACACACACATTCCATACATACATATGTGTACATACATACGTACTTTTCAGATTATTAAAATCCCCAAAGGACCTCAAGGTTTTTTGGAATTATTCAGTGTAAGAACAACAACTGTATTTCTTCTCTGAATTTCAGTGGGGGCAAGAGTCCCTAATGATCATCTATCTTACCCTTAGAGAAAAAGGAAGAAAAGGAAAAGAAAAAAAAGAACCTTATGGTTTGACCTGATATAGATATCTGAGTATTGTTCTTTTGTATTAATGAGCATGGGAGTGGTTTTGATGAGCTTTGGGGTGTGTGTGTGTGTATGTGTGTGTGTCTGTGTGTGTGTGTGTGTGTGTGTGTATGTATCATCCCTCAACTGCCTCCTGCAGCCTAGGCCAAGACTACTTATGGAGCAGTCCTTTCTAGACAGGTAGCTGCTCATCCTGGCTTTCAATTTTGACATAGGAAAATTTCCATCAGTGTTTTTCCTAAGCTAATAGGGAGCCACATCTAGGTACTGGCGTATTCAACTCTAAGAGCTTTTAGACCAGCTTGAAGACTCTGTCCAAGAAGGAAAGTCAGTATTGCATTTTCCATGGCTTCTGGGAATGGCCTAAGGAAAGGATATCTACGAATAATTCCAAATCCTTCCTTTATGATATCTGTTAATATGTAGCTTGTTAACATTATAATTTTACCTTTGTCCTATCTCCTAACCTTCTCATGGACTAGTGAGTAGCATAAAGTCCAGAATTATTAGGGCCACAGTAAGTTAGTAAGAGAAACAAAGGGCTGGAAGGATCTGTAAAGCAACAATTGTAGAACAATTGACCCAGCCATCCCATTACTGGGTATATACCCAAAGGATTATAAATCATGCTGTTATAAAGACACATGCACACATATGTTTATTGCATCAGTATTCACAATAGCAAAGACTTGGAACCAACCCAAATGTCCAACAATGATAGACTTGATTAAGAAAACGTGGCACATATACACCATGGAATACTATGCAGCCATAAAAAATGATGAGTTCATGTCCTTTGTAGGGACATGGGTGAAGCTGGAAACCATCATTCTGAGCAAACTATCACAAGGACAAAAAACCAAACATCACATGTTCTCACTCATAGGTGGGAATTGAACAATGAGAACACTTGGAAACTGGAAGAGGGACATCACACACTGGGGCCTGTTGTGGGGTGGGGGGAGAGGGGAGGGATAGCATTAGGAGATACACCTAATGGAAATGACAAGTTAATGGGTGCAGTACACCAACATGTCACATGTATACATATGTAACAAACCTGCACATTGTGCACATGTACCCTAGAACTTAAAGTATAATAAAATATATATATAAAAGAAAAAAAAACACTTTATTTAAAAAATAAAAATAAAAAAGCAAAAAAAAAAAAAAAAAAGAAACAAATCTCCAACTTGGAAAGTTTGGAAAACAAAGCATGTTATGTTGGAGGAAATGAATTTCTTTGAGAGCTTTAAAAAAATTGACTGCGGCTGGGCATGGTGGCTCACGCTTGTAATCCCAGCACTTTGGGAGGCTGAGGGGGGTGGATCATTTGAAGCCAAGGGTTGAAGACCAGACTGGGCAACATGGCAAAACCCTGTCTCTACTAAAAATAAAAAAATTAGCCGGGCTGGTGGTGTGCACCTGTAATCCTAGCTGCTCGGGAGGCTGAGGCAGGAGAATATCTTGAACCCTGGAGCCAGAGGTTACAGTGAGCCGAGATTGTGGCACTGCCCTCCAGCCTTGGGGACAGAGTAAGATTCTGTCTCAAAGAAAAAAAAAGGTTGACTGTGAGATGTGTATCCAAAATCCAAGAGTACTTTGTAATATTATTATTTAATAGTGATATCAATAAAGTTTAAATCTTGTTGATCCATCAAATGTTTTAGACTGGTTTCATTATATAGAGATAGTTATAGAACAAAAAGAAATTGTCATTATATTCTGTTCATCCAGGACAAGTAACTAAAAAATTTCAAGTCGATTAAAAAAAGTTTCCAATTGTTCATGTTTTAAGAACTGCATAGTCTGACCGCCTTAGGGTTTGGAGTTTTCATATGAGGAAGCCCTAATGCTTTTTACAATCCCATCTTATTAAACTAAGAAGTCTTATGAGATACTGTTTAACTCTGCCCAGCTGACCAACTTCATATAAGGTTTATGAAAATCAGCTTAAGAAATAGACCATTAGCAATACTGTTGAATATATCTTCATATTCTTTACCTCATAGGAATGTATCCCTAAATCTTTTGTAATATTGTCTTACATTTTTATGGCCTATAAATGACATCATATTCTATGTATCCTTTTGCTATGTGCTTTTTAAAATTTCCCATATGGCCAGGTTCGGTGGCTCATGCTTGTAATCCCAGCACTTTGAGAGGCTGAGGCAGGGAGAACACTTGAGATCAGGAGTTAAAGACCAGCCTGGCCAACATGGCTAAACTCTGTCTCTATTAAAAATACAAAAATTAACTGGGTGTAGGGGCACATGCCTGTAATCACAGCTATTTGGAAGGCTGAGGCACAAGAATTGCTTGAACCCAGGAGGTGGAGGTTGCAGTGAGCCGAGATCCCACCCTTGCACTCCAGCCTGGACAACAGAACAAGACTCCGTCTCAAAAAAAAAAAAAAACCCAGATATAATCTAAATTATATTTGTTAAGATGTATCTCTTTTGTAATACACAGCACCTATTCATTTATCTTCACATTGATACATGTAACAATAATTTATTTTTTACATTGTCATGTGGTAGCCCAGTGTATGATTATACCAAAATCTATTTCTTTTCTTATTGATGGACATGTAAGTTGTTTCTAGGATGTTGTTGCTTGTTTGCTTTTCTTCTGTTTGCTTTTAATACATAATATTGCAATAAAAATCCAAACCACAAAGTGATATTACTTCACACCCACTAGGATGGCTTTAATAAAAAGATGGACAATAACAAATATTGGTGAGGGCATGAAAAAATTGGAGCCTCATACATTGCTGATGGAATTGTAAAATGGTACAACCGCTTTGGTACACAGTCTAGCAGTTCTTCAAAATGTTAAGCATAAGAATTAACATTTGACCCATCAGTTCTGCTCCCAGGTATATATCCAAAATAATTGAAAACATATGCCCACATAAGAACTTGTACATCATTGTTCATGGCAGCACTATTCACAATAACCAAAAGGTGGAAACAGCCCAAATGTCCATCAACTGATGAACGAATATGCAAAATGTGGTATAGCTATAAAATGAAATATTATTCAGCCATAAAAAGGAATTGAAGTACTGATATATGCTACAACTGGGATAGACCATGAAAACATTGTGCTAAGTGAAAGAAGTCAGACACAATAGGCTGCATATTATATGATTTCACTTATATGAACTGTCTAGAAAAGACAAATCCACAGAAATAGAAAGTAAATTAATGGTTGCTAAGGGCTTGGGGGAAGGGGTGAGTGGAAAGTGATTGCTAATGGAACAGTCTTTCTCTTTGGAGAGATGAAAATGTCCTGAAATTGCATAGGATGATGATTGCACAATTCTATGAATGTATTAAAAACCATTGAATTGTACACTTTCAGAAGGTGAATTTTATGGTATGTTGATTACATCTCAATGAAGATGTTATAAGAGACAACTAAAAATTTATAGTGCTACTATGAGCATTCTTGTACATGGTTTCATGTGTAAATGTGTTAGAATTTTCCTAGGGTTTATGTGAAAGATTAAACATTTGTGCATCTTCACTGGGTAAGTGATGTTCAAAGTGACTGGCTATGCCAGTGTACACTTCCTCCAACTGTGTAGGAAAGCTCTACATTTCCACTTACAATTGCTGTTGTCATATTTTTATATCACTAATTTCTCAGATTAAAACTGGTAATAATTCTTTAATTGATTATTCTCAAAAAATGCCAAGAGTGCGATTCTATTTGCAAATGGTTCTTGATTATTGCTGCGTGGATTTCCTGGTGATGAGCTGCAAAATATCAAGGCCCAAGTAACCTATTGGTTTATATTTGGGGTTTGTGCATGATCAACTTCATATAAGGTTTATGAAAATCAGACAAAGATTGAGCAGATCTGTTACAGAAAATCTTCCTTAGCATCTCAGACAATTACATCTGAACAATTTATGCTTAGACTGTTCCGTTTGTATATTATTTAGACTGTTTACATCTTTTACCATCCCTCTCAATAGTTTCTTCTTCATGCAGCAGTTCTTTTTTCCCAGTGGCTTCTTCTTAGTTGAGGAAGTGTTGTGTTCTGTACTAGATGTTTTAAAAAGAAATGTCTAAATTCAACTTCAGATTCAACATCTGGAAAAAAGAAGCTCATTCAAATGGCACCAGCAAACACCATAAAAATACTGACATAAACTCATTAGTAAAATAAAAACATTCATTTTAGTTGTTTCTCAAGTTTTTCAGGGTATTAAAATCTATTGGAAATTGTCCTAGACTCTTTGGGGGCTGAGATCAGTATAGAATAATACAGCTGGAAGCTACCCTAGTGATTATAGAGCTCAACCCTATCATTTTTACAGATCAAAAAACCTAAGGTTCAGGAACGTGAAGTGATTTGTGCAAGGGTTCACAGCTAAATCTATTTCAATCATAGAGTAACTGTCACATTTTCCTTTGTCTTATTATTAAGGATTAAATGTTTAGTCCAAGAGGCTCTTTTTTTGTGTTTTTGTGTTTTTTGTTTTGTTTTGTTTTGCTTTTTTAGTAATGATTTTATTCAAAAGGTTTACTGCAAGGGATGAAGGGACAATTATAATAAGGAGACTGCTGTAACCATAAGATTTGCAAGTGCCTCAAGAGCTATTTTTCTTTTTTCTTTATTTTTTTTGAGACAGAGTCTCGCTCTGTCACCCAGGCTGGAGTGCAGTGGTGTGATCTTGGCTCACTGCAAGCTCCGCCTCCCAGGTTCACACCATTCTCCTGCCTCAGCCTCCCTAGTAGCTGGGACTGCAGGCGCCCACCACCATGCCTGGCTGATTTTTTGTGTTTTCAGTAGAGACGGGGTTTCACCGTGTTAGCCAGGATAGTCTCAATCTCCTGACCTCGTGATCCACCCAGCCTCCCAAAGTGCTGGGATTACAGGTGTGAGCCACCACACCCAGCTGCTCAAGAGCTATTTTTCTATAGTAAAAAATACATGGCTAACTTCAGAATGTAAATTTAATTTGAATACTTATGATGGGTTTCTGTGTATTTATTTGTTTATTTTTATTTATTTATTTTTTGAGACGAAGTCTTGCTCTGTCACCCAGGCTGGAGTGCAGTGGCGCGATCTCTGCTCACTGCAGGCTCCGCCTTCTGGGTTCACACCATTCTCCTGCTTCAGCCTCCCGAGTAACTGGGACTATAGGCGCCCGCCACTGCGCGCAGCTAATTTTTTGTATTTTTAGTAGAGAACGGGTTTTACCGTGGCCTCGATCTCCTGACCTTGTGGTCCACCCGCCTCGGCCTCCCAAAATGCTGGGATTACAGGCGTGAGCCACCGCGCCTGGCCTGGATTTCTGTGTATTTAATATGTTCTGTTGACTTTCTTTGACATTTGGCAAATTTAAGGCGCTAAATAACAGTGAAAGAGCTGAAGTACTATTGTATTTAACACTTTGACAGAGTTTTGTTTTTTTTTTCCCCCGTGGGTAGTATATTTATCCTACTGTTGTTTGATTTTTATAATATGCTAGTCTTCATGAAGGCCATTTTCATGAGAATATATTTAGGTATATTTTCGCCTAAGGACTTTGCCAAACTGCGATTAAAAGAATGGAATTACACAACTTTTCATGACATCCTATTCTTTTACAGAGAGGAATGGAGAGGTTAGGGGATAAGAACATTTTAGAAGCGCTTTTGATCATTGCTAGTCCTAACTTAGTCTAGTGACTAAGAAGATGTGACTATTGATGTTCATATTTGCATGCAGTTATTGATTTTGTGTCAGAAAGCCTTCTGGTACTTGCTGTGGTCTTTCCAATGCTATTAAGCTGGAAGAATGACTTTGCTCTTGGCCTTTACTATAGCCTTTGAAAACAAAGTATTAACATTATTGTAAGCCTTTGAGTTTTTGCCATTCAGCCTTAAATTGGGATACTCTGTCAACAATGTCAGTGTGGCATATTAATAAGACTAACTGTGCTCCAGAAAATAGGCTGGGCTACTACCAGTTATGTAGAAGGTTTCATTGAGTTCTAAAATTTCAGAGCAAGAAAGGTGAAACTTAGTCTCAAAAAGATATGGGGATCATCTTGGCTTAGTCTTAATTAAGTGTAGACTTTGGCACCCTAAAAGCCTAAGGAGTGAGGTCTCTGTTGGTATACTGCTATTTCAGGTTCATTTGAATTAATCTCTGAGGTTGTTAACTAGATAGCTGTAACTCCAAAAAGACAACTTAAATGTGTCAGCTAGCTATTTGGCTACTCCTTAAACTTGGCTTCATTTTAATGTTTCAATGGTACAAGATTTTTTTTTTCCTGATTCCCTTAAGGTAGAAAAGGATTATTTAATGATTTATTAAAAGATCAATCATTAGACTATTCAAAAACAAACTCCCAATTTGATCTGTTTCTGCCTATCCCTTCAGATTTGACTGTTGTGATCTTCTAGGTCACATTCTACTGGGTAGAAGGCAGTTTTCTGTAATAGATGCACTAGAAGTTTAATCTAATGTCGTAGTGTAATTCTGAATAGCAGATTTGGGAAAGATAGGAGTGTTGTCACTTTACCTGTAAAGCAAGTCTTTGAATTGCCGTGTGTCACACAATAAGAATATATGCAAATTAGTTGTGGGATTAACACATAATTACGGGATAGACTAGCCATTGTTTAAAAGCAGAATAATTCTAAGGTAAATGAAATTTCAGAAAAAAATTATATAAATTTAATTTGAATCAGTACAAAATAGTTTTTCAAACCATCATTTGGAATATAATAGTATACATTTAAGAATGTAATGGGAAAGAGGATCCTGTTCATAGAAGCAGCAAAAAAAGAAAAATAAAAAGAAAAAAATCACAAAATCCTTAGGAATAATTGCCCAGGAAGAAATATATAAGACTTTTTTTTTTTTTTTTTTTTTTTGAGCTGGAGTCTCACTCTGTCACCCAGGCTGAAGGGCAGTGGCACAATCTTGGCTTACTACAACCTCTGCCTCCTGGGTTCAAGCGATTCTTCTGCCTCAGCCTCCTGAGTAGCTGGGACTGCAGTCACACGCCACCGCTAATTTTTGTATTTTAGTAGATACGAGGCTAATTTTTGTATTTTTAGTAGAGATAAGGTTTCACCATGTTGGCCAGGTTGGTCTCAAACTCCTGACCTCAAGTGATCCACCTGCCTCGGCCTCCCAAAGTGCTGGGATTACAGGTGTGAGCCACCATGGCCAGCCTATAAAACTTGTAGGAAGAAAATATAATACTTTATCATAAAGAACATGAAAGAAGGCCTAAATAAGTGGAGCTACTGATAGAAATAGTATTGTATCATCTCTCTTTCTTAATATTGATCTAGTAGTACTACAATAGTAACTACCTCATAGAATTGTTAGAATTAATATATGAAAGATCTTAAAACAGTTTCTGACACTTAGTAGGCTCCATAGTGTTTGCTATTATTGTTTTTATTATAAAATCCATGTAACTCTAGTCAAAATTTCCATGGAAAAATTTGGCAAGCTCATCCTGAATTTCATCTGGAAGAATTAATATGCAGAAATAGTCAAGTAAATCCCTCAAAATTCAATAAGGTGAGTCTTGGCCTACCAGATGTCAAAATATAGTTAAGTAATTAAAATGCTATAGTATTGATAGAGGAATAGATAAATAGATAAATGAAAGAAATAGAGACTCCAGAAACAGACTCAATTACAGATAGGAATTTAATTTTGATAATGGTAACATTTCAATTTAATGGGGTAAAAATTGTGTTAGGAGAGTTGGCTCTCTACTTGGGGAAAAAAATTATACCGCCTAACTCTCACCATCTGAAAAGTAAGTTCCAAGGAATCAAATAGTTAATATAATTTTTAGAAGGAAATATAGGTGAATATTTTTATAACTAGGAAGCAAGGAAGAGGTGGGAGGGAGAAGGCTTCCTGAGTAAAATGAAACTCAGAACTTTTCTATGACAAAAAACATCCTAAAAAGAGTTGAAAGACAAATGACAGACTAGGAAAAAGATTTTGTGATCAAGGATTAATATCCAGAGTAACGAGCTCTTTATATAAACAATTTTAAAAATTTAACCAGCCGGGCACAGTGGCTCATGCCTGTAATCCCAGCACTTTGGGAGCCCGAGGTGGGTGGATGACAAGGTCAGGAGATTGAGACCATCCTGGCTAACATGGTGAAACCCTGTCTCAACTAAAAATACAAAAAATTAGCCAGGCGTGGTGGCGGGCGCCTGTGGTCCCAGCTACTCGGGAGGCTGAGGCAGGAGAACTGCGTGCCCGGGAGGCGGAGCTTGCAGTGAGCCGAGATGGTGCCACTGCACTCCAACCTGGGCAACAGAATAAGACTGTGTCTCAAAAAAAAAAAAAATTTAACCATCTTTAAAAAATGAGGAAAGGCTATGAATGGGGAGTAGTTTATGTGGCTAATAAACATATGAGATAATATCCACATGGAAGGCTGGGTGAGGTGGCTAATCCCAGCACTTTGGGAGGCCGAGGCAAGAAGTCACGAGGTCAGGAGTTCGAGACCCGCCTGGCCAACATAGTGAAACCCCGTCTCTACTAAAAATACAAAAATTAGCTGGGCATGGTGGTTCACGCCTGCAGTCCCAGCTACTCGGGAGGCTGAGGCAGGAGAATTGCTTGAGCTTGGGAGGCGGAAGTTGCAGTGAGCCAAGATCGCTCCACTGCACTCCAGTCTGGGTGACAGAGCAGGACTCTGTCTCAAAAAAAAAAAATAAAAATAAAAATAAAAATCCACATGGAATTGCAAGGGACCCAGAATAGCCAAGACAATCCTGAAAAGAAGAACAAAGTAGGAGGACTCACACTTCCTGATTTTAAAACTTACTACAAAGCGATGGTAACCAAGACAGTGTGGTATCGGCACAAAAGTAGACATGTACATCAATGGAATAGAATTGAGATTCTAGAAATAAACCCATGCAACCATGGTCAACTGATATATGACAAAGGTGCCAAGACCATTCACTGGGGAAAGAATAGTATTTTCAACAAATGGTATAGGGGGCAGCTGGATAACATGCAAAAGAATGAAGTTGGAGTCTTACACCATACAAAAGTTAAAATAGATCAAAGACCTAAATGTAAAAGCTAAAGCTAAAAATCTCTTAGATGAAAACATAGCAGTAATGTTTTCCATGACCTCGATTGATTAATTGATTGAATTTTACTGATGAGCTATCAGATTGTATCCATGACCTCGGATTTAGCAAAAGATTCTTAGATATGTCACCATAGCATGAGCAACAAAAGAAAAAATAATTTGAATTCATAAAAATTAAAAGCTTTATTTATTTATTTTTAAGAGGAAGGGTCTCACTCTGTTATCCAGGCTGGAGTGCAGTGGTGCGATCATGGCCCACTGTAACCTCAAACTCCTGGGCTCTAGTGATCTTCCAACCTTAACCTCCCAAGTAACAAGGACTGCAGGTATGTGACATCACATCCAGCATTTTTTTTTTTTAGAGATGGGTTTTGGTATGGAGCCCAGGCTGGTCTCAACATCTTGGCCTCAACTGATCCTCCCACCTCAGCCTCCCAAAGTGTTGGGATTATAGGCATGAGCCACCACCACTCCTGGCCTAAAAGCTTAAAATACTTGAAAGGACACTATCAAGAAAGCAGGTAGATCACTTGAGTCCTGGAGTTCAAGACCAGCTTGGGGCACTGTAGCAGGACAACATCTCTACAAACAATTTGAAAAATTAGCCAGGCATAGTGGCACACACCTGTAGTCCCAGCTGCTCAAGAGGTTCAGGTGGGAGGATCATTTGGACCTGGAAGCATCGCTTGCAGTGAGCTGAGATCGTGCCACTGCACTCCAGCTTGGGTAACAGAGTAAGACCTTGTCCCAAAAACAAACAAACAAAAAAAGAAAGTGATAAGACAACCCACAGAGTGAGAGATATTTGCAAATTATATATCTTGTAAGTGACTTGTATCTAGAATATATAAAGAACTTTAATAATAAATAAATAACTTTATAATAATAAGAAGAAAAAAATATCTCAATTAAAAAATGGACAAATAATCTAAATAGACATGCCTCCAAGGAAGATACACAAATGACCAATAAGCACCTGAAAAGATATTCAACATCAATTGTCATCAGGGAAATGCAATGAAAACCATAATGAGACACCACTTTGTACCCACTAGGATGACTAGAACCAAAAAGTAAAATAATGACAAGTATTGGTGAGGGTATGGTGAAATTGGAGCTCTTATATACTGCTGGTAAAAATGTAAGATGGGGCAGCCGCTGAAAAACAGTCTGGCAGTTCCTCAAACAATTAAGCATAGAGTTACCATATGATCCAGCAGTTCTACTCCCATAAATGAAAACGTATGTCCATACCAGCAATTCTACTCCTAGGTGTACTGAAGATAAATGAAAACATGTGTCCATACAACACTTACACAAAAATGTTAATGGCAGTATTATTCATAATAACCAAAGGTGGACACAACCCAAATGTTCATCAGCTTATGGATAATCGAAATGTGTATCCATACAATGGAACATTATTTAGCCATAAAAATGAATGAAATACTGATTCATGCTACAGTTTGGATGAGCCTTGAAAACAGATGCTAAGAGAAGTCAGTCACAGAAGTCTACATATTATATGATTCTGTTTATTTGAAAGTCCAGAATAGGGAAATCTCTGGAGTGGGAAAGTAGGTTGGTGGTTGCTTAGGGATAGGAGGAGGGAGGGTAAGAGGTTGAGGAGCAATAGCTAGAGGATACAGGACTTCTTTTTTTTCTTTTTTTTTTTGAGACGGTGTCTCACTCTGTCACCCAGGCTGGAGTGCAGTGGCGCAATCTTGTCTCACTGCAACCTCCACCTCCTGGGCTTAAGTGATGCTCCCACCCCAGACTCCCAAGTAGCTGGGACTACAGGCCCACACCACACCTGGCTGATTTCTAATTTTTTATATTTTTGCTAGAGAGAGGTTTTCACCATGCTTCTCAGGCTGGTCTCAAACTCCTGAGCCCGAGTGATCCACCTGCCTCGGCCTCCCGTAAGTGCTGGGGTTACAGGCGTGAGCCACCGTGACTGAACCCAGGGCTTCTTTTTGAGATGATGGAAATTTTCTAAAATTGACTGTGGTGATGGTTTCACTTATCTATGACTATAATTTTTTTAAAAAAGTACCTTTGAAATTGTATACTTTTAAATTTAATTAATTAATTTATTTTTCCAAAGACAGGATCTCTCTCTATTGCCCAGGCTGGAGTGCACTGCTGCGATCTCAACTCACTGCAACCTCCACCTTTCGGGTTAAAGGGATTCTCGTGCCTCAGCCTCCTCAGGGGCTGGGACTACAGGCACACACCACCAAGCCTGGCCATTTTTTTTGTATTTTTAGTAGAGAAAGGGTTTTGCCATGTTGGCCAGGGTGGTCTCGAACTCCTGACCTCAAGTGATCTACCTGCCTTGATCTCCCAAAGTGCTGGGATTGCAAGAGTGAGCCACTGTGTCCAGCCTGAAATTATATACTTTAAATGGACAAATTGTATTGTATGTGAATTGTATCTCAGCATAGCTGTTTTAACATTAAAAAAAATTTAAAACACATGAGAAACTTCTCAGATTTCATTATTAGCAAAATGCAAATCGAAACAGTGTTTTTTTTTTCCAGTTCTTTAACAGAAATTTAAAAATTAGTTCTTTTTTTTTCCTTGAACCAAAAGAATTAGTTCTTTCAAGCATGGATATTGATATGGAGTTGGGGAAATGGGTGCACTTAACTGTCTTGTAAATGGGCAAAGCCTTTTCAGAAGGCAGTTTGGCAGAATTTATAAAAATATATGCAGATCATTTGGCTCCCAAGTTTTATTTCTTTCCTTATTCTAGCATATGTACAGAAAGATGTATATACAAAAATGTTCTTTTATTCCTTGTAAAAAAAATTAGGAAAAACCTAAATTTATATAAATGGGGGAATGGTTAGATATTCACAGTATGGAAATCTTTTGCTGTTATGAACAAAAGAAGTAGACCCAGGTCTGGGCATGATGGCTCACTCCTGTAATCCCAACACTTTAGGAGGCCAAGGCAGGAGGATTGCTTAAGGCCAGGAGTTTGAGACCAGTCTGGGAAACATAGCAAGACCCTGTCTCTAAAAAATAAATAAATAAATAAAAAACAAAAGAGGTAGACCTACATAAACCTGTACTAACACTATGCAAGAACATTCTATAAGAATATTGTAAGTAGAAAGAAAAACTCACTGAAGTACATATAATATGTCCCCATTTACACTTTTAAAAATTCTGGAAGATGGCCGGGCGTGGTGGTTCACGCCTGTAATCCCACCACTTTGGGAGGCTGAGGCAGGCAGATCACGAGGTCAGGAGATCGAGACCATCCTGGCTAACACGGCGAAACTCCATCTCTACTAAAAATACAAAAAATTAGCCAGGCATGGTGGCAGTGAGATCGCACCACTGCTGAGATCGCGCCAACCGAGATCCCAGCTGAGATCATACCACTGCACTCCAGCCTGGGCGACAGAACGAGACTCCATCTCAAAAAAAGAAAAAAAAATTCTGAAAGATATATGAAAAGTACATGTAAGCACATAAGTATCTGGACAGTATTTTAGCAGGATATATTGTAGTTAGATTTTAATTTTTTTTCTCTTAACAATAAAAATATACTCTGTGTTACTAGATTACTTTAAGACAATCAATTTGGGTACGGGCACAGTGGCTCATGCCTATAATCCACAAGCACTTTGGGAGGCTGAGGCGGGTGGATCACCTGAGGTCGAGAGTTCAAGACCAGCCTGACCAACATGGAGAAACCCCATCTCTACTAAAAATACAAAATTAGCCGGGCATGGTGGCGCATGCCTGTAATCCTAGCTGCTCAGGAGGCTGAGGCAGGAAAATCGCTTGAACCCACGAGGCGGACATTGCGGTGAGCCGAGATTGCACCATTGCACTCTAGCCTGGGCAGCAAGAGTGAAACTCTGTCTCAGAAAAAAAAAGGAAGGAAGGGGAAAGAAAAGAGAAAAGAGAAAAAAGAAAATAAAAGAAAAGAGAAAAGAAAAGAAAATCAATTTGGGCTGGGCCTGGTGGCTCATGCCTACAATCCCAGCACTTTGGGAGACTGGGCAGATCACCTGGGGTCAGGAATTGAAGACCAGCCTGGCCAACGTGGTGAAACCCTGTCTCTACTAAAAATACAAAAATTAGCTGGATGTGGTAGTGGGCGCTGTAACCCCAGGTACTTGGGAGGCTGAGGCATGAGAATCGCTTAGACCTGGGAAGCAGAGTTTGTATTGAGTTAAGATGATGCCACTGCACTCCAGCCTGGACAGCAAGAGTGAAACTCTGTCTCAGAAAAAAAAAAAAAAAAAGGAAGGAAGGGGAAAGAAAAGAGAAAGGAGAAAAAAGAAAATAAAAGAAAAGAGAAAAGAAAAGAAAAGAAAATCAATTTGGGCTGGGCCTGGTGGCTCATGCCTACAATCCCAGCACTTTGGGAGACTGGGCAGATCACTTGGGGTCAGGAATTCAAGACCAGCCTGGCCAACATGGTGAAACCCTGTCTCTACTAAAAATACAAAAATTAGCTGGATGTGGTAGTGGGCGCTGTAACCCCAGGTACTTGGGAGGCTGAGGCATGAGAATCGCTTAGACCTGGGAGGCAGAGTTTGTATTGAGTTAAGATGATGCCACTTCACTCCAGCCTGGGCAACAAAGTGAGACTCTGTCTCAAAAAAAAAAAAAAAAAAGGAAGAAAGAAAGAAAGAAAATCAATTTGAAGAAAAAAGCTATAGTATACCTGATATTGGATGGAGCTTTGGTTTGGAAGTTAGGAACCCACAGCATTAGTTATGCTATTGTCATAGACTTAAGCCCTCTCAAGTTGTTTAGGTTTCATTTGTCTCACATAACTCGGTGTTAGGAAGCAGTATTAGGACCATGTTGTTCCCCATTGTTACTTCCTGAGCATTATTTCTTATACCGTCTAATAAAAATAAAATACCATTGCTCCTTTGATTCTCATGCCACCTTTTAACTCCCTCATTCATCAAAGACTTAGCTCACAACTTACTCTCCATCTCATTTTTCTATCAAATCATCCAACATTCACTTGGGTGACTGTTCCTGAAAATGTTTCTCATTTTGGGTGATTTTTCCCTCAACCTTGCTCTGTCACCCATTTCCACAGTTATACCTGTGACACAAATATCACCTATATCTGCTCCTCCTCTAATGCATCTGGCTTTTTGGCCATAATGTGGAATTGCTAATTCAATCACTGCTTTTATAACCAGTTCTAATTGGGACTTCCAATTCTTTTTCCCATTTACTTCTTTATAATTCATCAGCTTTTCTTCTTGTCTTGCTTAGATTCTGTTTACTTTAATAACACTTTCCCTAAACCCTAAACTCCTTACCTCTCTGAAATTTTTGAACTTATCTGTCAACGTCCTAACTGGATGAACCTAACTCTGATTTCTCTGTGGTTACACCTAAGTGGATGAAAATCACCAAATAGTATACGTTTTTATTACTTTACATTCATGGTCCCCAAATTCAAATAGATCCTTTCCCTTGTCTGGAAACCCAATCGTATGTCCCTGGCCAACTCACTCATTTCTCTGGAATGATCATTTCATACTTCTGTATGATCCTCACCCTTCTGACCATTCTACTTCCTTCCTTTTTCTGAACAGTTGATATCACCTCCTCCTGCTTTGCTTCCTACTCCACAACTTGTCTGATCTGGCTTTTGTGTTTATCACTGCACCAAAAAAACCCTTTTAACAAGTGCTTTAACATGAGACTTGTGAAAGTCTCTAGTGCCCTGTAGGTTGTTAAATTTAGAGTTGGTTTAATAAAATGGTTCAGAATTATGCCTGGAGCCAGACTGATTGGATTTGAATGCTGGCTCCTTAGTTTTTAGCCATATGACCTTGGGCATGTTACTTAATCTTCTAAAAATGATGATGATGGTAATAATAGTAATATTTATCTTATTAGCTTGCCAGGAGGATTTAATGAATATTAATTCATTAACATTCATTATATGGGGCAGTATTTAATGAATATTAATTCATTAATATTCAATATATGGGGCAGTGTTTCACCCATGTATAGTAAGCCCTTAATAAATATTAATTGATATTATTGCTCCTACCACTACCCCTGTTACTACTGTGATTACTACTGCTTCACAGATAAGATAGAAAACAGAGAAATCAGATGGGAATTTCTTATTTGTTATTACTTTTTTGAGACAAGGTCCCTCTTTGTCACTCAGACTGAAGTGCAGTGTCACACTGTAAGGCTTGGCTCACTGCAAGCAATGCCTTTGGGGCTCAAGTGATCCTCCCACCTCAGCCTCCCAAGTAGCTGGGACTATAGATGCGTGCCATCATGCCTGGCTAATTTTTGTATTTTTTGTAGAGATGGGGTTTCACCATGTTGCCCAGGCTCAATTTTTATCTCTAAACCACTCTACCTATGTCTGAGGCATTCTCTTTTCCTTCCCTCCTATTGCAGTGGAGAGTTTTTCCCATTTAAGGGTAATCCTTCTGTCTTTATTTTGGAGCCTTTCTCTTTAATCTCACACTATCCAACCTTATTTGCCAACCTTTTCTTTTCATGTGAATGCTTCTAAATATAATTAAACATGCTCAAGTCTCTTTCATTTTACAATAACAACAATTTATGGCCCCTTCCTGGCTTCCATCTATCACTCTGTCTCTTTCCTCCTTTTCTTAGCCATATTTTTCAAGACTTATCAATGCTCTCATTTCCTTTCACTCTTCATTCCATTCTTAATCTTGCTCTTGCCCAATTACTGCACTGAAACATTTCAAGCTCAGGTCCTCCATGACCTTTACATTGCTAATTCTGACATTTCCTTTCTTCAGCTTACTTGACTGTTAGCAACATCAACCACTCTTTCTTGAAACGCTTTCATCCTATGACTTCCATGATACATTTGTTTTTCTTTTCTCTTCTCTGGTTATACCACCTTTGCTCACTCATCCTTTCCTAAACAGTTTTTAAATTCTAGAATTTCTCATAGCTTTGTGGTAGGCTGTCTTTTCATACTACTCTCTTGCCAGGTCTTTTCCACATGCCCAGCTTCAAATAGACCAGAAAAAATATTGGCTGCTATCACCAGTATTGTGATATTCCTCAACCTTTCCCTTCCTTAGAGGACTTTTGGGAAGACACATGGGGATATATTTAAAATTTGAGTTTTTTGGAAGAATGGATGGCATTATAACTTATATTATTCCATTGAAATTAATCTAGATCTAAAATATAGGAAAACCCAATCCTTTTAGTCAGATATATTAAAATAACATATTGGAAGAAAAAAAGTTTTTGATAATAGTGTGTCTAAAGTTACTATCCCATAAGTTAGCAATTATGAGAATGTCCAAATTCAGCAATAATTAAATACTATACATGCAGCTATTTTCTGGCACTGAAGAAAATCATGATAGTAATGGTAGTAGTAATAACAATGGCACTGGCAAGAATACAGCATAGTCCTAATATAAATATTTTCTTTTTGACTTTTGAGATGGAGTCTTGCCCTCTTGCCCAGGCTGGAGTGCAGTGGCTCAATCTCAGCTCACTGCAACCTCCACCTCCCGGACTCAAGTGATTCTCCCACCTCAGCCTCCTGAGTAGCTGGGACTACAGGTGTGCACCACCACGCCCAGCTAAAAAGTATTTTCTATATGTTTGATTTTTTTAGGAGACAATATGCCAAATTCCTTAAATTTGGCAGATTCTCATAGTATATGATCTCATACTCTGAAAGAGGGAAATAGACCTCTGGAAAAATGGATAATTCTTAGCCAGTGCATTACACACACATGCATACACACATTAGAAACAAAAGAAGCAAAAACGAAAACTCAAGGACAAACTGATTCTGATGTCATTATTTCCACAGCAAACAGCTGGGATTTTTACATATGTGACATTAACTTAGAAAACTTAGAAAATTGAAAGCTCCTACTTCATCCTCACTGTCATGTTAGTGTCACCTGGGGGTTGTGATCTGAATCTTCACTGAACTCTCTTCATTATTATTGCATTCATTGATTTTGATGATATTAAATTGCCTTTTGGAAAATATTCACTATTCAGTTGTTGGAGTCCCTTCCTCCTTTAACCTGTTCTCCCAAAACAGCTTTGATTTTTTTAAGAGACAGTATGCCAGGCGTGCTGGTTAGCCTAGAATTAGTAGACACAAGGAACCTTCTGTCAGAGGGATTGTTGTGTCTGGCACAGGATCATTTGGGCACAGTATCATAGCTTGCCTGGCAGAAGTCTAAGCAAAGGGACACAACACTCTTGGCAAGTTGAGAGTGGGAAGGGTAATGTCTTATGTTGCCCAAGTAACTCTGTTTTAGTTAGAATCCTGACTAGCTGAAAAAGCATACTTCTCTCAATGGCCTTGGTGAAGCCTTTTGATGATTGACTATTTCCTTAAGAGTTTAAGAGAAGGCTCAGAAAAGGGCTTTCATTCTGTTAACTTCTTGCTTTTTGCTATGTACATTGTTATATTGGTGGAAATTTCACATTTCATTATTTTATTTCCTTTTCCCCTCAGTACTAAACATATATATATATATTTTTTGTAAATTGAGGTGGGAGATGACCTTTTGAATCTCTAAAACCTAGTGTTGTGATTATCAATGTGTGGATTCTAAGATATGTGCTACCAACTAATAATAGCACCAAGAAAACCTCTGGATGCTCACTGGATATGCCTGGGGATGGATATTAACATGGTAAATTTTACTCAAAATAGGATATTAGAAATTATTTTCATATTTAATTATATTCACATTTGTCATATAACTAAGAGATTTCTTTCTTTTGACAGGGTCTTGCTCTGTCACCTAGGGCTGGAGTGTAGTGGTGCATACATGGCTTACTGCAGCCTCATTTTTCTGGGCCTAAGCGATCCCCCTGCCTTAGCCTCCTGTGTAGCTTGGACCACAGGCATGTGTTAGCATGCCCAGCAAACTTTTTAATTTTTTGTAGAGATGAGGTCTCATTTTGTTGTCCAAGCTGGTCTCAAAAAATCCTCCCTCCTTACCTTCCTAAAATGCTGGGATTATAGGTGTGAGCCACCACACCTGGCCTGATTTCTTTTTTTTTTTGGAAACGGAGTCTTGCTCTGTCGTCCAGGCTAGAGTACAATGGCGGGATCTTGGCTCAATGCAAGCTCCACCTCCTGTGTTCAAGCCATTCTCCTGCCTCAGCCTCCTGAGTAGCTGGGATTACTGGCACCTACCACCATGCCTGGCTAATTTTTTGTGCTTTTAGTAGAGATGGGGTTTCACCGTGTTAACCAGGCTGGTCTCGATCTCCTGACCTCGTGATTTGCTTGCCTCAGCCTCCCAAAGTGCTGGGATTACAGGCGTGAGCCACTGCACCTGGCCGATATTTTTTTTTCCTTAATGATAGATTAAAAAGGTCTCATTTCATTTATTTTTTATAATTTCAACTTTTAGATTCAGGGGGTACATGTACAAGTTTGTTAATGGGTATATCGTGTGATGCTGAAGTTTGGGGTATGATTGATCCCATCACCCAGTTAGCAAGTGTAGTACCCAATAGTTAGTTTTTCATCCCTAGCCCCTCTCCCTTTCTCTCTCCCTCCCTCTCTGCTCTAGTAGTCCCCAGTGTCTACTGTTGCCATCTTTATGTCCATGAATACCCAGTGTTTAGCTCACACTTATAAGTGAGAACATGCAGAATTTGTTTTCTGTTCCTGTGTTAATTTACTTAGGATAATGGCCTGCAGCTGCATCCATGTTACTGGAAAGCACATGATTTTGTTCCTTTTTATGGCACATAACTAGGAGATTTCTATCCTCATTATTAATGTATTAGCTTGCTTTCTGTATTGTTAATATCATTAAGCAAATACATGTTTTGTGTGTGTAGAGAACTATTCTGGGCCCTGGGGATACAATTAGTAAGTCATAGACTCTGCATACAAGGCGTCTTGCTGAGAATTTGACCTATCAAAGATAACTACAATAAAATCCAATGTACTACAATAGATAATGGGAAACTGATGGTAGTGGCTAGTATCTGCTAGGTTGAGAAGAATAGTCAAGGCAGGCTTCATAGTGAAGGTAATGTTTAAACTAAGTCTTTCAGACCATGTAGAAGCTTTAAGCAGGAAAATGCATTCCAGACAGAGGAAACAGCATGTGTAAATATATGAGGGCATGTGAAACTGTGGCACACTTGCAGAATTGTTAGAGATTGTTATGGAAATGGTTTATAATAGCTAACAGCAATATGCATGAGCAGTTAAGTTGTGCCAGACACTGTTCCAACTGCTGTGTCCATATAAAGATATGTAATCTTCATAATAATACTAAGAAAGAAATAGTACTGTTATTCCCATTTTATAGATGGGGTAACTGAGGCAGAAAGAAGTTAAGTAACTTATACAAGGTGTTATTGCTATTAAGTTCCACAGCTGACATTTGAATTCAAACTTTCTGGCCAATGCACTAAATCAGGAGTCAGCAAACTACAGCTCATGGGCCAAATCCAGCCCACTGCCTGTTTTTGTACAACCTATAAGCTAAAAATAGTTTTGCACTTTTAATTAGCTGAAAAAGTATTTTGTGATATGTGCAACTTATATGAAATTCAGATTTTTAGTGTCCATAAAATTTTACTGGAACCCAGCTATAGTCATTGGTATTAGTATTGTCCATAGCTGCTTTTAGGTTATAATGACAGAGTTGAATGTTTGCAAGAGACTATGATCTGCAAAGTGTGAAGTACTTCTTTCTTTTTGCTCTTTTTTCTCTTGTTTTTTTAGAGACAGGGTCAGGCTCTGTCACTCACACTGGAGTATAATGGCACAATCATACCTCACTGCAGTTTTGACCTCCTGGGCTTAAGCAAGTTTTTCATCTCAGCCTCCCGAGTAGCTAGGACTACAGTTGTCCACCACCATGCCTGGCTAATTTAAATTTTTTTCTTTTTTTGTAGAGATAGATTCTTCCCACATTGCCCAGGCTGGTCTTGAACTCCTGCCCTCAAGCAATTCATTCACCTTGGTCTCCCAAATAAAGTACTTTCTATTTGGCTCTTTACAGAGAAAGTTTGCTCTAAATCAATGCACTATACTGCCTTACAGTATATTTTGTTTTATTAATTAACACAAAGAATATCATATTTAATAGCAATACTTGGACTTATGTACTAGTTATCTTTTTAAAAATCTGTTTTCATATTTGTCATCTTGTGTCCTCACATCAACCCTGAAATAAAAAGAAGGTTAAATTTGGTGTTTTTCTTGTATAGCTAAGAAACTTAGCTGTGGAAAGATTAGGATGGGCTGTGACATTAAAGTCAGACTCTTTTGCCTATACAGTATCTTATAACTTCCTCCATTCTGTTCTGAAATTTCTCCTCTACCTCTGTCCTACATAACAGTTGTTCAGAGTTTCACCTTGAGGACACTTTATAAATGAGACAGTTGAGAAAGATTGAAAGCAAGGTAACACACACTCTTTCCTTAACCTTCAGTGCCTCTGCGACAGCATCTGAAATTTTCTTTTTTTTTTTAAGTTTTTTTTTTCTTTTATTATTATACTTTAAGTTTTAGGGTCACATGGACACAGGAAGGGGAACATCACACTCTGGGGACTGTTGTGGGATGGGGGGAGGGGGGAGGGATAGCATTGGGAGATATACCTAATGCTAGATGACAAGCATCTGAAATTTTCTGTCTTGGCAAGCTTCACCTAATTCTGAGCACCCTGCTAGCGAAGTGCTCCGGGAGGCTGAGATTTGACTGCAGATAAGTAAGCACTTACCATCAAAGGAGACAGGGGGCGTTTCTCATTTTCATTTCCATAAAGGGATGCCATTGCTTTGCCAGGCTATGTGGAAAGTCTTTGCCTTAACAGTGAATCTTGAGTCCTCTTTCAGGTTTTTACCTGTCCATATTCTACTTTTGAAACATGAGGTTTCTACCTTTTTGCTATTCCTGATCTTTTCCTGGACTTAGGAATGCCTTCTCTTACCAACCAAATCACGGAAGCTTTTCTTTTTACCTTGGTACTACCACTAAGCTACTTGGGGAGAGTGGAATCTAACTCTTCTATTTGTGACCTCAAGGGATGTTTGTGTTATTTATTGGTTTGTATTTTTCATTCTACTTCCCTTCTAGGACATAGCAGTCTGAAGTTTGGACTACAGGCCATGTTTTGTTGTATCATTATGCTTGATGCTTTTAGGAAAAAAACAAGTTGTTCAGATTTCTAAAGTCTTAATCTCTAGTGTGTCTTCTGTTTTCAGCCTCAATAGTGAATTTGTATTATCAGATATACAAAATTGATTATACCCAGATTTGGACTGTTTAGGCCTAGCAGAAACAAGATGCAGCTTTAAGAGAGGTCAACTATGTTTCTGCTCATAGCCAGCATTTCCTTGGCCTCGGACAGTGCTGAGGTCAGAGCAATGTAGAAAAAAGAGCACAGACTATGAAATAAGACTTCCTGAGTTCAAATCCCAGGTCTACTGGTTAAGTAGTTTTGTGTTCTTGGAACAAGTTATTTCTGTCTGCTTCAGGTTCCTCATCTGTTAAATTATCATACCAATCATAAGAACTCCTTCATAGGGATACAATTAGGATTAAATGAGCTAATGTACATAAAAACACTTCAAGCCTGGTACACAGTTAAATGTTATGTGTTAGCTGCTATTATTATATTACCCTTGTATACTCTCCAGAGTTAACAAGGTACCCTCCTTTCTACACAAGAGCAAAAATGATATACTTAAACATAAATATAGTTCTATATAAGTAATGTTATACTTAAATATGAATATAAGCTCTATGTAAGTTCCTGTACATGTAAACAGATCACAGTCAGATTTCATTCATAAGAGATAAAAGTTAATTTAAGTTAGGATTAGAGGGAAGGAAAAACAATGGGTCAGGGCTCCTATAGCTGACTCCTATAGCTGGTAAAGGAAGTTGAGGGGCTTTAGACTGTGTTTTACCATAACAGAGTCACTGGCTGCTGAGGGTCCATCAAGTCTAATTGTTAGCACAAGCAGAAAATCTAAGAAGATAAAGTTCTGATCTGACACTGACTCATATTACCAAAGAACAGGTTAAGAATTTGTCTCAGTAATCAGTGTTCCCTGACTGTAATGTGCATTTCCATTTATTCATGTAACAAATATTAATAAGGCCTGTACTATACCAGACATGGTCCTCAGGCAGAAATGTAGTAATAAAAAATGATTAAGACTTTACCATTTAGTGGTGGAAAGAGACATGTAAATGATACAATGCAACAGAAATAATCTCTAATATAAAATGAGAGCTAAGTACAAAGTGTTATAGTGCAGAGTAAGAAGTTGCTAACTTGGTCAAGGGGCTACAGGAAGAACCTCCCAGTATAAGCATTATTTGGGCTGGGTGCGGTGGCTCACGCCTGTAATACCAGCACTCTGGGAGGCCAAGGTGGGCGGATCATGAGATCAGGAGATCAAGACCATCCTGGCTAACACAGTGAAACCCCGTCTCTACTAAAAAAATACAAAAAATTAGCCGGGAATGGTGGCACACGCCTGCAGTCCTAGCTACTCAGGAGGCTGAGGCAGGAGAACCACTTGAAGCTGGGAGGTGGAGTTGCAGTGAGCCAAGACACGCCACTGCACTCCAGCCTGGGCAACAGAGTGAGACTCCGTCTCAAAAAAAATTATAATATAAATTAAAAAAATAAAAATAAAACAATTATTTACCTGAGTTATAAAGAAGAAAGAGAACACTGAAACAGCAGCGATGAAGAGAATCTGAAGCAAAGAGAATAACATAGGCAAAGGTCTGGAGGAAACAGAAAATGTCCATTTTTTGGAATAGTGAGAACTCTATGCATGGATAGACTAAAAAGGGGGTAGGGGCATGCATAGAAATTTAAGTAGGGCTTCATTTGCCACACTGAGAAATTGGAACTTTACCCTATAGGCTAGGGGAAAATAGAAGGAATTGTGGCTGGTAGGGTACGTTGACAGCCATGAAGGTCCCTATATTCCATCCGTGATAAAGAGTTTCACCTTTATCCTGAAGACAACAGGGAGGTATTGAGGTTTTCAAACCAGAGAGTGATACTATCAGAATTGTATCTTAGAATGATAATTGCAGTAGGAATATGAAGATTGAACCAATGGGAGGGAAAAACTCATGAGAGACACCAGTGAGGAAACTGTAATCCAGGCTAGAGAGGATGAGGTCTTGAAGTAAGGTACTGGCAGCTAAGACACTGGGGAGGACATGGATTTGAGAAGTACCCCTGAGGTAGAATGAACAGAAAGGGTCATTTATTAGAATGTCAGTGGTGAGAAAGGATAACATGGAGATTGTTAAGAGCTTAGGACCGTGGGTGATTTGTGACACCACTTAGACAAAACAGGGAATATAAGGAAGTCTTAGAAGTCTTTTCTGTTTCTGATTCCCAACTAGTGCTAATTTCTCTTAAAGCCTAAGTGACTTACACTTAGGAACTATATTTGAGCAGCAAACTCACAAGTACTATTGCTCTTTCCATATTAAATAACCCTAAAGTGAGCCTAGAGAAATCAGTGCCAACCAGCCCAGCCTCACAGCTGTTCCCTGCGCCACAGCAAAGTCCTGGTTGGGTCAGTGTCATGAATACCGTGGCATCGGCCTGGCAAGGCATTATTGTACAGCAGCCCACACAACAGGGGAATTGAGGTTACAGTATAAGGTCTCAGCTACAGCTGAAATCTCTTTAAACGCACGTGTTATTGATAACAATGGTAACTTTACAACTCAAGAGGAAACCCCCAATTTCTTCTCGAAAATTTAAATCTTTGGAATAGAAAATGAGTTGGTAAGTTAAAAATATAGTGTTTGGCCCATATGGTATTTTAAAATTAAAGATTTTTTGCACACAAAACTTCTATATTTGAAACTCCTTTTTAAAAATTAGATTACAACACTGGGGCCAGATTCCCACAAAGTAACAACTGGTTGGAGTTGAGTGGCAGCTGCCTTCTTTAGGCAGAACATGCGTTTCTCAGTGCCCCAGGCCCCATCTATCTCTACTGTGTTACACCGAGCCTGCTTTATTAATTTGTATTACCTGCCCATCCCCTTTACTTTCTTGTTTTCCCAAAAATTTTTATTATGAAGATGTTCAAACACAGAAAAGTTGAAAGAAGTTCACAGTGACCCCCATATACCCACACAAGCTATCGTCCACTATTAATGTTGTATTTGCTTTGTCATGTATCCATCCCTTCATCCATTCATCCCATTTCAGACATTAGTAATAATTTCTCCAAATACTTAACTATAAACTAGAGTTAAATACGTCTTTACAGTATTATTTTTCTTTTGAAGTAAAATTTACATACAGTGAAAAGCACAAATCTTAGGTATACGTTCACTAAGTTTTGACAAATATCTGTATATGTTACCCCTCATTGTAGGTGTTTGAGTTGCATCTCTCAGGCATCTGACTCATTGGACAGAAAATTGTAACTGTATACTGTACTGCTTAGGGTTATATAACTGCTTTCTCTCGTGTCTTCTACCATGTAGTACTCTACCTGTGGGAGAACATGACAATAAGTGTTATGGATTAATAACATATTGTTAGCTTTGACTATATAAAACGCTTGATGAAAATATGCTGGGAAAATAATAACCTTTTATTTAATATCTCCTTTTAGGGATAATATTTGGTGTGCTGATTTATACTTTCTGCAGATTTAAACTGCCCCTAATTTCTTTGTGGCATTCACTCCTTACTCAACTCAGATCCCAGAATTGTCTTCCTTCTTTTCCCCAGGCTTACTTGACAGCTATGGAGCATTGCCCAAGCCATAGCTCTCAGGCTGTGCTCTTGTGGCCTGTGAAACACTTGTTTATGGGCACAGAGTGATCTGGAGTTAAATAGAAAAATCTCTCTCCATGGGACAACAATTTACTCTACACACCAACTTGGCAGCAGGGTAGACCATTGCGGGGCTGTGATTAAGACAGGTAGCCAAGAGAGGAAGGAGGTTTCTAATCCAGACTCATGCTAAGAAACAGAGTGGTAACCAAAGCACTTTAAAGAGATCTTTGTGTTTTGCATTTAGTCTAGTTAGGAGTAACCAACTCAAATTGACCAATTGGCCACATTCCTTATATAAAATTATTGGAGGGGTAGACTAATATCGGTTTACACTGTATATACTAAAATAAAGCTATTTTTAGGGAGATGGTATTAAGCATTGAAAATGTTCCATGAAACAAGTAGTTTCTTGACCCTGGCCATGAACTCTATTTCAGACACCTCTAAAGTGGTGGGTAGAAAGCATTTAGGTGGTTCTGTTACTGAATATATGACCTTAAATAAGAATCATTTAACTTTTCCAAGGCTGAGTTTCTTCATCTGTAACATGAAAAGTCCTAATGCTTATCACTCCAGCTTCCATATTCTTTTTTTCCTTTGCTGTTTTGTTATAATAGACTTTTTCCAAGGAATTTCTTTGATCAAGGCTGTAAAGGTGTATCATTCCATTACTTAGTGTGTCTCAGCTCTTATGTACAGAATTTGTAAGAAGCCAATTTCAACAGGACTTTCTTCTATTCAAGTGTCAGAGTTACTCAGCTATCTCACCTTTGATCTGAAAGAAAGTCATACTTGGGATTTTTATCACAATTAGTAGGCCACATTTATTGTTCCTCAAAATTAGAATTATCAGTGAGTAACAAAGTAGAGATTTGGAGACTGGAACATACAACTTCTGTTTGAAGATGACTCATGAGCTTTGAGAAAATGCAGATTTCATTTTCTGAGTTCTTCATCTTCTTTCTCCTCAACTTTCAAAAAACATAATTTGATGATAAGAAATCAGACATGTATAACCATAGTGCAAAAGTTGCCAAGTTGTAAGACAGCTGAGTGAGTTTTTCTTCATTTAAGTGAATAAAAGCATGGGGAATGGAGAAGATTGAGGGAAACATTATTTGAAGCGAAGGGCTTATTAGAATCCAAATTGAACACATTTTCGAAATTTAAGTACTGTTAACCCTTAGGCAATATGATACTTGCTCTTAATTGAAGGGAGATGTTCTCTGGTCCCAACCTGTAAACATTTGCAGTCTTGAGGTAATATGCCAGTTTACCGAGAACAAAATCTTAATCAGTATGACACTTCATGGAAAATTCTTTACTTCTGCTCTCTCGGCTGTCTCTCTTGAAAGGGTACAGATCTGTGTCCAGAGCCTGCCTGACCACTGAGTACATAATCAGATATAGTTCTCACCATTTGAGAGCCAAACTGTCTCTGCCAGTGGGGTTATGAATCTTTCACACAGGGCAGACAGTTGCTGGTGTCACCTGTCATGCTGGAGCAGACTGCTGTGATGATTTCCACTTAAGCAGTAGTTATACTATATCATGATTGGAATGAAGAGACAGGTACTTGGAAGGATTGACTCAAGCTCTGGATCAGTCAATCTTAACTACTAATAGGTTAAAGCCTTCCTGTAGTGATGATCTCCTGATGGTGGAGACTGCCAGATTTACTGTGTGAGTCCTTTATCACCTTTAATTTATTTGTACTACTGGCTCTCCGTATCCATGGGTTCTGCATCCATGGAGTCAACCAACTGCAGATTGAAAATATTTGGGAAAAATAAAAATTTAATGTTAATAAAAATAATACAAATAAAAACAGTATAGAATAATGACTATTTACATAGTATTTACATTATTTTAGGCATTTTAAATAATTAGAGATGATTTAAAGTATCTGGAAGGATGTGCATAGGTTATATGCAAATATTATGCCATTTTATTTAAGGAACTTGACCCTCAGTGGATTTTGGTGTCTGCAGGGGGTCTTGCAGCAAGTTCCCCATGGATGCTGAGGGACAGCTGTATAATTTCTTGGCATATGATTTCTTGGCCGCCTAGTTGGGGCAAGGGGACTTTGAGCTTAGAAATGTTGGGTTTCACAGGGACCTCATCAATTAGTATTTCTATCCCAGTTTCAGTCCTCAGCCAGAATACCTTCAGTAAAATGCCTCATGTGAGAACCATGATTAGTTCTTTCAGGGTTTTGCTATTGGAGCCAGAGATTGGTTAAACAGTTTCTAAAACTTTCTATTTAATGTAGTTGTCTTTTAAAAAGTTGTATGATAAATTTATTGATCACTTTTCATCTGTCAAAGAAGGGATCAGTTACAGCTGTGATTTTCAGTTACTAGTAAGGATTGAGGATATGGCAGACTCTCTAGGTTCTGAGTCTGATTCCCTATTCTATGGCAAGTTTATTAGTTTCCTGTGGCTTCTGTAACAAATTAACACAAACTTGGTGGCCTAAAACGAAATTATTCAATCATTCTCCCATAGTTCTGGAGGCCAGAAGTTTAAAATCAAGGTGTTATCAGGACCACACTCCCTCTGGTATATATACATTGTATGTATATACCATATTTTACTTATCCATTCACCCATCAACGGGCTCTTCAATTGCTTCCACATTGTAGGTATTGTGCATAAGGCTGCTGTGAACATGAGAGACCCTGCTTTCAATTATTATTATTTCTTTTGTTTGTTTGTTTGTTTTTTTGAGACAGGGTCTCATTCTGTCCCCCAGGCTGGACTACAGTCTCTGCTCACTGGAACCTCCACCTCCCAGGCTCAAGCAATTCTCGTGCCTCAGCCTCCTGAGTAGCTGGGATTACAGGCGCATGCCACCACCCCCAGCTAATTTTTTGTATTTTTAGTAGAGACAAGGTTTTGCTATGTTGCCCAGGCTGGTCTTGAACTCCTGAGCTCAGGCGGTCCACTCGCCTCAGCCTACCAAAGTGCTAGAATTACAGGCATGAGCCATTATGACCGGTATCAATTATTTTGAGTTTATACCCAGAATTCTTCTGGATATATATTCAAAATCCTATTTTTGAATAGAAAATAGAAACGGTAATTCTATTTTTTTTTTTGAGGAACTTCCATACTGTTTTCCATAGAGGCTATACCATTTTACATTCCCCTGAGCAGTGCACAAGGATTTTAATTCCTTGCCAACACTTTTTTTTTTTTTTGAGATGGAGTCTTACTCTGTCACCAGGCTGGAGTGCGATGGCGTGATCTTGGCTCACTGCAACCTCCATCTCCGGGGTTCAAGTGATTCCCCTGCCTCAGCCTCCCAAGTAGCTGGGACTACAGGCACGCACCAACACACCCAGCTAATTTTTTGTATTTTAGTAGAGACGGGGTTTCACCATGTTGGCCGGGATGGTCTCAATCTCCTGATCTCGTGATCCACCCACCTCAGCCTCCCAAAGTGCTGAGATTACAGGTGTGACCCACCACGCCCAGCCAACACTTTTTAAATATTTCCTTGCATGCTAAAATTTTATTTTTATATTTCATAATTTATTTTTAGAGATAGGTCTTGCGTGTTGCCCAGGCTTGAGTTCAGTGGTGCTATCATAGCTCACTGCAGCCTCAATCACCTGGGCTCAAGCAATCCGCCCTCCTCAGCCTCCCAAATAACTGGGACTACAGGCCTATTTTGTTTTTTTGATAATAGCCATCCTAATAGTTATGAGGTGCTATCTCATTGTAGTTTTGATTTTCATTTCCCTAATGATTAATGACATTGAGCATTTTTTCATATGCTTATTGGTGGCCATTTTTATATCTTTGGATACATGTCCATTCAAATTTTTTGCCCATTTTTGAATCAGGTTGTTTATTTTTTGTTGTTGAGTTTTAGGAGTTCTCGATATATTCTGGATATTAATCCCATACAGATATGTGATGTGCAAATTTAAAAACTTTATTACATACATATATTTTTGCTTATAAAAAATATGGAATGCTTCATGAATTTGCTTGTCATCCTTATGTAGGGGCCATGCCAATCTCTGTTTTGTTCCAATTTTAGTATATGTACTGCCGAAGTTAGCATTGATTTGCAATATTTTCTCCCACTCTATGGACTGCCTTTTTACTCTTTTGGTGTGTTTTTTGATATACTCTCTCAACAATTTTGTCCACACGATTTGTTGAAATCAAGGAAAGCATGGGCCGAAAAATCCAAACAAGTAGGTGTTAGGCTGCACTAAGCCCAGCTTCTAGTGTAACATATGCCCAGACATCTGGAGCTGGGTTTTATGGGGAAGACAGTTGTTCTGAGGCCAAGGCAGGTAGTATTAGTGATATTCTGAGACACAACAGCAAGGTCAGCTCTGAAAGCTGGCACTTGCTGGTGGCAACAGTTGCAGGCTATTTTGGGAACCAAGGAGGCTTTGTTTTGTGAGGCCTTCTCTGCACTGCCAGATTTAACCCTGGCACTGATTGATATCAGCCACTTTTGCCTTTGATATGGAGAGAGCAGTATCAGGTACAGTAGTGAGATCACAGTGCTCTTTCCCCAGATTATTGGTAAAATCAAGTATTTTTCTTGGAGATTGTCATTGCCAGACAAATGTGACATGCCGATGTTAGGAAGCTTTAATTTATTACCTGGCAGTTTTTCTAAATAGTTCCTTCATACTAGTAATTAAGTTATGTCTCTACTTCTTAAGGAGCTTAGAACACCTTGTTACTTTAGTAAAATTCGATATGTCTTCAGGAATGCAAAATAGGAGGAAATAGACTTAAACTACATCAGAAGGAATCTGGGCCAAATGCAAAGAATTTCTCCATTATCATGTGTGACATCAAAAGCTTGTTTAGCCTGCTTCCCAAGAAAAGGAAAGACCTATCTCTCTGGAAGATTTAGCATAGTTCTGTGTAGAGGCGTGATGTTGAAGTTCATGACCCTGGAAACAGTTTTATAAGTGGGCAAATCTGCTCATCTACCATGCTTCAGTCGTGAATGAGTCAGCAGCACAGCTGCCGATGGAGTGGGCAGAAGGGCATCTAAATTTAGTCGTTATTCACTTGAGAAGATTTTCAGGAACTGTGTCTCTCATCCGTGCTTTAGTCTCTCATCCATGCTTTAGTCATATTCCTTCTTCTGGAGACAAAAAAAAAAAGCAAGAGAACAGTCACTCCAAGGTGCTTCATGAGAGTGAGTGTCCTACAACTCTGTTGATTGGTCTTACCTACAAGAATGATTCTCTTCCACCTTAACTGGGTGCATACTATTTTATTCATATAGCTCCTGAATTTAAGAATCCATGGGATTCTGAACATTAGAGAGGGAATTCTCTGCAGTTAGACTTACACACAAGCTCCAGAATCTTGCTAGTTCAAAGACATTTTTAACCAAACTGCTTTCCTCCTGTAAGGTACTGGGGGTGGGGAGGGCTGTGATCATTGAGGACTAAGTGCTTTTTGTTTTTTTTTCCCCTTGAGGCAGTTGCTGTGTGTTACATGTTGCCTTAACAACAACAAAGTCAGAAACAATTCCAAGGGCTTATCTCCTTTAATCTTTACAAAACCTTATGAGGTAGGTGGTACTCCCAATGCTACAGATGAGTACATATGCTTATAGTTAGGTTAGATACCCCACTCTAGGTTGTACATATCAGCAGAGCTGGTATGCAAGCCCTGGTCTGTCTGACTCCAAAGCTGGTGCTTTTATTTATTTTACAAATAGAGATGGGGTCTCACTGTGTTGCACAGGTTCTCCTGGACTCAAGCAATCCTCCCACCTCGGCCTCTCAAAGTGCTGGGACTACAGGTGTGAGCCACCATGCCTAGCCAAAACTTTTTTAAACAACATACCATCCTTCACTTTGTGGAGGGTATGGGGAATGATTTAGACAGTTGGCCTCCTTTATTTTCTGTAAGATGGTTCTTCACAGATTGATGATCGCCAAATTACATTTTTAGATTAGGCTAGTTTTGTTGTTCTTGTTATTCTCTCAAACTTCCTTACAGTGTCATTCCCGTAAAATTTTGTATCAAACTGGCTGTAGTGGCATGTAACTGTAGTCCCAGCTACTTGGAAGGCTGAGACAGAGGCTTTTTGAGCCCAAGAATCAATGACCAGCCCTGGCAACAGAGCAAGACCCTGTCTCAAAAATGTTTTTTCTATCAAGGATTTGAGATTTATAAGACACAATATCACAAAATTTAAAAGAAGAGAACTGAAGTAGTGATGAGGTGAAGGAGATTAAGAAAAGGAGAGGAGAAGTAAGAGGGGAGGAAAGAGAAAAGACAAGTTTTCTCCCATTTGATACCTGGAGTAGCCGGGCTTATTTTAGGGCCTCTGGAATGTGGCTGCTGTTTATTGTCTTTAAAGGCCAAAGAATGATCTTGAAAACATTGGCTTCTAAAAGTCTGCTTGATAGTAGTGTGGACATTAGAGCTAAGTTTTTGGATTGTTCTTTCAGAGCCAAAGAAATTTTGCAACGCAGCAAGAAGCAATTGACCCAGCTGTCCTGGCCTACACAGGTTTAGACGGCACATTTGACCTTCTTGATATAGGAGTATTACTAAGGGCAAAGAGTGTTTTTAGCACAACCTTTAAAATTCTTTTTTCTTATTGGACTTCAGTACCTTTTTGAAAGTGTCCCCTTCCATTTTTTTACTTAAAAATATTTATTTACAAAAAAGAAAAATAAATAAAATAAAAATGTTGATTTACAGTTTTTAGTGAGATACTCTGTGATAAGTTGGCTAGATCTTGCCATATGGGATTGCAAATGGGCAGACATACAATATATGACCAATTTAGTGATAAGCATACTTATGAAGTATTTGTAAATATGATGAATAATTATGAAACATTTTACATGGTAAAGAATGGGATATACTTGTGGAAGTTGATAAACCTAAGAAAACATCATAGAAGAAATATAATTTCTGGAGCTGCTGTTGAAAACTAGACCATTATGAATACTGGCTATAAAAGTCAGATTGGCCAGAAGGTCAGATTGGAGGAATATATTATATAGCATCAAATCAAACCTAGATTGACATTTTTAGCTAATCTCAGTAACTGTAAAAGAAGTATCAAATATTTTGGGAAAAAAATAACAAAGATGCTGTTTGTAACCAAGTTATCTAATTAAATTTTCATCTAAATGAAATCACGCTTTTTTCATTCATCACCTTTCTATGCAGGATTGATATGAGGTTTATCTCTGAAGGGAATTCCTGTAAGTTCTCTTGGTATCATATGTACTACTTAAGTCCTGTAGTTACAAGGGCCCTCTAGAGTTCTAACTGTAATTCTTTCCACAGTAATCTTTTGCCGTTTAAATAGTTATTCATTATCACCATGAAATATCTTTTGGTATGCTTGATTAAAGACAGTGGTTATCAAACTGATCTCAGGATTCCTTTATACTTAAGAAATCATTTAGGACTCCCAAAATTTAACCAGGACTTTGTTTGTATTGATTATTATATGTTACTGAGAAATTTTTAAAATATGTAGTTATTAAATATGTACTTAAGTCATTTAAAGCAACAATGACCCAGCTTACATGTTAATATAAATGACATATTTTAATTAAAAATAGTGATATTGTTTTACATTTTTACAAATTTATTTTAATGTCTGTATTCAATCTGCTGTGATATATTATTTTGATGAAAGTATATAAAATCTGGCCTCTCAAAGGTATATATTTGGAAAAGGGAGGAGCATTTTAATAGTCTGTTCAGACAATTGTAGATGTTTTTCTTGGATATTATACCAAACTCCAACAGGTGATGCTTCGTTTCCTTTTTTTTTTTTTTTTTTTGAGACACAGTCTCTGTGGCCCAGGCTGGAGTGCAGTGGTGCCATCCTGGCTCACTGCAATGTCTCCCTCCTGGGTTCAAGTGATTCTTGTTCCTCAGCCTCCTGAGTACCTGAGATTACAGGTGTGCACCACCATACCTGCCTAGTTTTTGTATTTTTAGTAGAGATGAGGTTTCACCATGTTGGCTAGGCTGGTCTCAAACTCCTGACCTCAGGTGATCCACCTGCCTTGGCCCCCCAAAGTGCTGGGATTACAGGCATGAGCCACCACATCCGACCTGATAGTTTCTTAAATGTAAGTTTTAGAAATGGTAGTTGAAGACATGAGTTTCTTAAATGTTCATGCAGTGTGGAAACTGAAACCATGTCAATGGACTTTTCTTACTCTGTTACATTAAAACACATTAGTCTAACTTGTACTTTGAATGAATCTTTTACTTCATGTATGATTTTCTAAACTATGCATTTGTTTATTTGGAAAATATAGGTTGATTGAGTTACAGAGATCTTACAAATCTAAATGCATTTCATTATATAATAACAAATCAGATTTGTTGATAGTCAAACAGATCTTATCAGAAAAGTGAATACTGGGATGCTGTCAAGCTCATGGTGGTAGCTGTTTCCAGAATTCTTATTTTCACTTGGATGGTCACATTTTATTGCAACACATACTGATTATTTTCTCTGAGTGACAGGCTTACTTTGTTCATTTTCAAGTCCAAATAATCATAATTTGTTGGTTATTCTTTTGAATAAAAATGGTGTTATTTTGATTTTAAAAAGTGGCTAGTTCATCTCACACCTGAAGCAGATGCACAAGTGGTGTGTTTTTATTTTTATTTTTGTTTTTGTTTTCGAGACATGGTCTTGCCCTGTCACCCAGGCTGAAGAGCAGTGATCACAGCTCACTGCAGCCTCGACCTCCCAGGCTTAAGCCATCCTCCCACCTTAGCCTCCCAGGTAGCTGGGACTACACGTGCGTGCCACCATGCCTAGCTAATTTTTAATTTTTTTGCAGAGATGGGGTCTATGTTGCTCAGGCTGGTCTTGAACTCCTGGGCTCAAGCAATCCTACCGCCTCAGCCTTTCAAAGTGTTGGGATTATAGGCATAAGTTACCATGCCTGGCCCGAGGTGCTTTTTCCTAGAATCAACCATCATACCTCAAAATGCAGCAGAAGTGCTTTACGTATACTTTCCATTTTCTCACACAGAATATTAAAAAAAACATTTCTACTACTTCTTCAAGGTTATTCTTAAGTGAAACTGGCTTTCTTTTTTATTTTTTTAACTGTACGTGGTGAGGGAATATAGTGCCTGCTGGTAGTTTTTGATGCCATTGTCTTGCTTCATGTTAAGGCACCAGCGGTTTTACTCACCATTGCTTTTGCATCATTAGTGTAAATGTCAATACAATGAAAATGCAAGTAATATCTTAATATTATTATGAAAATCCTTTGATTTGGATAATTCTTCCTGAGCTGAAGCTTTAGCCTTGTTTTTTAAAGGAGGGCATTAAAAGGCAAGTTTTAAAAAGGGAGTCTCATTTGTTTGTTGGTCCTGAATTATCCCAATGGTTTTGTAACCATCCAAGCCTTGGTAATGATTACCATTTTCACATGTGGGCCTTCTACCACATTTTTATTCTGTAGCTATGTCAAGACCTTTTGGTTTTTTTAGATCTCATTGCTGTTTGTGACTCTTTCTGTTAGTCTTATGGTAAGCCTAACGCCTTTATTCAGAAAGCTTCTGCTTTCTCCTAATTGCTGCCATGAAATGAGCAGACGAGACTCCCTAACCATCCATAACTGCAAGCATACTTTGCCATAGTGTTTGAAGCCATTCAGAAAATACATGAAAATACATTTTTTCTGTTTGAAATGATCACCCTACCCTTTCTCACCAAAGCAGTGTTTGTTTAGCAATTCTAGAGTCGTAAACTACAACTTCCCACTGAGAAAAATTGCATTTGATCCTGTGTGATTTTTTCTTTTTTAAATGAATGAAGGAATGAATTTTTTTAATAATAGAGATAGGGTCTCACTATGTTACCCAGGCTGGCCTCAAACTCCTGGCATCAGGCGATCCTCTGATTATTTTCTTTTAAAATTGATAAGCATCTGTGACAAATAGGTGGCAGTGAAATAAAATAAAATTCATATACAAATCAGTGTTTTGTAACATACTTTCCTTTTTATAACATAATGATGAAACAGCTTATTTATTTGTAGCACTTTAGAAATCGCTTTCACAATTAATCCTAATAATACTATAAATAAGATTTAAGTGTCATAAGCCAGGTGCAGTGGCTCACACCTGTAATCCAAGCACTTTGGGAGGCTGAGGTGGGTGGATGACCTGAGGTCGGGAGTTCGAAACCAGCCTGACCAACATGGAGAAATCCCATCTCTACTAAAAATACAAAATGAGCCAGGTGTGGTGGCACATTCCTGTAATCCCAGCTACTAGGGAGGCTGAGGCAGGAGAATCGCTTGAACCTGGGAGGCAGAGGTTGTGGTGAGCCGAGATCATGCCATTGCACTCCAGCCTGGGCAAAAAGAGTGAAACTCTGTCAAAAAAAAAAAAAAAAAAGATTAAGTATGATTATACATGAAACTGTGTTTCACAGTTTAGATATTAAGGCATGGAGACATTTAAGAGCTTGCATAAGATCACAAAGCCTACAAGTCATGCTCTGGACACAGTATGGAAGAAATAGAAATTAATGTATTTATTAGAACTGCTGGGCATTGTCAATGCCCAGAGCAGTGTCTGGCACATAGTGGAACTCAATGAATACTTGTTGAATGAATGAACGGGCTTTTCTTTTCAGGCCTGTATTGATGAAAATCTGGACATGGTGAAGTTTCTGGTGGAGAAGAGAGCCAATGTAAACCAGCAAGACAAAGAGGACTGGACACCCCTTCATGCAGCAGCTTTCTGTGGCTATCTCAACATAGCAGAGTGAGTGAGTCTCTGTGTGTGTAGCTTTGCAGTATTTGTAGGAATGGCCTTCATTTCTCCTCTATTCTTAGGAATTTGAATTTTTAAATAGTTATAATCTCTCTTTATTACAGATTACAAAAGCAGAAAGTTGAATTATCTTTAAGACATAACTAATACAATGGTTTGTAAAGCTGCTAAATCCATAGTTTTTTAGTTGAAACTCTTTTTGTTTGCTTCTATTTTCAGGTAATTTATAATTTGCTGGGATATGCAGAGGTGGCTGTTCCACTGTCTGGGTTCACTTTCTGAACAACTGTAGCTGGGCACGTATATAGGCAGGCCTGGAGATGTTTTTCTGGATTCTTTGTAAACCTATTTCATTGTTTTTTTAAAAAAATCAGTGCTTAGTACAAATGAAGATAAAAAATGCCTAGCATACCAGTCACAGCACTCGTGTAGTTAATAGCAGAAGAATGAGCCTAAACAGGTGGAACAAAGGAAAGGTGGGCACTGGCATGTGTTGTCCACATTAGTTGAATGGGAATATTTAATAAGATACATTAGGAGCTACTAATCTCCAGGACAACTAGTTGCCCCTCCCGTGGGCAGAAGAATCCTGACCATGTGGTACCTGAGATATAAGAGGCACTGAATAAATATCTGTTGTGTGAAGGAATGATCGGGGAGTTTATTTTTAAACAAGGAAACATCTTTAAAATGGCAGTCAAAACATCTTTAAAATGAGGTAGTTGAGTGTATCCTAGATAAGGGTAAATTTATATTGTTAAGGTAAATTCCCTAAATAAAATCATGATATTCTATGCTCCTTTGAAAATCAGATTGCTTGTGTGAAGGCCCTTTTCAATAATACGATTAGAGCTCCATTACATTTCTCCTGTCCAGGAAACAGCAGGGAGAATTTTGTTGGCAGCTGTGTAGAGGCCTGATAATGACTTCCCGCAGAATCTGATTTGCCCAGGTTTCCTAAGGGAGAGCCTGAGTTGCTAGGTTTGCTGCTGACCCAGGGATGCTCAGTGGGAGAAGTTAAACAAAGGGAGAGTCAGAGCCAGAGAAACTTTAGGCAGCAGCACTGGTGTTTGACTGGGCTGCTTGTTCTAAAAAGTGGATGACTGGCTTGGCCCCAGAGCCAACAGAAATAAACAATGCAGTTTTCTTCACTCTTGATTCCTCTGTCTGTTCCAATTTAGTAAAAGTCAGTAACCTTTTCATCCCCTAGGCTGCCCATTTTCAGAGTCTAATGGGAAGGAGGGCTCTTATTCTTAGTCTTATCCAGTAACATCAGAATTCTGATGCCTAAGAGTTGAGGTAATTTTACTTAAAACATTTATTTAAGAAACATTTATAGAACATGTTGGCCTTTCAATTGCTATTTGTTCAGGTGGCATGTTTGTGATATTTGAGCTACCAAATCTCATTACATTCAAGGATTCAATTTTTTCCTAAGTTTTTTCTTTCACTTTTCTAAGGAGAGCTCATGCTTAGAATTAGGATCACTTGTGCTGGCATTATCCTCCTGTGTGTGAAGCTAGGTACAGAGAATGATTGTAATTGCTTTTTTTTTTTTTACAGTGATTTCTTTAATTCATCTTTATGAACAAATATAATTATTCTGGAAGTAAGTTCAAAATGTAACAATCTCTAGCTCAAACAAATATTACCTTGAATGAAATAAATCTGTGAGAGCTACTATTTCCTAAGACAGATTATTATAAATTAAACTTGGAAGTCTGACCAGGAGAGAGGTGATCTAGACCAGATTCCATTGCAGAGGTGGGGTGGCGGTAGAGATGGCCTTCTTTATTTTATTTTTCACTATGCATATCATTATTAGACAGGTTTTGACTTTACTATCATCTATTTATTTGCAGTATGTAGCATTTTTTAATATGAAATGGAAAAAAAACATTGTTTGTACTGTTCATTTCGGTTGCTTTACCTCAGGGCCAATGGAGAATGTTGTAAATAAGATCAGTCCGTGATCATCTTGTCGTTTTTATTTTTGTATCTTAAAGATCTTAGACTTTATGCTCTTATTCCCAGAATCATTAGGAAATAAATTTCAAGGTAGTAGAAATGAATAAAGGCAAACTGGCTTTCTAGGAAGAATCCAAGTACATTCTATTTCATGTTTCATGGTGATCTTTTTGTCTCAGTATGTTGTATCAAAAGCAGGGAGCTTCAGAGGCTTTTTTCCTCATTTTAAAATGAGTTCAGTTTCAATGCTAGTTAGCTGGGTGTTTTAACATTTTTTTAATGAATAAATGTTTCACTTAGAAGCAGCAGATTGACCCAAACATACAGCATTTGGCTTTACAGTTTATTGAGATACTAATTTATTCTAAGTTTTTGAACATATTTCATTTTCTTTCTTCCTCCCTTAAGATAGTAGCATAAAGACCTTGTATTGGTGTTGAGTTAGGAGGGACAAGAAGGCCTTATTTTCTAGGGGCATATTTATTGAGCTAGTGGCTGTTTGTGAGCCTTTGGGCAACTGTAAGGATTCTCAGAGATAAAGTAGAAATTACTTCACAGGTTGATATTTATTCTTGTCCAGGTAAAAGTAAAAATAAAGAGGTTTTTAAATTTTTTTTTTCCTAGAACTGGAGAAAATGGAAAAACAGAGAGCCAAGTTACTTTCTAAAAATTTGTCCTCTTGATTGTAGAACGCAGGAAAAGCAGGGTCCTGTATACCCAAGTGACATTATGCCTGATCCAGTAGGGATGGAATAGACGTCAGAGTAGAGTGGTTAAGATATTTCATGTAATTCAAGCAGTATTTATGGAATACCAAGAGAAAAAAGCAAGTGTCAGATGCCATGGCGATAATAATTGGAAGACCCAGTTGTTGCTATGAACCAAAAAGTATCTGAGACAGGTCTCAATCAATTTAAAAGTTTATTTTACCAAGGTTAAAGACGCACACCCGGGAGACAGATCTGTGCCTTTCCCCAGAGATCAAGTTGAGAGCTTCAATACTTAAAAGGGAAAAGCAGCCTGGAGGGGAAAAGGGGAGGGCATGGTCACATTCCTGAATTCACATGTAGCCAGAGAAAAGGAGCAAGTAGGGGAATAGTCAATTACATGTTCATCTCACGCTCAGTAAATCTCGCTTTACATAAGATAATGTGAACATAGAGGTAAACATAGAACCTGTGGAGATATTTAACTTTTTATCTATAGCTATCTGCTTAGGAACAAAAGGTAAGGCAGCTTCTTGCATGACTCAGCTTTCAGTTTAATTTTTTTTCTTTTGGAATAGTGAAATTAGGGTCCCAAGTTTTTATTTTCCTTTCACATTGCCTTCAAGTAGCTTTCAGTCTGATGGAATGATTGCATCGAGGTACAGTGTAAGTCATAACCGAGGTCTAGAATTAGTGTTTGTTGGGGAGGAGAAGAGGGAGTATGGGGTTAAAGGAAGGAAAGAGGGAATTCAGTTTGTGAGAACAGGCGAAGGTTTCATGAAGGCAAAAGCATTTTAAATGAACTTCGAAAGAATTGCAAGGTTTCTACATGGGAAAAGAGAAGGGAGAGTGTTCCACCTAGTTGGAAGAAACAAGCTGTGGAAGAGAGCTGGGTGAGAGTTGATGTGTTTGGGAACAGTAAGTGGTTTAGTTTGATTATAGAGTATAGGGTACACTTCAATCCAGGAAACATTTGTTGAGTGCTTACTATGTGTATTATTTGCATTTTGATATTTCAGGGTTGGGGAGGTATAGCTGAATATTCCTTTTGCTTAATGGAGAGGAATCAGAAGAGAGGAGATGTTGAATATGTGGAAATGAAGGGTAATTTATGAACGGAATACTAGGACTTGATAGAAGTAAGAATACAAATAGAGGGAGTTAGTTTTGGAATTGAATAAGGTCTGTCTTCCTCTGAGACTATAAGGGAAAGAAGGAGATGGTTAAAAGGTGAATTGTGAAGGCTTTTGAGCTTTATACATATAGAATTGATCTATAAATTAACAAACATTTGTTGAGGCCCTATTATACCAGGTACTAGGCACTGAGAAAGCAAAAACATGTTCTTAATCTAATCTCTATTGATTCTTTTCCCTCTGCCAACTTTTTTTTTTTTTTTTTTGAGATAGAGTCTTGCTCTGTCACCCAGGCTGATCTTGGCTCACTGCAACCTCCGCCACCTGGGTTCAAATGATTCTTGTGCCTCAGCCTCCTGAGTAGCTGGGACTACAGGTGCCTGCCACCATGCCCGCCTAAGTTTTGTATTTTTAGTAGAGATGGTTTTCACCATGTTGGTCAGGCTTGTCTCGAACTCCTGGCCTCAAGTGATCCACCCACCTCAGCCTCCCAAAGGATTATAGGGGTGAGCCACTGCGTTTGGCTCCCTCTGCCAATTATTTGAATGCAGTGGCCAGTGGCCATATATTATCTCTCTCTCTTTTTTTTTTTTTTTTTAATCTCCTACAGTGTCTAAAATGTAGTTCCCATGGCCAGGCGCAGTAGCGCACACCTGTAATCCCAGCACTTTGGGAGGCTGAGGCGGGTGGACTACTTGTCGTCTGAAGTTCAAGACCAGCCTGACCAACATGGTGACACGCCATCTCTACTAAAAAAATAAAAAAGATTAGCTGGGCATGGTGTCACGTTCCTGTAATCCCAGCTAATCAGGAGGCTGAGGCAGGGGAATTGCTTGAACCTGGGACGTGGAGATTGCAGTGAGCCGAGATCACACCATTGCACTCCAGCCTGAGTGACAGACAAAGACCCTGTCTCAAAAAAGAAAAAAAAGTGGTTTCTTCAATATAGTAGGGGACCAGTAAATGTTTATTGAATTGTTGAATGGATTGAAGTCTAATTTGAAGCATTTTTCTTTTTCCTTTAAACACTTCTGAGTATTTGATAGAGCTCCTAGTGTTATTAGGGTTCTCACTGGCCCAAAAGTGACTTGATCTAAAGAAAAGATGAACTAGATTTGAAGTCAAGACAGGGGCTGTACCCTCTGCCATTTACCCGCTATGTGGTTTTGAGAAAATTACTTAATATGTATGAACCTCAATTTCTTAAAGTCATGGTAGTAATACCCACATTGCCCACTTCATAATGTTGCCTAAGACTTATGATATAATTTTATGTGAAAGCACTCTGAAAATCAAAAAGGATCTATGTAAGGTATTGAATTATCAGACCTTTCTTCTTCAGAATCAAGTATTCTATTTGGATTTAGAATTTAATTCTTTAACGTTTTAATATTTCTTCTTAAGTAATTTAGTTTCATCTTAGAGTAGAGGAAGATTTCATGTGGATGTCTGGTTGATAGGAGAGTTTTATGGAGGCATAATTTAGGCAGATTTATGCAAATTTAAATGCACACTTTATTCTTCTATTTTCACACCCACAGCACTACTTAATAAGCTCCAATGTGGCACTGGGAAAGTTTAAGGCTGCATGCCTTCTTTATGTAACTTAGAAATTCTCTTGCCATCCACTGGGAGTGACAGGATGGGAGTTAGTAACATGAGTGTGAAAGAAATCCTGTTTGTTGGCATTGCTCTAGTCAGGAAATGGGGAAGCCTTCAGTCTTAATTATTGAAGTTTAAGGCACATAGAAATTAATAATGGAATATCTTAACTGAGACCATATTTTAAACTCAAAATAGAGACTTCGTTGTGTATTGAATGCCAGATGCATGGGTAAAATTTATATTAGATTGACAGATAATATTGATCCTGGATCTTGTCTATGCAGGTATTTCATTAATCACGGAGCCAGTGGAGGTATTGTCAATGGTGAAGGTGAAGTTCCCTCTGACCTTGCAGAAGAGCCAGCCATGAAGGATCTTCTTCTGGAGCAAGTAAAGAAGCAAGGTAACCTCATGGATTGGAGGGGGCCAGGAAAGATTCTTAAACACTGCCATTTACAGAAAATAATCCTTTTGCTGTGCAGAGCATTTCACTATCACACGACAGGAGAGGATTTGATCTGTCTGCACTGCATTAATCATTAATCCAGCATCATGTATCCTCATAATAACTCAGACAAGAATAGGCCAGATGTCAAAAGGATGACCAGTCATTCCTTGTTTTTGCCATTCAGAGGTTGCATACCCATCATACAATTAAGAGTGACCTGATGAGGAGTGTGAACATTTCTTAGTGTGTGTATGCATGGTATTGGGATACAGTGTAAATTTGAGAATTGGCTAAATTCAGTTTGTGACTTTGCATCTTTTCCCTTGATGAGAGCTAAAAGTGGTGCTGATAAAAATATTTATTGTAACTAACCATGAGAATTAGTATGATAATTTGTTAAGGTGAGGAAGCGAACTTAGAATAATATATTCTAAAAATGCTTATTCTTATTTTATAGTTTTAGGAGAATCGATTTCACAGAATAGGATGGAATTTTTCAACCTGGAAGTCCCTGGGTTCTTTTTCCACCACAAAACTCTGTGGACAAGATTTGTAGTGATTTTTTTTTTGTCCTTCTGCTAAACTACCTTACTCACAATCTTGCAGTTCATCCCAGAGGATTTAGCTCCAGTGGTCTTTCCCAATATGAACTTTTAGAACAGTCAGGGCCAATTCTTGCTATGCACATTGCTTACATATTATCCAAAACTGCTTTTGTGCTACAACAGCAGAGTTGAGTAGTAGTGATGGATTGGATGAACCACAAACCTGAAAATATATATTGGCCCTTTGGAGAAAGTATGCTGATCCTACCTTAATATAGTGATGTTCTAGCTCAGTAACTACTTGCTTTTGCTGCCTTTCATGTATAGTTTCTGTGTCCTATTTTTTTGTTTGTTTGTTTGTTTTTTGTTTTTGAGACAGGGCCTCACTCTGTTGCCCAGGCTGGAGTGCAGTGGTGCCATCTCAGCTCATTGCAACCTCTGCCTTTCAGGTTCAAGTGATTCTCCTGCTGCAGCCTCCTGAGTAGCTGGGATTACAGGTGTGCACCACCATGCCTGGCTAATTTTTGTATTTTTTGGTAGAGACAGGGTTTCACTATGTTGGCCAGGCTGTTCTTAAACTCCTGACCTCACGTGATCCACCTGCCTTGGCCTCCCAAAGTGCCAGGATTAAAGGTGTGAGCTATAGCGCCTGGCTTTGTGCCCTATTGAATTGCAGAATTTTATGCTTAGCTTAACCTCCAGCCTCAATTAGTTTTATCTCCTAAGATTTGCTTTAAAAGGTACAAAAAACTTTAAAAAAATCAGTTTTAAAAAATAGTTTTGGGCTGGGCTCGGTGGCTCACGCCTGTAATCCCAGCACTTTGGGAGGCCGTGGTGGGCGGATCACGAGGTCAGGAGATCGAGACCATCCTGGCTAACACGGTGAAACCCCATCTCTACTAAAAATACAAAAAATTAGCCGGGCGAGGTGGCGGGCACCTGTAGTCCCAGCTACTCAAAAGGCTGAGGCAGGAGAATGGCGTGAACCCGGGAGGCGGAGCCTGCAGTGAGCCGAGATCGCGCCACTGCACTCCAACCTGGGCGACAGCGAGACTCCGTCTCAAAAAAAAAAAAAAAAAAAAAATAGTTTTGATTAGAGAAACCACTTTTTTCTGTTTTGATTGCTGACTCTTCATTGAGGGAACATACTCTATTGAAAGGGGTATTCATATATATGTTTAATTTGCCAGCACTGCTAACATTTCTTTGTGTTTGGAGTACTGATCTGTTTTAAATTGGTTACCTCTTCATCCCATCCATCTCCCAAAATCACACAGATAATACGTAGGTAGTTGACAGGTTCTCTCTCTTTTTTTTTTTTTTTTTTGAGACAGAGTCTCACTGTGTCTCCCAGTCTGGAGTGCAGTGGCGCAATCCCAGCTCATTGCAACCTCCGCCTCCCAGGTTCAAGCAATTCTCATGACTCAGCCTCCCGAGTAGCTGGGATTACAGGTGCCCACCACTATGCCCAGCTCATTTTTGTATTTTTGGTAGAGACAGGGTTTCACCATGTTGATCAGGCTTATCTCGAACTCTGACCTCAGGTGATCCACCCACCTAGGCTTTCCAAAGTGCTGGGATTACAGGCATGAGACACCGCACCCAGCAGTTTCTCTTTTAAGAGCTGAAAGGGAGTAGACCAAGCACAAAGACTGCTAATGAATGTAAAACTTTTTGAATGGGTATGTTTGTATTTGGGACATTTTATTATTTTGTATAATGGGGTATGCCTCACCCTAACCCCTTTTCACTGGCACAGTTATTGGTGAGTTATTGGCTAAAGGGAAGAACTCCTGGAGTTCTTTCATAATGTTCTTTTTTTTTTGTATTCTCTTATAGTATTTTTTTTATTGTTACACTTTAAGTTTTAGGGTACATGTGCTCAATGTGCAGGTTAGTTACATATGTACACATGTGCCACACTGGTGCGCTGCACCCACTAACTCATCGTCTAGCATTAGGTATATCTCCGAATGCTATCCCTCCCCCCTCCCCCCACCCCACAACAGTCCCCAGAGTGTGATGTTCCCCTTCCTGTGTCCAGGTGTTCTCATTGTTCAATTCCCACCTATGAGTGAGAATATGCAGTGTTTGGTTTTTTGTTCCTGTGATAGTTTACTGAGAATAATGATTTCCAATTTCATCCATGTCCCTACAAAGGACATGAACGCATCTTTTTTATGGCTGCATAGTATTCCATGGTGTATATGTGCCACATTTTCTTAATCCAGTCTATCATTGTTGGACATTTGGGTTGGTTCCAAGTCTTTGCCATTGTGAATAATGCTGCAATAAACATACATGTGCATGTGTCTTTATAGCAGCATGATTTATAGTCCTTTGGGTATATACCCAGTAATGGGATGGCTGGGTCAAATGGTATTTCTAGTTCTAGATCCCTGAGGAACCGCCACACTGACTTCCACAGTGGTTGAACTAGTTTACCGTCCCACCAACAGTGTAAAAGTGTTCCTATTTCTCCACATCCTCTCCAGCACCTGTTGTTTCCTGACTTTTTAATGATTGCCATTCTAAATGGTATGAGATGGTATCTCATTGTGGTTTTGATTTGCATTTCTCTGATGCCAGTGATGATGAGCATTTTTTCATGTGTTTTTTGGCTGCATAAATGTCTTCTTTTGAGAAGTGTCTGTTCATGTCCTTCGCCCCCTTTTTTTTTTTTTTTTTTTTTTTTTTTTTTTTTTTTTTTTTTGAGACGGAGTCTCGCTCTGTCGCCCAGGCCGGACTGCGGACTGCAGTGGCGCAATCTTGGCTCACTGCAAGCTCCGCTTCCCGGGTTCACGCCATTCTCCTGCCTCAGCCTCCCGAGTAGCTGGGACTACAGGCGCCCGCCACCGCGCCCGGCTAATTTTTTGTATTTTTAGTAGAGGCGGGGTTTCACCTTGTTAGCCAGGATGGTCTCGATCTCCTGACCTCATGATCCACCCGCCTCGGCCTCCCAAAGTGCTGGGATTACAGGCATGAGCCACCGCGCCCGGCCGTCCTTCGCCCACTTTTTGATGGGGTTGTTTTTTTCTTGTAAATTTGTTTGAGTTCATTGTAGATTCTGGATATTAGCCCTCTGGCAGATGAGTAGGTTGTGAAAATTTTCTCCCATTTTGTAGGTTGCCTGTTCACTCTGATGGTAGTTTCTTTTGCTGTGCAGAAGCTCTTTAGTTTAATTAGATCCCATTTGTCAATTTTGGCGTTTGTTGCCATTGCTTTTGGTGTTTTAGACATGAAGTCCTTGCCCATGCCTATGTCCTGAATGGTAATGCCTAGGTTTTCTTCTAGGGTTTTTATGGTTTTAAGTCTAATGTTTAAGTCTTTAATCCATCTTCAATTAATTTTTGTATAAGCTGTAAGGAAGGGATCCAGTTTCAGCTTTCTATATATGGCTAGCCAGTTTTCCCAGCACCATTTATTAAATAGGGAATCCTTTCCCCATTGCTTGTTTTTGTCAGTTTTGTCAAAGATCAGATAGTTGTAGATATGTGGCATTATTTTTGAGGGCTCTGTTCTGTTCCATTGATCTATATCTCTGTTTTGGTACCAGGACCATGCTATTTTGGTTACTGTAGCCTTGTAGTATAGTTTGAAGTCAGGTAGTGTGATGCCTCCAGCTTTGTTCTTTTGGCTTAGGATTGACTTGGCAATGCGGGCTCTTTTTTGGTTCCATATGAACTTTAAAGTAGTTTTTTCCAATTCTGTGAAGAAAGTCATTGGTAGCTTAATGGGGATGGCATTGAATCTGTAAATTACCTTGGACAGTATGGCCATTTTCATGATATTGATTCTTCCTACCCATGAGCATGGAATGTTCTTCCATTTGTTTGTATCCTCTTTTATATCCTTGAGCAGTGGTTTGTAGTTCTCCTTGAAGAGGTCCTTCACATCCCTTTCAAGTTGGATTCCTAAGTATTTTATTCTCTTCGAAGCAATTGTGAATGGGAATTCACTCATGATTTGGCTCTCTGTTTGTCTGTTGTTGGTGTATAAGAATGCTTGTGATTTTTGCACATTGATTTTGTATCCTGAGACTTTGCTGAAGTTGCTTATCAGCTTAAGGAGATTTTGGGCTGAGACAATGGGGTTTTCTAGATATACAATCATGTCGTCTGCAAACAGGGACAATTTGACTTCCTCTTTTCTTAATTCAATACCCTGTATTTCCTTCTCCTGCCTAATTGCCCGGGCCAGAACTTCCAACACTGTGTTGAATAGGAGTGGTGAGAGAGGGCATCCCTGTCTTGTGCCAGTTTTCAAAGGGAAAACTTCCAGTTTTTGCCCATTCAGTATGATATTGGCTGTGCGTTTGTCATAGATAGCTCTTATTATTTTGAAATACGTCCCATCAATACCTAATTTATTGAGAGTTTTTAGCATGAAGCATTGTTGAATTTTGTCAAAAGGCTTTTATGCATCTATTGAGATAATCATGTGGTTTTTGTCTTTGGTTCTGTTTATATGCTGGATTACATTTATTGAGTTGCATATATTGAACCAGCCTTGCATCCCAGGGATGAAGCCCACTTGATCATGGTGGATAAGCTTTTTGATGTGCTGCTGGATTCGGTTTGCCAGTATTTTATTGAGGATTTTTGCATCAATGTTCATCAAGGATATTGGTCTAAAATTCTCTTTTTTGGTTGTGTCTCAGCCCAGCTTTGGTATCAGGATGATGCTGGCCTCATAAAATGAGTTAGGGAGGATTCCCTCTTTTTCTATTGATCGGAATAGTTTCAGAAGGAATGGTATCAGTTCCTCCTTGTACCTCTGGTAGAATTCGGCTGTGAATCCATCTGGTCCTGGACTCTTTTTGGTTGGTAAGCTATTGATTATTGCCACAATTTCAGATCCTGTTATTTGTGTATTCAGAGATTCAACTTCTTCCTGGTTTAGTCTTGGGAGAGTGTATGTGTCGAGGAATTTATCCATTTCTTCTAGATTTTCTAGTTTATTTGCATAGAGGGCGTTTGTAGTATTCTCTGATGGTAGTTTGTATTTCTGTGGGATCGGTGGTGATATCCCCTTTATCATTTTTTATTGCATCTATTTGATTCTTCTCCCTTCTTTTCTTTATTAGTCTTGCTAGCGGTCTATCAACTTTATTGATCCTTTCAAAAAACCAGCTCCTGGATTCATTAATTTTTTGAAGGGTTTTTTGTGCCTCTATTTCCTTCAGTTCTGCTCTGATTTTAGTTATTTCTTGCCTTCTGCTAGCTTTTGAATGTGTTTGCTCTTGCTTTTCTAGTTCTTTTAATTGTGATGTTAGGGTGTCAATTTTGGATCTTTCCTGCTCTCTCTTGTGGGCATTTAGTGCTATAAATTTCCCTCTACACACTGCTTTGAATGCGTCCCAGAGATTCTGGTATGTTGTGTCTTTGTTCTCGTTGGTTTCAAAGGACATCTTTATTTCTGCCTTCATTTCGTTATGTACCCAGTAGTCATTCAGGAGCAGGTTGTTCAGTTTCCATGTAGTTGAGCGGTTTAGAGTGAGTTTCTTAATCCCGAGTTCTAGTTTGATTGCACTGTGGTCTGAGAGATAGTTTGTTATAATTTCTGTTCTTTTACATTTGCTGAGGAGAGCTTTACTTCCGAGTATGTGGTCAATTTTGGAATAGGTGTGGTGTGGTGCTGAAAAAAATGTATATTCTGTTGATTTGGGGTGGAGAGTTCTCTAGGTGTCTATTAGGTCTGCTTGGTGCAGAGCTGAGTTCAATTCCTGGGTATCCTTGTTGACTTTCTGTCTCGTTGATCTGTCTAATGTTGACAGTGAGGTGTTAAAGTCTCCCATTATTAATGTGTGGGAGTCTAAGTCTCTTTGTAGGTCACTCAGGACTTGCTTTATGAATCTTGGTGCTCCTGTATTGGGTGCATATATATTTAAGATACTTAGCTCTTAGTCTGTTTTATCGGAGACTAGGATTGCAACCCCTGCCTTTTTTTGTTTTCCATTTGCTTGGTAGATCTTCCTCCATCCCTTTATTTTGAGCCTATGTGTGTCTCTGCACTTGAGATGGGTTTCCTGAATACAGCACACTGATGGGTCTTGACTCTTTATCCAATTTGCCAGTCTATGTCTTTTAATTGGAGCATTTATTCCATTTATATTTAAAGTTAATATTGTTATGTGTGAATTTGATCCTGTCATTATGATGTTAGGTGGTTATTTTGCTCATTAGTTGATGCAGTTTCTTGCTAGTCTTGATGGTCTATACATTTTGGCATGATTTTGCAGTAGCTGGTACCAGTTGTGCCTTTCCACATTTAGCGCTTCCTTCAGGAGCTCTTTTAGGGCAGGCCTGGTGGTGACAAAATCTCTCAGCATTTGCTTGTCTGTAAAGTATTTTATTTCTCCTTCACTTATGAATCTTAGTTTGGCTGTATACGAAATTCTGGGTTGAAAATTCTTTTCTTTAAGAATGTTGAATGTTGGCCCCCACTCTCTTCTGGCTTGTAGAGTTTCTGCCAAGAGATCCACTGTTAGTCTGATGGGCTTCCCTTTGTGGGTAACACGACCTTTCTCTCTGGCTGCCCTTAACATTTTTTCCTTCATTTCAACTTTGGTGAATCTGACAATTATGTGTCTTGGAGTTGCTCTTCTCGAGGAGTATCTTTGTGGTGTTCTCTGTATTTCCTGAATCTGAATGTTGGCCTGCCTTGCTAGATTGGGTAAGTTCTTCTGGATCCTGCAGAGTGTTTTCCAACTTGGTTCCATTCTCCCCGTCACTTTCAGGTACACCAATCAGACGTAGATTTGGTCTTTTCATATAGTCCCATATTTCTTGGAGGCTTTGTTCATTTCTTTTCATTCTTTCTTCTCTAAACTTCCCTTCTTGCTTCATTTCATTCATTTCATCTTCCATCGCTGATACCCTTTCTTCCAGTTGATCACATCGGCTCCTGAGGCTTCTGCATTCTTCACGTAGTTCTCGAGCCTTGGTTTTCAGCTCCATCAGCTCTTTTAAGCACTTTTCTGTATTGGTTATTCTAGTTATACATTCTTCTAAATTTTTTTCAAAGTTTTCAACTTCTTTGCCTTCGGTTTGAATGTCCTCCTGTAGCTCGGAGTAATTTGATTGTCTGAAGCCTTCTTCTCTCAGATCGTCAAAGTCATTTTCCATCCAGCTTTGTTCCATTGCTGGTGAGGAACTGCGTTCCTTTGGAGGAGGAGAGGCGCTCTGCTTTTTAAAGTTTCCAGTTTTTCTGCTCTGTTTTTTTCCCCATCTTTGTGGTTTTATCTACTTTTGGTCTTTGATGATGGTGATGTACAGATGGGTTTTTGGTGTGGATGTCCTTTCTGTTTGTTAGTTTTCCTTCTAACAGAAAGGACCCTCAGCTGCAGATCTGTTGGAGTACCCGGCCTTGTGAGGTGTCAGTCTGCCCCTGCTAGGAGGTGCCTCCCAGTTAGGCTGCTTGGGGGTCAGGGGTCAGGGACCCACTTGAGGAGGCAGTCTGACTGTTCTCAGATCTCTAGCTGCATGCTGGGAGAACCACTGCTCTCTTCAAAGCTGTCAGACAGGGACATTTAAGTCTGCAGAGGTTACTGCTGTCTTTTTGTTTTTCTGTTCCCTGCCCCCAGAGGTGGAGCCTACAGAGGCAGGCAGGCATCCTTGAGCTGTGGTGGGCTCCACCCAGTTCGAGCTTCCTGGCTGCTTTGTTTACCTAAGCAAGCCTGGGCAATGGCGGGCGCCTCTCCCCCAGCCTCGCTGCCTCCTTGCAGTTTGATCTCAGACTGCTGTGCTAGCAATCAGCAAGACTCCGTGGGCGTAGGACCCTCCGAGCCAGGTGCAGGATATAACTCTTAGTGCGCCATTTTTTAAGCCCGTCGGAAAAGCGCAGTATTCGGGTGGGAGTGACCTGATCTTCCAGGTGCCGTCTGTCACCCCTTTCTTTGACTAGGAAAGGGAACTCCCTGACCCCCTGTGCTTCCCGAGTGAGGCAATGCCTTGCCCTGCTTCGGCTTGCACACCGTGCGTGCACCCACTGACCTGCGCCCACTGTCTGGCACTCCCTAGTGAGAGGAGCCCAGTATCTCAGATGGAAATGCAGAAATCACCTGTCTTCTTCGTCACTCACGCTGGGAGATGTAGACTGCAGCTGTTCCTATTCGGCCATCTTGGCTCCTCTCCCCCATAATGTTTTTAAGGAAAACAAAATCTGCATTCCCTTGAAAGCAGACAGGTTTTTAAACTGCAGATCACCTACTAATCTGTCCTAGATTATATAGCTTCAAGTCAGTGTATTTACCTGTATATGGAAATGAACTTTAGAGATAGTTCAATTTTTAAAGTATATCAATACCTGAAACCAAAATTTTGGATACTAATCCTATGGTATAGTGAGTGGATAGGGACCCAGAAGAGGAATGACAGAGAGGGACCCAGGATATCAGAGTTCTAGTGGCAAGCTCTGTCACTAATGTGTTTTGTGCCTTTGAGCAAGATTCCTAATCTTTCTATTTTTATTTCCTCATCTGTTAAATGAAGACTGTAATATCTATTATATTTACCTTGAAGGATTGTTGGGAAACTAAAGTCATATAACATGTAAAAAGACTTTATAGCTTTGTACAAATATTATAATGTAAAAATAATGTCCCCTTTATCTTTATGTTCTGTTGGAAACAATTTTAGGTGCATTCCCTTAATGGATCTATATCACATAATATTTAACCTGATGATTTAATCCTGTAAGACCATTAATATGTGTACAAATGCCATTGATCTTCTAAATTTGATAATTACCCAATTTGATGGCTAAACTGTTATTTGTATTTATGTTTATGATGTGCTTTAATCTAAAGAAAATATCCTGTCAAACTTAAGTGGAGCTTTAGTAATCCTGGCTATCTGGTGTCTGGTTTCTGTAGGAGTTGATCTGGAGCAGTCAAGAAAAGAAGAAGAGCAGCAGATGTTGCAGGATGCCCACCAGTGGCTCAACAGTGGGAAAATAGAGGATGTGAGGCAGGCTCGCTCCGGGGCTACAGCCCTTCATGTGGCTGCTGCCAAGGGCTACTCTGAAGTCCTCAGGTATTGTCCATTTACATCAATCAGGAGTGGTTCACTGGGAGAAGATGAAATAGGTTTTGGAAGCAGAGGCTGAATTAGATTTTCCGCTATGACGTGTTTCCTTTTTTGTTGGTTTCCTCTCTGATTGTGCAGTCTTTTCTCACATTTTGCTGGTATTCATCCATGGATTGTCTCCCTCCCTCCTACCATTCCTCTAGCTTCTCACTAACATGTATGTTGTGAAACAGAGTTGAGGTACATGGTCCTAGGAGGGGACTTCTTCCAGTTCTCTGATTTGTCCTTAATATCCCTGCAATGACCTCTTCTTGTGACCTGTAATACTTGTGATCATTTGTTCCATTTTGACTTATATAATTTCTTTTGTGTCATTAGATTAATTATATAGATCTTGAGTATGCAGTGTCCAGCTGGCACAGGATAGCCAAACTTATATGAGGGATTTGGACTCTACCACTCTGTCTGTTCCATTTTTCCTTACATCCATACACGCTTCTTGTAGCTCTTGGTACTTAATGTTCACAGGCTTTCCCAGATACATGGGTTGCCAGAGGCATTATATGTGCAGTTGTTAACTGGACTCTTCCAGTATTTCATATTTCACCCAATGCAGGGTTTCTAATAGGTATAGCAGTGTTTTGGTGCTCCATTTCTGCCTGATAGTGCTATCCATAAGGGCCCCAATGTAGTTTGGGTCTTCAGGAGTCAAATCTTTTCTCTTCCATGCATACAAGTTAAATTACAGCTTTATAGTTAGCAAAAAGTTGGAGATATGTGGATATATGGTAAATATAGTGTCCTAGAAAGACCAACCAGAAAGCTAGTTGAGAAAATACCCTGAAGAGAATTGAGTCTTCATTTTATTTTATTTTTTTAAACTTTATCTTTATTGTTGACACTATTACAGATAGACAGAATGACCACAGCCTATGAGAATCTTCATTTTATATATTACTTCTTCCCTGCACTGGAAAATGGAAAATGTATCTTTAACAGAGTTATGTGATTTGGCTAATTGAATTATGCTTTGCTTAATCTTAGGTACATATGTTTCCGTATACTCCCCTTGTATGGTATAACATGGATATGCCTAGGAAATATCTTATGACTTTTTGGAGAGGATTGGTAAAGGTCATCTATGATTGGTACACAAAATAGTAAATATGAAACCCAAACCGTGCCTTAGAGGGCAGAAGTAATCATAAGACCCCTGTGGTTCAGGGCCAAAATCTGAAATATCAATTAGGTAATAGTGTATTTGCCAGAAAACTGTAATATACAGGAGATATATGTCTTGTTTTGGGTTTTCTTTTTAGACTTTTAATTCAGGCTGGCTATGAACTCAATGTTCAGGATTATGATGGCTGGACTCCCCTCCATGCTGCTGCACACTGGGGAGTGAAAGAGGCTTGCTCCATCCTGGCAGAAGCACTTTGTGACATGGATATTCGAAAAAAACTGGTTAGTGAGCCTGAACCTCTAAAAGAACAACGAGATTGGTGGCTGGGTCTCTAGAATAAAAGGCTTAACATCTCTATTCAATGGCAGTCTGACTGTTGTGGTGAAATATACATCACTGGTAGCTATGTTACCCTCCACCACCCTGCCTCTGGCCCTATTAACACAGAGTTATGTTTGTTATTTAAAATAAAACTCCATGGACCTTCTGATTGTATTTATGTTCAAGCCTCTAAAACAGGAAAAAAATATTTGTTCTTGGCAAAAAAATGAGCTTTGAGGAGCCTAATGTTACTGTCTGTGGTGAGGTATGAAAGATTTTATTGTTGCTGTATTCATGTGAGTCATTAAAATGTTATAATGACAAAGATCCTTGAGTTTGGCTGAAAATAGTGTTATTCAGTCTCACTTCAAACAACTTAGAAGCTCTGGAACTCCTATCCCTATGTCTACTGATTTTATTTTATTATTATTATTTTTGAGACGGAGTCTCGCTCTGTCGCCCAGGCTGGAGTGCAGTGGCGCGATCTCAGCTCACTGCAGGCTCCACCTCCCAAGTTCACGCCATTCTCCTGCCTCAGCCTCCTGAGTAGCTGGGACTACAGGCTCATGCCACCATGCCTGGCTAATTTTTTGTATTTTTTTTTTAGTAGAGATGGGTTTCACTGTGTTAGCCAGGATTGTTTCGATCTCCTGACCTCGTGATCCACCTGCCTCGGCCTCCCAAAGCGCTGGGATTACAGGCATGAGCCACCACGCCCAGCTGATTTTATTTTAATTAAATTAATTTTTTTTATGGTAGAGATGGGGGGTCTCACTGGTTTCCCAGCTGGTCTCAAACTCCTGGGCTCAAGTGATTCCCCAGCCTTGCCACTTGTAATCCCAAACTCTGTGTTTAAAGGATTTGGTGTTTCTCATTATGTGTCCTCTGTGATAGATGAAGGTATTATCATAATGTATGGTAGACTAGTTAGGGAAGCAGTTTTTATTGGAATTAAAGGCAAAAAGTGAATATTCAATAATACTGAGTAATCCCAAATTGTTGGGATTACAGGTGTGAGCCACTGTGCCCAGCCCATATATATACTGATTTTCTAGTAGTGCAGAGACATGGCCTTTTAATTAGAAGATATTCTTATCTGCATCACATCTCTCCTGAACCCAGGTTTCATTCTCAGACTATGGGTCAGGGTTCTTAATTATGCTGATGCTTCCTGAAAGAATTAACTTTCTTGTCAGTCCTCCCCTCACTTAAAGGAAGATGATTCCTGTGATTTAATCTTTATTAAACATGCGCCCTGAACTTCCCTCTGAAGTTTTGAAGAGCCCTTTTTGGAATTTATCATAGCAATTAAGACCATTTTAGAACAGATACAAGTAGGGACTTCACTTGATTATTTGCCAGGTGGCAGTAAGGATTAGAAATGGTGTGATTTCTACAATACTCTTGTACAAACTCTATATTTAAAGGATTTGGTGTTTCTTGTTATGTGATCTGTGTGATAGATGAATGTGTTACCATAATGTATGGTAGATTAGTTTGAAAAGCAGCTATTATTGGAGTCAAAGGCAAAAAGTGACTATTGAATAGTTCCCTAATAAAGTCATGTAATTGCTGCTTCTGTTTTCTATCAGTCATGGTGCTCCTTTTCTCTGCCAGGCCAGACACCATTTGATGTGGCTGATGAGGGTCTCGTGGAGCATTTGGAGATGCTCCAGAAGAAGCAGAATGTGGTGAGTTTCTGATTGGTGCTTTCAAAAGTTTTCTAATAGTTTGCAGTTCACATCAAGTATCTCAATCACTTGTTTCAGTTGTGTCTGCTGAGAGTTGAAATGGACATATCTGCATTCCAGACATGTTAATTGTTCCCTTCAGGAACTGTAAACAGTCTGTTAGAAGAATATATCCCAGAAACCATTATTGTTCAGGTTTTTTGCTCATTATAAGATAGACTTCAAGGAGCTGAAAGTTAAAAACAGCCACAAAAAACTAATAATTACACTTGAGTTCTAGAAAATGAATGTGATATGTTCAAATCAGATGTTTTTCCAAATAGAAAGTACCAGAGTGGAGGATACCTCGTAGCTTTTCTTTTTCTTATTGACTAAAAGACTATCTTTATTTAAGCACATTTATCACAGAGAAGAATACATTTCTTAAAAAATAAGTAAATACACATAATACTAAAACCGTTATTTCATATAGGAGAGTATTTGGTCAGTGATTCATACTTACTCCAGTTTTATGAAACATCTACAATTCAGTCCTCCTTTCTCTGCTCCTCATTTTGAATCTTTTATAGTTTGGTCATGCTAGTTTGGTCATGCATGTCTTTGGCTTAATTAGTGCTATACAGGAGAACTACATAAGTATGGTATTTTTGTTCAGACTGCACAATGGAAAACCCACCCAATATATGGATGAAGAGTGAATAAGCCATATTTTTTACTCATAAAGCAGATGAATAATTTGAGTTGGGGAGAATAAAGATCAATGACATTAGGGTGGGACATTAGGGGCAAAAAAAAATCAATGACTTTTTTTGTTTTTGTTTTTGTTTCTTCTGCACGTGTTGTCACTCAGGTAATGTAAACTAAAGTTTAGGACAAATGTGGAAAACAGCGGTTCTGAATCAAAGAACTATATAGCTCAATGATGGGACAGATCAACCATACCTAATCTCTGTTGTGTTCAGCATTATGTCTGGTATGGTAAAGTGAAGATTCTGGTTATTTTAAGGCTCAGTGGAAAAGTCACATACATAAAGCTCAGACAAACACAACTTAAAGTTCATTTTGTTCTCTTTGTTGAGCAGTCAGGATCACTGAAACTAGGATTTTCAAATGCAGTGTCAATGCTGTTATTTAGCAGCAACAGCCTTCCTGATTATAAGTTGTATACTTTGCACAGTTAGGTTCTTGTAATTTTAAAAACTTTTTCTGGAAGAAGTTTAGACTCACATGGAAGTTGCAAAAATAGAGAGTTCCTGTGTATTCTGTACCTAGCATGGTAAGGTTTTTGAACATCAATAGTATTATTCATGAAATAGTATTATTCATGAAATAGTATTTCTACACCAGTGGGAATAGTACTTATCTTTGCCCTCTGCATAACTTTGAGTTCCAGGGATATGAATACATTTTATCTAGAGCATGCATCTAAATAGCAGACCGTTTTCCCTAAGGGCTTATTTCCCATTCGGTACCTGTGTTTTCTTTAGAAATATTGCCAACTTATTTCAGTATATGAATCATAAAGAATTCTTTCAGGTTCCTTTTGGCTTTTTATTCTTGAGAATCTAGACTTTTTTTTTTTTGAAGATTAGGTTTGGATATTTGATAGGAGCAGTTTTATTGAAGTTCTTAACACCATGGCTTTTCTCTTCTACCTTGGATGAGTTCTGTCATCTAAGGAGACCCAACTGATATGTTTCTCTTTTTCTCAGGTTCCCCACTACCTCTTTTGTGTTGGTCCTATTTTCTTCAGAATAACATTACCATTTTGGTTCTCAATACTGCTGATTTTTCACCAATAGTCAACTTCTTCCCTTTTCTCTCGTTTTCTCCATTTCCAGCTTCAAAGTGAAAAGGAGACATGGAATAAAGTCATTGAGTAAGATCTGAACAGCAAGATTCAGAGTGGGTTCTTTAAGAAGTAAGACATTTAGGCTTGAGTAATGGGATGAGCTTTGCTCTGTGTCAGTGACATACTTAACTTCAGAATTTATAAAGTGAAGAAACTCTGTTTGTATTTAGCCAAATGATCTATAAACTTGTGGGAAACTTTGTGGGACAAGAGAGTGGCATTGATATGTGAGGGAGACACTAAGGATGGTTGACTGTGTTTTAAACTTCAGAATTAATTGAGACAGTGTGCAGCATTTTAAAATCCTGGCTTAGGCGCTCTTAGTCTCAACTTCTGCCTCTACTTACTGTAAGTTTCATGAACTCAGAGACAATGTCTATTTTGTTTATGACTATACCAGTGCCTAGCATGATTCCTGGCATGTAATAAGTACTCAGTAAACATTTGTTAAATGATTTTTTTGAATATTTATCCACTGTCATCAAAATTCATAGTTCTCCTTTTGTCTGTGTGTTAAACAGGCCAGATTTCCTTGAGCCGTACTCTGTCATCAAATACTAAATCTTAGTCTGCAAAAATGAAGGGTTTGGAAGAACACACAGATGTAAAGAAGAATTTAAATATGTTTCTGTTATTGCTTCCACATATAAGTTTATAGACTTGTTCCCTTTATTATACCTGATTATCATTTCTGAATTATACTCAAGTTGTCATTTTTAATTTAGCAAAGAGAAGATGCTCTATGAGGAGGAGACACCTAAGTCCCAAGAAATGGAGGAAGAAAACAAAGAATCTAGTAGCTCCAGCTCAGAGGAGGAGGAAGGTGAAGATGAAGCTTCTGAGTCAGAAACTGAGAAGCAGGCAGGTAATGCAAAGATGTTCATAGTAAAGATCCTCTATCTCCTTGTCAGAGAGCTAGCCAGGCCTCACAGGACTCCAAAAAGAGCTTGAAGTTTAGTTTTCAAGGATAAGATATCAAATTGCCAGTGACCACCTGATGTAAAAACTGTGAGCTATGTTAGACTGTATCTACCAATTCCTGTGTAGCCATATGATAAGGTGCACAAAGAATTCTTAGGTGAATGCTGGGTACAGTGCCTTAGCACTTTGGGAGGCCAAATGCGGTGGCTTGCTTGAAGTTCAAGACCAGCTTGGGCAACATAGCAAGACCCTGTCTCTACAAAAAAATTTAAAAAGAAAAGATAATAATTCTTATGTGAGGAATCCAACTCTCCTTACTCCGGGTTGGTAAACGGCATAGAGACCAAATTCCAAAATGTCAGTATGCTAAGAGGCAGAGAAGATGAGATCTTGCAGAAGCTCTTAGGGTCAAAGTTGTTATTACAGCCAACGAGAGTATTTTCCTGGAAACATTGTGAAAAGGGACAGATTTGTGTTTGTCTAAACTGTGTTCTGGGGGCAGTATCTTCTTGGTTTCTAGTTCATCTAAGGGATAGCATGGTAGAATGTTATTGTGAAAATACATTAGGACTTTAGCTGTAGTTTTAACTGTGGCTTTTAATCCTTTATGTGTGGTGGCAAAGGGTCTCCTTTTTTTGGGTCTGTCTACAACTGATAAAGAAAATGAAAAAAATCTTAATGATAGTGTTGTTGCAGGAACACCAGTGATGGTGCTTGATTGATATTTGTCAGTTTACTAGATTTCTTTCCCTAAAATAAGCAGTGATCATTAATTCAGCCACGAGGGAAGGGTTTATGATGGATTATTAATAATAATACTGTATAATTATGGGTAAATTTATTAGGTCCTTATAATAATCCAGTTGCATAGACATGTTAACTATTATCACCATAGCTGAAGAAACAAACATAGAGAGGTTATTATTACTATATGTCTCTCTCTCTCTCTCTCTCTCTCTCTCTCTCTCTCTCTCTCTCTCTATATATATATATATATATATATATATATATTTTTTTTTTTTTTTTTGAGATGGATTCTCGCTCTGTCACCCAGGCTGCAGTGCAGTGGTGCAGTCTTGGCTGACTGCAACCTTCACCTCCCGGGCTCGAGCAATTCTCCTGCCTCAGCCTCCCGAGTAGCTGGCACTACAGGCACGTGCCACCATACCCAGCTAATTTTTTGTATTTTTAGTAGAGACGGGGTTTCACCATGTTATCCAGGATGAGGATGATCTCTATGTCCTGACCTCATGATCCGCCCACTTCGGCCTCCCTAAGTGCTAGGATAACAGGCGAGAGCCACTGCACCTGGCCGTATTACTATATTTTACATATATAATATTATATATTATATAATAATACTATATTGCTATTACTATAACTATTAAGAGCTGCAGCTGAGAAAATAGTTACAGCTGCCATTTGTTGGACCCCATTATGTGACAGGCATTTGGTTGGGTATTATACTGGGATTTAGTTTGCTCATATGTAACAATAAATCTAAATAGTAGTGGCTTAAATAAGATAAAGGTTTTTGTTTTTTTTCTTGCACTTAAGAAAGTCCAGAAATAGGCAGAGCTGGCTTAGTAGCTCCACAGTCATTAAAGGATCCAGGTTCTTTCTGCTCCACAGTTCTTGCATCATGGCTGCCATTTCCATGGGTTGCCTGATGGTCCAGAATAACTGCTGGAGCTCTAGCTATCATGGCAGTACTCTAGGGAAGAAGGAAGAGGAAAGAAGGAGGCAGACAAAGAAAGAATGCTTCTGAACTGAGAATTTTCCCAGAAGTACTAGTTGTCTGCATATGTCTCACTGGATAGCTCTAGTGGCCAGGAGACTTTGAGAAGTGTGGACTTTTAACTAGGTATACTGCTGCCCTCAATGATATAGGGATTCAGTTCATAAAGAAGAAAGGGACAATGGATATGGGTTGGACAACTAGCTGTCTCATGCATACATATATCATCTATTCTCTTATAATGAGCCCCCTATTATATGAAGTATTATTTTATAGATGAGGAAACTCAGACCAAAAGGTTAATCATCTGCCCAAGGTCACACAGCTAGTGAGGGACTGAGATAGGATTTGAACTCAGATTTGTACATTTCAAAGCTCTTACCTATTTTGTCACTGTTTGTATCTGCTGAGTTTATATTTTATTCTGGGTACTATTTTAGGTGTCCTGCCGACATTATTTTATTTAATCATTAGAAGAACTCTGTATTTTAAGATGCCACTATCTCTATTTTGTCAATGAAGAAGAGATCAGAGAGTCTACATTTAAGCAAATGTTGTGTTTCCAAAGCCCATATTTATTCTACTCCATTGCATATCCTCTGATCTCTGCTCTAGGGCTGTTCTTATTCTAACAATCTACTTGTAAAATTACACTGCATTTCAAAATAATACTAAAAGTCCTATTATGTAATTTAATAAAATAAAATCCTTGGCATTTCAAAAGCATAAGAAATTACAGTGAGACCAAAACGTGTTATTAACCTAAAAAGAACTTCAGGTAAGGTTTGGTTAAGTGTAATTTTTTATAGCTGTGTGTCTAGCTAATTTTATTAGTACTTCCTATAGATTCATATCTTGTAAGTCTGAGGAATTTTTTGCCTTTTCTTTTTTTATTAAAACAGACTATAAAATTTCACCTTTTTTCTTAGTCATTAATTGCTTCTGGAGAAGTAGCATGTGTTTTTTAGATATTATATCTATCTTTTAAAATATTCTGCTTTTATGTTTGTATCTAGGTACCATATTTATATTTTTATGTTTTTATTTTTTTTCAAGCTCATAATTTGATTATTTGGAAGTAAGCTTCGAGCTACCCGTGAACATTTCTGCTAATAATTGTGAGTAGGTGAAAAAAATAGATTTTTAATATTTGTGCTTTTCATTGCTTTCTCTATCTCTGTATCAGTTTTGGACCTCTGTTACCCCAGCAACAGCTGTGACATCACAAATGATAGCTTTTTGTGTGGAGAGCCAATGGTTGCTCCCAACTCTTTGTCAAGAAACAAAGATCTTGTATTCATGTAAATGAGTTTAATTATACAGCTTGCTGTTGAAAAGTCTGTGGTTAAGGATACTTATAGAATCCAGTTTGGTTTTTCTTTCAATTTCTCACTTTTGCAGTTATGAATATAGACAATTAGGCATTTGGTTAAATGGAAAGAGAGAGCAGTTGCTGAACTAGGTGAGGGAGAACTAAGCATACTGAGACTGTAGAGTATCAGTTGTCTCTGGATAATCCAAGAAGATGGTCATCAAATCTAGGCTGAGGACTACCACAAAGACTCCCACTGCCAAGAATTAAGGAACAGGTGGAGACTAATATTGTAAGTGACTTTAATGTCTTTTTCTTGTGTAGAGAGGCCCTGTCTCCATGTGCATGTGTGGAGACCAGGTGCTACTGGGGAGTCATTTAAAACACTCTTGCATATGTCACTATCTTGCCTTGTGCCACAGCTAATGATTTTTATTAAAACGAAATCTCAGGCACACACATACACATACAAGTCTCATAAAATGTGACTCCTCAGGCAAAGGATGTCAGACTAAACATGTAATTATACTATTCCAAGCAAGCTGTAAGAGCTCAAAATTAAGAAACCAACAAACAAAATCAGAGCAAGATTTCCGAGATGAACCACTCTTTAATCCTTCTGTCTCTGTGCCAGTGCTTTGTTGTATAGTGTGCCTAACCATTTCCTTTCTGCTTGTACCTTTTTAAATTTCAGGACTCCTCACAAATCCCAGGCTGACTCAACAGCAGAGAAAACAGCAGACAATGTCTCTTCTAGCACCCCGTTCTGTGTGATCACCAATCGCCCTCTGCCTAGCACTGCCAATGGGGTTACAGCTACTCCTGTGCTCTCCATTACTGGAACAGATTCCTCTGTGGAAGCCAGGGAGAAGAGGAGGTATGTTGAGTTACTGATTTCATTTGTGGGGCTCTGCTTTGAGGTAGACGATACAGGAATGGGCATAAAGTGTTTTTCCCAATTTCAAATACATTTATGAAAATATGTCTTTTTTTTTTTTTTTTTTGAGACAGAGCCTCACTCTGTTGCCCAGGCTGGAGTGCAGTGGCGCCATCTCGGCTCACTTGCAACCTCCTCCTCCTGGGTTCAAGCAATTCTCCTGCCTCAGCCTCCCGAGTAGCTGGGACTGCAGGCGTGTGTCACCCCGCCCGGCTAATTTTTTTGTATTAGTAGAGAAGGGGTTTCACCATGTTAGCCAGGATGGTCTCGATCTCCTGACCTCATGATCTACCCACCTCGGCCTCTCAAAGTGCTGGGATTACAGGCCTGAGCCGCTGCGCCCAGCCTGAAAATATATCTTTATATTACTGTTCTGTATTTTGTCTCTGAGCAGTCAGTTTTTGGTGACTCAATTATTTATGATTATTTAGCATAGACACGCCGTTATGGATTTTTTATTTTTTATTTTTTTGAGACGGAGTCTTGCTCTGTCGCCCGGGCTAGAGTGCAGTGGCACGATCTCGGCTCACTGCAGGCTCCGCCTCCCGGGTTCACGCCCTTCTCCTTCCTCAGCGTCCCGAGTAGCTGGGACTACAGCTACCTGCCACCACGCCCGGCTAATTTTTTATATTTTTAGTAGAGACGGGGTTTCACCATGTTAGCCAGGATGGTCTCGATCTCCTGACCTCGTGATCCGCCCGCCTCGGCCTCCCGAAGTGCTGGGATTACAGGCGTGAGCCACCGCGCCCGGCTGTCATTATGGATTTAAGTATATCTTTTTTCTGTTTGTCTTGTGATAGAGACAATTGTTAGGCATTATTTCACCATTTTGTAATGGAGAACCTGTGAAGCACAGAGAAGGATATTTTGTTATGGATAGTCTACGTTGACTTCTCTGGCAGCAAAGAAAGGGAACAGTATGACACAAGGCTCAAATAAATAGAACTAGGATATAAACTTTTGATTAATTTGAGAAGAATACCAGAAAAAGAAATGAATAATATGTGATGTTATGGTAGAAGAATAGTGACTAGATATTCTGTAATTTCTTTAGAGAGAAGTTATGAGAGAATATTGTGAATTGACATAGAGATTTAAGGTAGAAGCTAAGAAAAACTTTTTGATTGCCAGCATTAAGAGAAACATTAGAAAATGTGACCGAGCAAGAATGGGTCATTTTCTCCTACTTGAGGAAGTATTAAAAATAGAATGTACTGCATTTGGGAGATTCAAGTGTACTTAAAGACTAAGGCTATAATTATCCCTTGTTAAGATTAGACCAGGTGAAATCTTATCAGAATTTAGATTTCAGTTTGACTTCATATTATTTTGAATATCCAAAGGAAGGAGCTTTTATATTTGTGTGTATTAAGAGAGTGTCTTTTCTCCAATGTATGTTCTTGGCACTTTTGTCAAAAATGAGTTCACTGTAGATGTATGGATTTATTTCCAAGTTCTCTACTCTGTTCCATTGGTCTATGTGTCTGCTTTTATGTCAGTACTATGCTGTTTTGGTTATAATAGCTTTGTGGTATAATCTGAAGTCAGGTAATGTTATTCCAGTTTTGTTCTTTTTGCTTAGGGTGACTTTGCTATTCTGAGTCTTTTGTAGTTCCATATGAATTTTAGGATTATTTTTTCTATTTCTGTGAAGAATAGCATTGGTATTTTGATAGGGATTGCATTGAATCTGTAGATTGCTTTGGGTAGTATGGACATTTTAACAATATTGATTCTTCCAGTCCATGAATATGCTATATCTTTCCTTTATTTGTGTGCTGTTTAATTTCTTACACCAGTGTTTTATAGTTTTCATTGTAAAGATTTTTTAGTTATTTGATTAATTCCTAGGTATTTTATTTTATTTGTAACTACTGTAAATGGGTTTACTTTCTTGATTTCTTTTTCAGATTGTTCACTGTTGGCAAAAAAAATGCTAGTGATTTTTGTATGTTGATTTTAAATTCTGCAACTTTATTTAATTTTTCAGTTCTAGTAGTTTTTTTGGTGGAGTCTTAAGGTTTTTCCGAATATAAGATTATCTATCTGCAAACTTCTTCCTTTCCAATTTGTATGTCATGTATTACTTTCTCTCGCTCTCTTTTTTTTAATAGAGATGGGGTCTCACTGTGTTGCCCAAGCTGGTCTCAAACTCCTGGGCTCAAGATATTTTCCCACCTCTGCCTTCCGAAATGCTAGGATTACAGCCGTGAACAACTGTGCCTGGCCTATTGAATAACAGTGGTTGAAAGTGGACATCCTTGTCTTGTTTCAGATCTTCGAGGAAAGGCTTTCAGTTTTTCTCCATTCAGTATAATAATAGCTGTGGGTTTGTCATATATGGCTTTTAGTGTGTTGAAGTATGTTCCTTCTGTACCCAGTTTTTTGAGGGTTTTTATCATGAAAGGATGTTGAATTTTATCAAATGCTATTTCAGCATCAATTGAAATGATCATAGTGTTTTTATCTTTCATTCTGTCAATATGATATATCACATTGATTGACTTGTGTATCTTTGAACCATCCTTGCATCCCTGGGATAAATCCCACTTGGTCATGAAGAATTATCTTTTTAATGTGTTATAGAACTTGATTTGCTAGTATTGGCCTGTAGTTTTCTTTTTTTGATGTGTCTTTGTCTGATTTGGTATCAAGGTAATGTTGGCCTCATCAGATAAGTTTGGAAGTATTCCTTCCTTTTCTGTTTTTCAGAATAGTTTGAGTAAGATTGGTATTAATTCTTCTTTAAGTGTTTGGTAAAATTCAGCAGTGAAGCCATCAGGTCCCACGTGAGTATGTATGTATGTGTAGTAAGTATAAAAGACACAATACAAATTAAACAAGATGCAAGATACAATACAAATTGAACTTTTTATGTTTGCTTATTATAAGGACAGCTCTAATGTGTCTATTATAAAGACTTTTTTTTTTATAAAGACACATTTTAAGAAAGAAGTTAAGGGAGATGTTGAGTTGGAAAATAGTGTTTTTCTTCTTCTTTTCTTTTCCTTCCTTTCTTTTTTCTTTTTCTTTTTTTTTTTTCATTTCTTTACATAAAATGGAAGAAAACTAATTTCTGGGCTAACAGGTTTCAGAGCCAATAACTGTCTTTTTAAAATTGGTTTCCAGCCAAGGAAATAGTAATAAATCAATCATGAATAGTAAATGCTTCTATACTTAATAGCTCAAATGTAATTTAGATACTATTAGTTTTACCTAGAAACTAAATGCAAAAGTAATCTTTAGCTGACAAAAACTCTCTTTAAAAAATCTTTCTGAGCTGAAAGAAGTAAAATGAGTTAAATTCATCATTAAGAGCATGATCCCAGAAAGTATGGGGGAAATCAAGTTGTTTAACAAACTGCATTATTAAATACCTTGTTGCATGAACTGTTATTTGGAGAAACTTAGTTTTACTACCTTCTGCAAATGTTGTAACCTACAATCAATAAGATAATACCTGTAACAGAGACCAGATTTATGAATCAAAGGGTTAAATCAAAATATTAGTGAATTATGAGTTGAATGTGGTACATCAAGTACAGTCAAAATAAGTGAATTTTAGGAATGGCACAAGATAAGTAAGTAGGGAGATGTTAGATGTAGACTGGTTGGACTTATTCACTGGATATGTTCTAGCATTCATTCATCTTCAAAATACTTACCGAATATTTTAAAGTACCTGTTTCCAGGTGCTATGAGAAGCCCAGGTGATACATCAGTGAACCGGACAAATATGATGTGAGCCCTTGTGAAACAAATATGCTAGTGAAAAAGAAAAATGTAAATAATTATATTTGTGTAATATAAAGAAGTAGTATGAGTTGTTCTAACAGTGTCATACCGAAAATCTGCCAACAGAAGACTTCCCTTCTTGGCCAGGTATGGTAGCTCACACCTGTCATCTTGACACTTTGGGAGGCCAAGTTGGGAGGATCACTTGAGACCAGGAGCTCAAGACCAGCCTGGGCAACACAGCAAGACCCCATGTCTACAAAAATAAAATTAACTGGGTGGTGGCACATGCTTCCAGCTGCTTGAGATCCTGAGACGGAAAGAGCTCTTGAGCCCCGGAGTTTGAGGCTACCATGAACTATGATAACACCACTGTACTCTATCCTCGACCACAGAGCACAACCCTGTCTCTGAAAAAAAAAATATTTCCCTTCTCCTGGAGGATGAAAGAAGGCTCTCATGAGGGGGTGATACTGCTCAACCTGAGATCTGCTGGTTAAGTAATAGCTAAGTGAAGAGAAGGGAGTGGGCATTCCAAACAAAAGGCCTGGCAATTGAAAAGACACTGAGGTGGAAAGGTACTTGATCTTTTGGAGAAACTGAGAGAAGACATTGTGACAAAGAGTAGAGAATGAGGGAGAGAGGTCTAGGATGAAGCTTGAGGAATGGGTAGGAGCTATATACATATATATATATATAGAGAGAGAGAGAGAGAATTTGCATACCATACAATTCACTCATTTAAAGTGTACAGTGCAGTGGTTTTTAGTATATTCACAGATATGTGGAGCCATCATCACAGTAAATTACAGAACATTTTCATCATCTTAGAGAGAAAGCCTGTACCCTGTAACTATCCCCCACAATCTCCTCATTCCACCTAGGCCTAAGCAACCACTGATCTACTTTTTGTCTATAGATTTGCTTATTTTGGACATTTTATATAAATGGAATAAAAATACAGTCTTTTGTGACTGACTTCTTTTACTTAATATAATGTTTTCAAGGTACATCCATATGATAGCATGTATCAGTACTTTATTCCTTTACATGGGTGAATAATATTCCATCATATAGATAATGCCACATTTTGTTTGTCCATTCATAAGTCAATGGACACTTGAGGTGTTTCCACCTTTTAGTTATTATGAATAATGTTACCACAAGCATTTGTGTAGAAGTTTTCATGTGGACATCTGGTTTCATTTCTCTTGATTATATACCTAGGAGTAGAATTTCTGGGTCATACGCAACTAGAAGATTTTAAGCAAAAAGTACCATGACCTGACCTATAGTTTTTAAAGTTCTGACTTTTAAACTCTGGCTGCAGTTTTACATATGAATTGGATGAGGAAAAATAGACAAGAATGGATGTGAGATGACCAGTAAGGAAACCACTGCAGAAGAAAGGCTCATGAGAGAGAACAGTGGCTTGCACTGAGATAATGGTAGAAGAGATAGAGAAAAGTGAATTATCTTGGCCAGGCACAGTGACTCACGTCTGTGATCCCAGCACTTTGGGAGGCTGAGGGGGGTGGATCATTTGAGGTCAGGAGTTCTAGACCAGCCTGGCCAACACAGTGAAATCCCATCTCTAATAAAAATACAAAAATTAGCCAGGAGTGGTGACACACACCTGTAATCCCAACTACTCAGGAGGCTGAGGCAGTAAAATCACTTGAGCCTGGGAAGTGGAGGTTGCAGTGAGCCGAGATTGTACCAGTGCACTCCAGCCTGGGCGACAGAGCAAGAATCCGTCTCAAAAAAAAAAAAGAAAGAAAGAAATGTGAGTGGTTTCAAAACAGGTTTAGGAGGATAATTCCAACATGGTAGATGGAACTTATAAGGCTCCCTTGCCCATTATAAACAGAAATTCATAGTTGAATTCAGAAGAATAATAGGGAACTCTCAGATGACAAAAGTGAAGAGTACTCAAAAGCCAGAGTAGTTTGAGTGACCCAGGGTTGGTGTCAGACTTATATGTAGACCATAAGGTCTGGACACTCAGATTTTAATGTCCTGTGTGTAGAAAGCATGGCTGTGGACCTACTAAGGCTGCAAGTTGTAACTAAGAAACTATATCAAGCTAGAAATCTCAAAGGGTTCATGAAAAGGTACTTAGGCCATAGCTCAAAGAAGTGGCAAGGAAGGAAATCTATACAAGGGTCAGGGTAGGGCAGACGACTCACTTGTGAGGAATTTTCACTATTCATATAGTTTAGAAATCCCAGAAGTCAGGGATTTAATACAGAAACTGTGTCTGTACTCTTGAAACTCTGGGGCCCTGGCACAAGTAAATTCAAAACCACCTTGGAGGAACACAGCTGCAATCCAGAGTAAAAGACTGTAAACTGTAAAAACAGTTTCAACCAAAGATGAATTCACATAAAACATAAACACTGAAGGTCACCATGAGGGAGAGTTCTATGACAAACTCATAGATGCAGACTAACATGTAATATAAGTTTTAAATGCAGAAAGACACCTCAAACTATTATTGGAATAGGTAACAAGAATTACAGTTGACCAGCTATATTGAAGATAGACACACGTATAGGAACAGTTTGGTAAATGAATCAGGAATGGTTTTTAAAGTATAAGATTTTGCAAAATAGTATTATCTATATAGAATCTTGTTTAAATGGGAACCCACATGTATGAAGCACCTAACAACCATTTATTGAGAGACTGCCATGTGCCAGGCACAGAGACATTAAGGATACAAGACCAAAGAAAACATTCTTTTGGCCGGGCACAGCAGCTCACACCTGTAATCCCAGCACTTTGGGAGGCCGAGGCGCGTGGACTACTTGAGGTCTGGAGTTCAAGACCAGCCTGACCAACATGGCGACACACCATCTCTACTAAAAAAATACAAAAAATTAGCTGGGCATGGTAGCACGTGCCTGTAATCCCAGCTACTAAGGAGGCCGAGGCAGGAGAATCACTTGAACCTGGGACGCAGAGGTTGCAGTGAGCTGAGATTGCGCCGTTGCACTCCAGCCTGGGAGACAGAGCGAGACTCCGTGTCAAAAAAAAAAAAAGAAAGAAAACATTTTTTCTACCCTTGAGGATATAACTATTATGGGAAGTCAAATAAGTACATCAAATATTATTGTACAATTGTTAAGTGCTGTGGTAAAGATATGTATAGATTGCTATGAGAGTGTAGAGGAGGGGAATCTAAATTAGATTTAATAGGGTGACAAGGAAGGCCTACCAGAGGAGGTAACTGGAGTTGAATTTTGAAAGACAACTTTAAGTTAACTGTAAGTAGTAATAGGAGGATGGTATTTGAGAGGAAACATGAGAAATTCAAGAAACAAACAAGTTCAGAATGCCTGAAGCTGGGAGAAGGTGAGGCCAGGCTAGCATTTCTGAAAGTGTCTTTTGTGGAAACAGATTTAGATGAAGGAAAAAAAAAAGTATGCTGTGGCTAAATGAATTTGGGAACAATGGATTAAACAAAATTAAATAGGATCACTCAAAAGCCTTCTTAGGGTCATTCCTCTCTGGGGAGTGGGGAGAGTGGGACATGGGAGTGGTTAGGGAATTTGCAGCATTTTCCAAATTTCTGAGTTCATCCAGTAGTTTTGTTTTGTTAATCAAAGAAACCCAAGACTGGTATTCCACTGGAGAAACTTTGGAAATTGACAAGCTAGAGAGGTAGGCCGGAACCAAATCATGTAGATTTTTGTCTTTACTATGCTAAGAAAGTTGAATTTCTAGTCTCACAGCTATGGAATACAATTGAGGGATTTCCAGCAGGGGAATGACTTGATCAAATAAAACATATCATTTAAGCCTTTACAGAATTAAAGCCATTTAGTTTCTCTGGCTAGACAAGCATTAAATGAAAGAAAAAAAATCAGATGTTTTGAAAACAGCTAAATTTTACTTCTGAAAGAGCATGCTGGATGCTAATTCTACTCTTGAAGCTGCAGCTTTCTCTGTAATCAGCTAATTGTGGAAGGATTTTGACTCCTACTGGGAAACCTTGATAAAAGCCTGAAGCCTGGGTTCACAGGTCCAAATTCAGACAATTAGTGAGCATTGGGATAAATGGGGCTTTAAAACTGGCCACAGCAAGACCAAAGTAGTAGAAGGTTCTCTCTCAGAAATAATCTCCATTTGCAGTGTAATTAAAGCACTTCATTTGGGGAGTGGGTTTTACCATTAAATTGCACAGCTGGCTCTCCTTTTCTGAGAATGTTTTATCTTAAGAGGGGATAAGTGGGTATGTGCATACCAATTGGCCAATTATCAGTCTCAGCTTTATACCCTTGTGCTAACAGTTTGTTACTCAGTTTAACTACAGATATGTTGCTAAATGAACAAAGCTAGATATAAAAGAATACATTATGATGCCAAATAGTAATAAACATGGAAATGTTAATATTGGATTTTTGGGTGTATTATGGATAGTTTTTATTTTTATTTTTTGTGTATTTTCCAAAGTTCCAGAATGATAAAGGATTCCTGTTATTATGGGGCAGAGGGAGCAGGAGGGCATGAAGGAATATTAATTATAGGGACAACAGTCTTTATTATAATGTAAGTCTGTGAAGAAGGCCGTGATCGTTGAAGAGTAAATATAACAGAGATTCAAGGTTTGCAGGATTCTAGATAATTTATGGTTTTGCATACATAGTACAGAACTTCTGAAACACTTTATTCCTTTTTGAGAAGGGCATAATCTTGGATTTGTGAAGTTCCTTTTTTTCCCCTCTGAAAAGCTCAAGTGTGCTTAAATGTATTCTCTTTATAAGATAGAAAGGAATAGAACATACGCTCCCTATTTTACAAATGGGAATGCTGAGGCCCTAAGAGCATAGAGTCTTTGCTTAATATGACACTCTGAGTCAGAGGCACACTAGAGACCATCACTTAGGCCTTCTTTTCCTCCTCATTGAATTCACTGACCATTTCTTCTATTGAATTTAAGTATTATCCGTTCAGAATAAAGGTTTTGACTCAGGGGCCAGTCCACAGCTCAGAATGCAACAGTCTATCTTTAGGGCTTTCTGATAACTGCCATTCAGTCTTTGGATTGCTTGTGAGAACTATAGAAACCAACAAGGTCATCTGATTTTAAAGGGACTGATTTGACAGGATAGAAATGGCAGGTGGCAAGCTGTTGGCAGATAGCTCTGCAGAAATACCAGGGCCAGGCAGCAGCTGTCACAATAGGGTGGTGGTTGGGTTCATTTTCCAAAGCTCCAAGTTTTCCTTAGCAACAAAATGTAAACAATTCCCATCGCTAATATTAAAGTCTAATAGTGTCTGCCTTTGATTCTTTTGTTTTTCCTTTAGCTTTTTCTCTCTCACCCAACCCTGAATTTTACCTCTTTTTTAATGGTGCTCTTTCTTTTCTTTGTAGAAATGGTTAAAAATAGTTTTTCTCCACAATAAGCTAAAATTATCTTTCCCAAATAGCTCACATTACATATGACTCTGCTTTTCTTGGTCAAGATACAGTGAGTACTGGCTGAGTCATACATACCACACTTATGGACCTTCTTCAGTCCCTTGGGGTCTTTATAAGCTAGGTAATTATACCTACTAATGTGAAGCTGTCAGCAGATTAATTTGGCATCATCTTTGGAATGTTCAAAATTTAAATCAAGAATTTAAACTCTGAGTTATAGTTTTTAAAAGTCATTTGATTTGTTCCCCTGTGTCCAAGCTAAAGACTGTCTGTTGTCAATTCAAAAAGGTACTCTAGAAAAGAGGTTCCACAAATGACTCCAATCTTTCTCCATTTTTGTTCTAAAGTGATTAGTTTATCTAAAAGTCTGTGGCCATGCTGCCACTACCAAGTTTTTTCTCTACTGATAGAAATAAGCTCTCTCTTCCTAAGTGTGAATATTGAACAAGAAGAGAGTGAAACATATGTAGCAGTGGGTACATTTTCTACTATATTACCATTCTGGAGGTCTCTGGATTGCTTATAGAATTAGGATTATGCTGTGGGACTCTGAACAATTCTGGAACAGAAAGAAAAAAGGTGATTCTTTTAGTGCTTTGGCCCTGATCCTTAGGTAGCAAAATGACAAGAGCCTTCACCAGGCTGAATATGCCTTACAAACAAACTGCTTTCAGTGTCATATGGCACCTCTACGTAATTTTTTTTCAGAATATATCTCTTTGAAATAATAGTGATGATATGTTGCTACCTGAGAGATGAGGCTACCCCTAGATAACTGCGAATGGCTAGACTTAGTCGAAAATTCACAGGATTGATTTAAGAGTTCCAGTTCAAATGGGGCATGGTGGCTGACACCTGTAATCCCAGCTACTTGAGAGGCTGAGGCAGGAGGATCACTTGATGCCAGGAGTGTGAGACCAGCCTGGGCAATATAGTGAGATCCCCATCTCTTTAAAAAAAAAAAAAAAGAATAGTCCAGTTCAGCCTCTTATATGTGTGATTTTGGTTAAATAAATCAAGTTCCGTTTCTGACTCTTTCCTCATATGTAAAAAAGAGATAATGCTTACCTTGTTTGCATGTATATGAGGATTAGAAATGATTTACGAGTAACCTAGATTTTCCCAAATCTATCTCATGGAGCTATTGTGAAGATCAAATGAGACAGACTATGTGAAAGTACTTTGCAAACTACAAAACAATTTAGAGATATATATGACAATTATTTATGTCATTACCAGGAAAATGCTTTTTTGACTTTCATTAAGATCCATTCCTAGCTTCTCCAGAGCTAATACATTTGGAAATAAGTTCCACCCTAAAATGCTAAATATTAATACCATTTTAGATTTTAGGGATGTTTTATTTAATTTTTAAACCCTACATGCTATAGGGATTCCATATCTCAAGTTTAGGAGACTTAATTTTTAAATTTAAGCTCACTTATCCTGCCTCTGATCTCCTTACCAATTATTTATAATGTTATACATTATTTTCTGCAGCCCTAAGGGAAAATCTCCATTGTGCTGACATAGTAAGTGGCAGCCATACACAGGTACCTTCTTATGCCTTTTCTCCCCTCACCAAGCAGTGTCCAGGAATCTAAGCATTTGAACATTTATTTGAGGCAAGAGCTAGTGAGCTGAATGTAATAATGGTAGCAGTTGACCCTTGCTGGCAAGTTTGAGCCTTGGCCTCCTATCCTGGTGATATTCTTTATGCTAAAAATATTAGTAATTCCCTCCCACAGATTCCTTTCCTGCCTAAGTTAGTGAGGTCAATTTCTGTTGTTTTGCAAACAAGAACATTCCATACTATGCAGTAGTGGATATTTTTGATACTAGGGTGAGCATGTTTTAAAATTGGTTATAGTGACGATTGCATAAATCTGAATATACTAAAAATCTTTAAATGGTACACCTAATGGGCATGTGAATTATGTCTCGATAAAGCTGTTTAAAAATAACATTAGTACTGTTTATCTCTACCAAACAGTTCTGGGAAGGGAGGCCTGGATAGTGTCTACTAAGAGTTAAAATAATGAGATTTAGAGCCTTGAATAAAAGAGTCTATTTTCTTTTTTCAGTATTTCTGTTGCTAAACACGGCTGTTGCCAACACCATCTCACTTCATTTTCAGAGACAAGGGCATTTGTCATGCGTTTCTCAGCCCACCACTTAACAGTTCAGAAGTGGAAGCTTAAAGTGTTTCCCCCTCCCCCTCAGGACACCTGCATTTAGATGAAAGGACAAGAATCCATTTCTTTATGTAGCAGAACCTCTGGTAGTTCTATCCCAGTTCCCAGCTGCTTCACAGCGAAGACAGTCACCCAACACGTGCTACTAAAAGCGCTTATCAGCCATGTTTTTGCGGTTAATCTCCTTCTGATAAAGTGGTTCATTTTTCAGAGCTGTGAATATTGGTGACATGTAGGAGGGAACAAAATTTTCAGCCCTCATTCAACCCTCCCTTCTCTTTTATCAGTTGATTTTCCCATGTTAGAAAAGGACAGTTGCTGGTACAATCTCATAAAATGAGCTCCAGTGTTTAGAGAAGGACAGTCAGAGGAGTGGCCACCTGTTTGTTGAAAATTGGGCTTCTGGGAAAGTTGCTGCACAGGTGTGTGGCAAGGTGTGTCTGAGGTAGCTTGACCTGCTCTCCTGGAATGATTTGATCTGGCAATAGAGTTCCTTGCTATTCCTGGTTTTATGGAATCAGGCACAGGAAGTTGATCTGGGCATTCTGGGGAATTGAGACAAGCCTCTGCCATAGTTTGTTAGCGCTCTATGTGTTTGGAGGCTAACTCCAGTGTGCTGAATTGAGACATCAGCAAGTGCTGGGCCTGGAATGTCAGAAGCAGCAGGTAAAATTTCTTTGTTTGATGGCTTTAATGTCCTAGATGCATGTTTCTTTGGGAAACTGGCTTGGTTGCATACTTTGATTTGGTGGTATGGTTGGAGAAGTGGGAGAAGGCAAGTGGTAAGAATAAGATATAACCAGTATGGAACTTCTCTAGTGTTTCTTCACATTCCTATTGAATTTAAACATGTGCACTGACTTATAAACATCAGACCCAAAAGATTAGGGTAGCAGAGGACAATTAAGAGTTTCAAGAAGTAGAAACATGCTTCTTCTTTAAAGAAGAAACTGGAATTGGCACTGTTATTCTTAACTTGGATAGTAAGACATAGGTGATGGTTTATTATTCTTTATATCTTTTTTGTTTGCCTTAAATATTATATATGTTTTAAATAAGTAAAACAGAAAAAAGTATTGTTGGATATTTAGGGCAATTACAGAAAGAAGCTCATTTACGTAGGTGAAGGGGCAGATTGCAACTTGAGTTGGCCTTTGAAATTATAAAATGAAGAGACTAGTTCAATCAGGTATGGGTAAAAGTTATTTACTTACTACACACTCTACAATCAGAATGAATATTAATGGAAGTTAATGTTTTTCCATGTATATAAGATGAGAAGTTTCCCAGTTGATCTTGTTCAGAGGACCAATTTCTGGACAGAATACAAACACATGCTGAATCAGGCAATATAGAAAATCCTGCTGATTGTTAGTCATTTTAGTTCTGTAGAGAGAGCACTCACCAAACTCTGAATTCAGCCTACCCAGGACTATACTTTTCTCTCTATTTTTCTTATCCCTTTCTCTCAACTCTTCTTCCTGGTAATTGCATCACTTTACTCAGGTAGAAAGATTAGGCCTATTTCCTGTACATTTTACTTTCATGACCCTCTTCCTTTGTCCATGTGTGACCTTCTTTCTGGAATAGTTTTTTCTCACCTTCTCTGCTTAACAAAATTGTATTCATACTGTAAGAACTCCCGCAAATTAGGCCGGGCGCGGTGGCTCACGCCTGTAATCCCAGCACTTTGGGAGGCCGAGGCGGGCGGATCACGAGGTCAGGAGATCGAGACCATCCCGGCTAAAACGGTGAAACCCCGTCTCTACTAAAAATACAAAAAATTAGCCGGGCGTAGTGGCGGGCGCCTGTAGTCCCAGCTACTTGGGAGGCTGAGGCAGGAGAATGGCGTGAACCCGGGAGGCGGAGCTTGCAGTGAGCCGAGATCCCGCCACTGCAGTCCAGCCTGGGCGACAGAGCGAGACTCCGTCTCAAAAAAAAAAAAAAAAAAAGAACTCCTGCAAATTAAAACCCACTACTGACTACCTTGCTACACCCGAGCCCCAGGCTAAAACTAGTATTCTGTCTTCAGTGTTCTTTTTTTGTAACACTGTCTTAGGATTGGTTTACTAATTTATTAAGTGGTATGTTGTTGCTTTTCATTACTACATTCTGAGCTTCTTGGGGGTGCTTTTAATTGAGTTTTCTTCACAGAGCCTAATACATAGTAGATGATGGGTAAATGTTTATTGAATAAAATTATTTCTAAAATGAAAATAAGCCCATGTGTAGTGATCTTCTATGCCCATAAGATGGCAGCAGAAGAATGTCTATTGATCTACTTGAGTATGAAGCTAGCAAAGACCGTTTTGTGTTTGGATGAGTTCGCAGATGAGCCTTTCTATCCCATTCCATTTAAGTGTTTTAGTATAGGGAATGCAGATTTTTTTTTGGCACATGAAGGCCCTTTGTGCACATTCACCCTGGCACTTCTTCACACAAGAGCAACAGGTACAAGGTATAAAGCTCCCTGGATTGCAAGAGAGGATACCTAGTTTACTCTCCAGCTAAGCCCACAATTTATGCCTTCTCAGGCAAGCCATTTAACTTCTCTTGTTCAGTTTCTTACTCAGCTAATTGGTGGAGTTAGGAGATCTATAGGGAATATTAGATTATAAAATAATAGCATTCTAAGTCATCAGTGACTGCCTTAGTTATGTGCTCAATATTGTGTTAAAAACTGTGAGTATCATAAAAAAGGGACATGCCCAAGTGCTCTCATGATCCAAGACATCAAATGTACACATAGTTAGGCATGAGTGTGTATTAAGGAATAATATGTCCTTGAGAGCAAAATTGTGTTTAGGTAGGTATATTAAGAGTTCAGAGAAGATGAATGGTATAGGATGGAGTAGTCAGAAGGGGCTTCATGGAGCCAGAGGAGATTGAGTTGGCCTTTAAGTATATGAAAGGTTTAAATGCTGTAAGAGAATTAATGTTTTTGAAAACTTACTATAAGCCAAGTACCCTGCTAGATGCATTTAATCTTTGTAACTTTGTCAGATAAGTAATATTCTTTTCTTAATTCACGTAAGAGAATGCACTGAGGCTCAGCTAGGTTAAGGAATCTGTCCACAGTCACAGAATTTGTAGTGAAAAGCCAGAATTCAAAACCAGGTCTTTTGGACTTTGAGGCCCATGCTTGCTCTTCTACACCTCCAAGAAAATGTGTCCAAGGGGTCAGTCTTCACTGGATATTTGTATACCATGAGCTTGGCAATATAAGCACAATGGTTAGAATCTCTTGATATTTATTTGAAGGGGAAGTAGAACTTCTAGGAAATGAGTCTTTGTGTAGGGAAATATCACTTCTGAAAGTAAAGCAAATTGAAAACTTGCTAGCCTCTCTGAAATCTAGATGGGAAATAGGGTTTTTTTGTTTTTATTTTTGTTTTGAGAACCAAATGAGAGGTTGTCTTATGGGTCATCTGGCTGTCCAGGGTTGGCTGAGGTTGCTGAATATAAGAAACTTATCTTTGGGAGAGTTCCAGAGCCTTGGGAAGGTATATTTCTATTTTAAGAAGTATTTTTAAAAATGGAATTGGCTGACAGCTATTACCTGAAGGCTTGTTTCTGATTCTTCTTTAAACAGTGATTTTTCTTCCTCTTCCTCAGAGTCTCTTAGATAATACTGGATAGTATACTGACCTAGCTTTTAAATTTATTTTTTCTAAGGAAATCTAGTCTTCTAACCTGATAAAGGGAACTAGAGTATGATTCACAGTCCTTGCACACTTGTGCTGAAAATGGCTCATTAATCATTGACATGTGAATAAAATATAGTAATAGCTCAAGAATCCTTTGAGAACTAAATTTCTTTATAATGAAATTGACAGTGTTTAATAGAACACTTAGCATACAAAATGCATAAACATTGGGAAGCAAAACTGCAAGTTTAGTTCTATCTATTACAAAAATACACCTGCACCATGATTTCATTTGTCCTTGACAGTTGTTTATTTTTCCTGTCGTAATAGGATTCACATTTGACCCTGCACTGCTCTCTAGGGTTACCATATCTCACTCTTCCCTTCACTGTTAGTCTTGAAACAGTCTTCCAATTTCACTTTATCCATTTCCTGGCCTTCTATTCATTGTTCAACATATTGAAACAGAAATTCTGCCCCACCCCCCAATCCAGTGAATTTTTTCTGGCAAAGGGCCCTGTGAACTTCCAAATTACTAAATTCCTTAGTCACTTCATCTTTTACCTTGAATCCTGGCAGTAATTTATAATGTTGACTATTGCCTTCCTAAATTTTTATTCTACCATAACCTCTCTGATATTATTCTTTCCTGGCTCACTTCTACCTTTTCTGATTGCTCCTTCTTTGTGTTCTTTTTAGCCCTTTTTTTTCTGTAAACACCTTAGGTATTGTTCCTTAGGCTTCCTTCTTTTCTCTCCTTAGGACTCTCCCTAGCTGATCTCATCCATTCTGATTGCTGCAGTTAGCACTCAGATCTCTCTCTCCAGCTCAAACTTCTTTGCAGAAGTTCCTTGTACTACATGTAAAGGACTTACTTAGGACAGTGCCTAACTTCATGTAGGCACTCCATAACAATAGCCATTTCTGGCTGTTACTTTATCTCCTTATTTCTTATTTCCTTTATTTATCTATTTGAAGTATTGTTATAGACATGTATTTCTGTAAGAATTCTCAAGTCCTCTTTAGAAAGAGGGAATAAGCAAACAGGTAAACCAAATCTTTCTTTTCTCTAGCCTTAAAAAGGCAAGAGAAAGTCTTTGTTCTCACTTTTTTTTTTAGAAATCTCTTTGCTAATTGTCTTACATGTCACCCAACTGAGAACCTGGAAATCAAACTAGAAGGCTTTTCATTCTTTACCTCTCATATTTAGTCTGTCACCAACTCTTGTCTGTCATTCTCCTTAAGAATCCTTCAATTCCATCCTCTCCTCTCTTTCTGTTAACTCAGGCCCTCCTAACTGGGCCTTCCTCTCCCCTGCCCCACCCACCATTCCACCATCTACAGTGCAGCATTAGTGATCTTTCTTATATGCAAATCTCATCCAGTCACTGTCTCCTGCTTAAAATCTGAGAATGGTCCTGCAAGCAATGTTGTCCTCCCTTGTTTTCTAGGATGTCTCTTTTTTTTTATTATTATACTTTAAGTTTTAGGGCACATGTGCAGAACGTGCAGGTTTGTTACATATGTATACATGTGCCATGTTGGTGTGCTGCACCCATTAACTCGTCATTTAGCATTAGGTATATCTCCTAATGCTATCCTTCCCCACGCCCCCCACCCCACAGCAGGCCCCGGTGTGTGATGTTCCCCTTCCTGTGTCCATGTGTTCTCATTGTTCAGTTACCACCTATGAGTGAGAACATGCGGTGTGTGGTTTTTTGCCCTTGCGATAGTTTGCTGAGAATGGTGATTTCCAGCTTCATACATGTCCCTACAAAGGACATGAACTCATCATTTTTTATGGCTGCATAGTATTCTATGGTGTATATGCACCACATTTTTTTAATCCAGTCTATCATTGTTGGACATTTGGGTTGGTTCCAAGTCTTTGCTATTGTGAATAGTGCTGCAATAAACATACATGTGCATGTGTCTTTATAGCAGCATGATTTATAATCCTTTGGGTATATACCCAGTAATGCAATGGCTGGGTCAAATGGTATTTCCAGTTCTAGATCCCTGAGGAATCACCACACCGACTTCCACAATGGCTGAACTAGTTTACAGTCCCACCAACAGTGTAAAAGTGTTCTTATTTCTCCACATCCTCTCCAGCACCTGTTGTTTCCTGACTTTTTAATGATCGCCATTCTAACTGGTGTGAGATGGTATCTCATTGTGGTTTTGATTTGCATTTCTCTGATGGCCAGTGATGGTGAGCATTTTTTCATGTGTTTTTTGGCTGCATAAGTGTCTTCTTTTTTTTTTTTTTTTTTTTTGAGACAGAGTCTCGCTCTGTCGCCCAGGCTGGAGTGCAGTGGCGGGATCTCGGCTCACTGCAAGCTCCGCCTCCCGGGTTCACGCCATTCTCCTGCCTCAGCCTCCCAAGTAGCTGGGACTACAGGCGCCCGCCACTACTCCCGGCTAATTTTTTGTATTTTTAGTAGAGACGGGGTTTCACCGTTTTTAGCCGGGATGGTCTCGATCTCCTGACCTCGTGATCCGCCCGCCTCGGCCTCCCAAAGTGCTGGGATTACAGGCGTGAGCCACCGCACCTGGCCAAGTGTCTTCTTTTGAGAAGTGTCTGTTCATATACTTCACCCACTTTTTGATGGGGTTGTTTGTTTTTTTCTTGTAATTTTTGTTTGAGTTCATTGTAGATTCTGGATATTAGCCCTTTGTCAGATGAGTACGTTGCAGAACTTTTCTCCCATTCTGTAGGTTGCCTATTCACTCTGACAGTGGTTTATTTTGCTGTGCGGAAGCTCTTTAGTTTAATTAGATCCCATTTGTCAATTTTGGCTTTTGTTGCCATTGCTTTTGGTGTTTTAGTCATAAAGTCCTCGCCCATGCCTATGTCCTGAATGGTATTACCTTGGTTTTCTTCTAGGGTTTTTATGGTTTTAGGTCTAACATGTAAGTCTTTAATCCATGTTGAATTAATTTTTGTATAAGGTGTAAGGAAGGGATCCAATTTCAGCTTTCTACATATGGCTAGCCAGTTGTTTTCTAGGAAGTCTCTTATTCTCTTTAGATTCTGCCCAGATCATCCCCTTGCAATATTTTATTCCTGATACTCCTCAGATTTCCTCTCCAGAGCTATCTCTTTGTGGCAATTTTTGTCTTAAATTTTAATTATCAGTACTTAATATGTCCAACTCCCTTACAAGATCTTGCTTCAGAACAGAGATTTGGAATAGGTAAAGAAGGGTAAAGTGGTGGCTGGGGATGGTGGCTCATGCCTGTAATCCCAGCACTTTGGGAGGCTGAGGCGGGCGGATCACCTGAGGTCAGGAGTTCGAAACCAGCCTCGCCAACATGGTGAAATCCCGTCTGTACTAAAAATACAAAAAATTAGCCAGGCATGGTGGTGCCTGCCTGTAGTCCTAGCTACTTGAGAGGCTGAGTCGTTTAGACCCAGGAGGCAGAGGTTGCAGTGATCACTGCACTCCAGCCTGGGTGACAGAGCAAGACTCTGTCTCAAAAAAAAGAAAAGAAAGGTAAAATGGGAAACTGGTTGAATAGAATGAACAAAATGAGCGCATGAACCAATACACTGTTGACCAAACTTTAAAAATGGTAAATAAATATGTAGAGAATTAGGGTCAACTCTAAAACAAAACTGAATAGCTCAGATTCTGAATTTCATCCATAACCTTAATTCAGTTCAATAATTGTTTTAGAGTACCAAATAAAGGGTAGGCACAATGCTAAATTTTAATGATGTAATGATGAAGAGTAGTCCCTACCTTCCTAGAACTTCGAGAATGGTGGTTAGTTGTGGGTAGAATAGCACTTTTTTTGTTATAATCTACAGTTTAGTATAGTGGCCAACATCTGACTTAATGAGCTAAGGCAGTTGTTGGTTTATATATTACTTTCTAGTGTGAGAAAATGTCAATGTGTTTCTTCAACAGTGAGTTTTAAAAATAACTATTGGGTAGTAGGCTTAGTACCTGGCTGATGAAATAATCTGCACAACAAACTCTGTGACATGAGTTTACCTATATAAATAAATAAAAAATAAAAGTTAAAAAAAATTTTCCTTAGGCTAGGACTGGGGTGACTACCAAGTAGCATGAGTGAGTTTTGGAGGGTGACAGAATTGTTCTGTATCTTGATTACAGTGACAGAGACTTTATGCATTTGTCAAAACTTGAACTCACAGACCTATTTGCTAAAAAGGACAAATTTTACCATATGTAAACTTACCTCAGGAAACCTGACTCAAAAAAGAAAAAAAAATATGCCACTGAGTCTTAAAGGAATTGGATTCATCTGCAAAGTAGGGTAATTGGAAAGTGAAAATAATGGACTTATTTTAGAGGCTTTCTCTGAAGATAAATCGAATTTAGGTCTTTTAGGGAGTTCTTTCTTTCTAGATCCTTTCCTTCATAATCTGAGCTAATGGAAAGTTCAGAAATCCCTGAAATTGCTAGCCAAATTTTGTGTATACGTAAGTGCTTTTTTAGGGGTAGGAGATTGCATTTCTTATCTGATTGTTAAAGATGGGTTAGATTTCAATAAAGGTTAAGAACCACAGGTCTAAGAGCTTTTCTGCTTCCCCAGATACCACCCTTTTCCCCCATTGGAGGCCATCCTAGTGATTACAGGAGCTGGAGACCGATTTCTAGGAGTTGGTGAGAGTAGGCGAGTCTGTGAATCTACTGGTCGTAATACAGAGAGTCCACCTATGCTAACACAGGTCTTTTCCTGATTGCCTACTTATGCAAGCTAGAACTCCTTTTTCTACCACATCCGACCTCTATTCTGTCTCTTTGCCCCCTATGGCCGACCAATTTTTTTCTGGCATATTTAGCTTCCTTTAGTATTTAGCATATACTGAGGAGTACCTGTGCTTTCTATATCACTTTGAACTATGGTAATAAAAAAAAGTGTGAAATACAAATACATCTCTTTTATGTATATCTTACTGTTTGGAACAGTCCTTTAAATATTAATGATCATTTTTCAAAGTTAAAAGTTTCTAACCTTTTAAAAAGTTTACAAAATTTCCCACAATAACTGTATTTTAAATAGAAAATAAAAATTGCCCGTATTCTTACCATCAGCAATATCACTGCTAACATCTTTATATATTTTATTTATTTTGAGATCATGCTGTGTATGGCTTTTTCTTTTAAAAGATTATTGGCCAGGTGCAGTGGCTTATGCCTGTAATACTAGCACTTTGGGAGGCAGAGGTGGGAGGATCACTTGCACTCAGGAGTTGGAGACAAGCCTGGGCAACATAGTGAGACCTCATCTCTACAGAGAATTATAAAGAAAAAAAAAATTTAGCCAGGCATGGGAGCCTGTGCCTGTAATCCCAGCTTCTCAAGTGGCTGATGTGGGAGGATCACTTGAGCCCACTTGAGGCTGTAGTGAGCTATGATCATGCCAGCTGTACTCCAGCCTGGGTGGCAGAGCAAGACCTCATCTCAAAAAAAAAAAAAAAATGAAAACAAAAAGTTACTAAATATCACAAACACCCAATCTCTCCATCTTCTGGTCTGATCAAATCCCAATATTTTGCCATATTTGCTTCAGTTATTAAGAATAAAATATAGCTAAGCTCCTGTGTATCTCTCCTCAGTCTCATCTCTTGACTCTCTCCCTAAAATTAATCACTATCCTGAATTTGCTATTTATCATTCTCAAATTTTTATTACTATTATTTTTCATTTGCATACTTATATAATTCTTTTACATGTTTTAATACTTTATATAAATGGTATAACCTGCACACATCATTCTGAAACTTGCTCTTGTCACTTAGCATTCTGTCTGTTCACTCTAAATGCTTAGTTTAGTCCATTGTACCATTATACCACAGTTTGTTTTTGTTTTTTTCCTGTGCTGATGGACATTTAGGTGTTTAGGTCTTTTTTTTTCTTCCCCTAATACTAATGATGCTGCTGTTTACATTCTTGTTCATGTTTCTTGACACAAACGTGCAAGAGTTTCTCAACAGTATTTATTTCCAAATGGAATTTCTGGGTCTATAGGGTAAGTGCATCTCACTGGACACTGCCTGATTGCTCTCCTCTTCACTCTCACCAGCAATGTATGTGAGTTTCTAATTCTTTACAACTAGGTTAGACTTAAAATGTTTTTGTTTTTTTTTTTTTTGTTGCTGCTTTTTTGGTAATCTAAGGAAGATGAAATCATTTCTCATTTTAATTTGCATTTTTTTTATTACTAGTGAAACAACATTTTCTCTTATGTTTATATGCTTTTCTGGTTTCCTTTTTTGTGAATTTCCTGATTATGTATTTTGTTGATTTTGTTGTTGTCATTAGGTTGGTTCTTTTTAAAAAAATGGGTAAAAGTTTTTTATATATTCCAGATATGAATATTTTGGAACTTACATATATATGGTACTTTTTAGTTTGTCTTTTAATGTCTATAATATTTTATCATATGAACTTTCTTTATTTAACCATTCCCCTTATTGTTTGATATATAGGTTATTTCCATATACATTTTGTGTGTTTAGTTTCTTGGGCTATCTTATTAAAAAAAATTAGTGGTGGTGCTGAATTTGTCTTGGTCTACTTTGTAGTAAATGATAAATATTTGAGACAGTTGGCCAGGTCCAGCTGGTATAGCTGATGTGTGTGAAATAAAGCAGCACTCACTGGCCTTGTTGGTGCTTGAATCTGCCATTCTTACCATCAGTAACACTTGTTCTGACCAGTGAATTAACTGTAGAGTGACCTACATAAGTAAAAGCATTGTCATTGTGCAAGTGGCTTTGGCACTGAGGCTGGCATGTTTTTAATGGAACAAATGTTCACATGGAAAAGAATTCAAGATGATATAGTAGTTATCTAAGGTAGGTCACAGAAACACCAGACTCACACTTTCTCTAAAGCAAAAGGACTTCTCTGAGCCATAGCTTGGTGATATATAACTTAGCGTCTAGAGCAGGGATCAGCAAATGTTTTCTGCAAAGGACCAGATAATAAATATTTTAGACTTTTCAAGCCACATGGTTTCTGTTGCAGCTGCTCCCTTCTGCTGGTGTAGCACAGCAAGCAGTAGTCACACAGCCTTGCCCATTCATTTATGTGTTGTCTGTGACTGCTTTGGCCTCACAACAGAGCTGTTGAGTAGGCCTGCAAAACCTGAAAGATTTACTGTTTGGCCCTTTACAGACAAAATTTGCTGACTTCACCCCCTGCAAACTCAGCACTCTTGACATTTGGGGCCAGTTAATTATAGGTCTAGATTTAAGAAATGCTTAGTTTGGCTGAGGGAAATTCTTTCTTAAAAAATTCTTAATGGAATTGTAGCTTTGATTCGTTGCTTAAACATGAGCTCTGATCTCAGTGTCAGATTAGAGAGGCCAAAAATGGCACATGAGCATTTGAATGCAATTGTCCTAAACTATGAAATCAGATCATATTTTGATATGTGACACATATTAGACCTGGAAATCTTCCTGATCTGTAGCTAGCTTATCAAATTGAGTGGTATGTAAACTCTTTATCTATCTAGGTTTATCCCATTTATAGCAGATATGAAATTTGTTCCTGCATTTCTGTGTGTCAGGTGTTCCTTTTTTATCTATCTGTCTCTTCACAGCTGTTGGCATTTGCCAGCTGGCTATGCCTGAGCCTCAAGTGAGGCAGTATTTACAGCTCAGTTGGATGGATGCAGCAACTAGGGTAGCTCAAGGGCAGATGAAATAGGATCCAGAATGAGAATGCTGCATCTCTCTTTGCTCTGTCTTCTTTCACATGAGGAATAATTTCTCTCTCTCCCCTCCCTGTCAAATGAGAAGTAGTATTGATTGGTTTGGTACAGTGTATAAAACATGTATCTAATTGAATGTTATTTTGGGAACTATTAGCAGCATTGGCTCTGCCGAGGCCCAAGATTTTGCCTTCTTTCCCTTTTCTCCTCCCCTTCCTTCTCCTCCTCCTTAGTAGCAGCTCCTTAGCAAATTGCAAGCTTTGCCTCTGGCTTGCTGTATAGCAGTGGCAGTGCAAGCCTTTTCCAGTGTCCAAGGGAGACCGGGTGCTGAGACTGCAGTCTTTCCCAGCAGCCACTTACCTTTCTGGCTATTCGTTTCCACGCATCTCTTGACCTTCGTTCTGTTATGCAGGCCTGCTCGAGGAGGTAACAGCCTGTTTTCTTGGAGCGCTCTTTGTCAAAGGGGGCAGAGGGAAAGTAGGGTGGTACAGGGAAAGGTGTACAGAGACAGCAGAGTATAAATGCTGCAATTGGGAAAAAGTAGCTCTAAAGTGTGCTGTATCTGTGGGCTTACTCCTATTTGCTATATCTATAGAACTGTTGTAAAGGTGGGAACCCCAGCACTATATGGCACTATTTAAAGTACCACATATAAAAATGTAAGATTACTCTAATACCACCTCCATGAAGCATAGGAGAAAAATGAGAACTTTGAGAAGAAAATGGAATCAATTGCTTTTAAACTTAGCTGACTAACAAATTGCATTTTTTTTTTTTTTGAGACAGAGTCCCACTCTTGTCGCCCAGGCCGGAGTGCAGTGGTGCGATCTCACTGCAACCTCTGCTTCCCAGGTTCAAGTGAATCTCATGCCTCAGCCTCCCCGGTAGCTAGGATTACAGGTGTAGGCCACTATGCAATTTCTTCTGTTTTTAGTAGAGACATGCTTTCACTGTGTTGGCCAGAATGATCTCAAACTCCTGGCCTCAGGTAATCTGCCCGCCTCGGCCTCCTGAAATGCTGGAATTACAGGCATGAGCCACCGTGCCCAGCCACAAATTGCATTTTTGATGAAATTTTGTTAAGTTTAAGTTTTATGAGTTGGATCTGGTTTTCAGGTTTGAGGAGAGGGCTTGATAATATTGTCTTTTAATTGAATTCTCAGGACTTCTAGAGCTGTGGTGTGCAGTATGGTAATCAGTAGCCATGTGTGGCTACTCAAATTTAAATAATTAAAATTAAATTTAAAATTTAGTTCCTCTTTTAACTGCTCAGTGACCACATGTGACTAGTGGCAACCATATTGGGCTGTGCAGGTATACAACATTTCCATTATTACACAAAGTTCTGTTGGTCAGTATTAAAGAAAGTAACCCATGAAATAAAAGAAATGTAGTATTTGGCCAGACTGAGAATAGACATTTGGTGAGCAGACTTAGAGGCCGTTTGTTCAGAATCAGTATAAATATGGATTCATCATGGTTTAAAGCTAAATGGGATCTTTAAAATTTTAGATTTACCCCTTTGTTTTACAGATGAAGAAACTAGAGTTCCAAGAGATTGATTCACTTAAGATCAAACAAGTAATTAATGGCAGAGCTAAAACTAGAATCCAGGTGCCTGTTCTTTCTATTGTACCATAGTATTAGCCTCCCCTTCCCAATTAGGAACAGCAAGGAAAATTTAAACTAAAATTTACCTCATAGTGTCCTAGCAACTGTAGAGTCAACTGCATCCTCCAAAGAAGAATTTATCCCTGATATTTTTAATGTTTATAGTTTGTTCATGGCAGTCTTATACCATGTTGATGGAAATTTCTAGAAATGTAAAAATCATACTTTCCCAAGAATGGAGTGTTGATTATGACAGATTTTTGGGAAATGTCGGGATGCTAGGAGAAGTTTAATGCAAGACATTGTTATCCATTAGTTCCCGATATTGCAGGATTTGCCAGAAGAAATGTCTTGCTACATAAATCTACATAGCTAGAATACCATGGTACTGAGTGGAGGAAACAGTGTTCATTGTGGTGCAATATAAGAAAAACTATACCGGAAGCAGGAGAACATGGTTAAAATCCCTTTAGGTATATAACATTGTTACCTTGGGTGTTTTAGCATCTCCTTAGGCTTTTATTGACTCATCCGTAAAATAAGAATACATTTTTTGTGTCTACCTGAAGTCTTAGAATTAGATCAAATGACATCTTGAATTCATAAAGTCTGTAGGCATAGGTCTGTGATTCCCATGATCCCCCTAAGTCTGTCCCCCTACCCCCGCCCCCAGTAGCTATCCATATTTACTTCCAGGTTGATATTAAAGAAGGTGTTTTTAGGATGTCTGAAGAACTTTTGTGGATGTAATCTTATGTTAATATACAGGACATTGGCCAGGCATCGTGGCTCATGCCTGTAATCCTAGCACTTTGAGAGGCTGAGCCGGGCAGATCACCTGAGGTCAGGAGTTCGAGACCAGTCTCGCCAACATGGTGAAACTCCGTCTTCTCTATTAAAAAATGCAAAAACTAGCTGAGTGTGGTGGCATGCGCCTGTAGTCCCAGCTACTAGGGAGGCTGAGGTGGGAGGATTGCTTGAACCCAGGAGGCAGAGGTTGCATTGAGCCTGAGATTGTGCCACTGCACTCCAGCTTGGGCAACAGAGTGAGACTCTGTCTCAAAAAAAAAAAAAAAAAGGGCATAGTTCAATCAATAATAAACTATCTTATAAGACCATTAGATATTCTGTAATTAATGACCACAGCATCCTCAGTGGTCAGTATTAGACATATACTATAAAATATTTATATAGTATGTCTTTAATTATATTTTTATATATTATAAGCTATATAATATGTAAATATAGTAAATTTTTATGGCCGGGCTGTGGTGGCTTACCCTGTAATCCCATCACTTTGGGAGTCTGAGGCAGGGGATCACTTGAGGTCAGGAGTTTGACACCAGCCTGGCCAATGTGGTGGAAAACCCGCTCTACTAAAAATACCAAAATTAGCTGGGCCTGGTGGCACATGCCTGTATTTCCAGCTACTCGGGAGGCTGAGGCAGGAGAATCACTTGAACCTGGAAGGCAGAGGTTGCAGTGAGCTGAGATCACGCCACTGCACTCCAGCCTTGGAGACGGAGCAAGACTCTGTCTCAAAAAAAAAAAATTTTTAGTAAGACATATACTATAAGAGACATCTATAAAAGCTATATACTCAACTTAGTTCCTTTCCTGTTTGGAGTGAACATGTTTAAATACCATTCTCTCCTCAACAGATTTGAGGTATAGGACTCTAAAGCTACTTCAAAACCCAATTTCCCATTGGATTCCAGACAAAATTTATTTTGTTATCATTCTAGAGAAAGCAGCGTTGTTCTCTCCTTGGAAATTATGATTATTTCTTTTTTCATTCATCTACTTGGAGTAGTTTTATTTTACTTAGGTAACCCTATGAAGCTTCATGGAGAATATTTCAAGGGAATTAAGTCCTCTTCCAAATGAGTTAGCCATACCTGGTAAAAATAATTAAGGGGAACTCTTTGATTTAGATGTGATGAATATTGTAGCACACCTATCCTTTCTTTATTTTCCAAATTATTACTGATGAGCTTTTAATATGACAATGAAAATAATGTAGTAGTAAGAGTATTGGTCATGATGATAGTAGTTCTGGTCATGGTAGTAGCAGCAAACGTGTGCCAGGTTTTATTCTAAGTGCCTTACATGGGTTTGCATTTTATCTTCACAACTCTATTAATATATCTGTATATATCTATTACAACTGCTCATATCTTCATTGTATAAGAAACTTGGGTATAGAGTGCTTAAATAATTTATCCACAATCACCTACCAAGTAAGTTGAGAAGCCATGGTACAAAACCAGGCAGTATGATTTTTATGCCAGGGTACTTTATCACTACACTATACCTGTATAAAAGGTATAGTTTAGGTCTTTTATCATCATTTATTGTGACTTTTAAAATATTCACTGGTGATTTGCTGGATGTTTTGCACAACTTCCTTTTTCTTTTTCTTTTCTTTTCTTTTTTTTTTTTTGAAACAGTCTCTCACTCTGTCACCCTGGGCTACAGTGCAGTGGTGCAGTGATGGCTCACTGCAGCCTTGACTTCCTGGGCTCAAGCAATTCTCCCAAAACAACTTCTTGAGGCAGAATTTGTCCATTTATAGTGTGCGAAGGGGCAGTATAAACTTTAGAGACAAAGTACAAAGTATATCTGTGAAGTCATGCTTAATTCTCTGTAATCAATTATTTGAATGCCACTGATTGTGTAATCTCAATATCATAACAAATACAAAGAAAAATTCTTCCTGCCCTCTAGGAAACATAATAGATAGAGATGGTAATAAGAGGACTTTGGCATCTGAATTCCTTCCCATGCTACTAAACTGTGAGTGTTAGCCTAGTTTTTTCCAGATGCAGGAGGCAAGGGGATAGATGAGAAGCCATGGCTTCCATTATTTTTATTTCTGTTTTGTGAGACTATATCTGTCTTCTTTGAATAGCAATGAAGAATCCTGTAGCATTCAGATTCATGGATGGCTGCAATGCTTCTCAGAAAAATCAAGGAGTTTGGAGTGAGGGCTTGCTCTACATAGGGGTCAGCAATATTTTTCTATAAAGGGTCAGATAGTGATTATTTTGGCCTTTGCAGGCCATGTTGTCTCTGTTGCAGTTACTAAACTCTTCTCTGTGATTCCAATAAAACTTTATTTACAAAAATGTTGCAGGCCAGATTTGGCCCAAGGTCATAGTTTGCTGACCAGCTGGTCTAGATTTTAGAAAGTGTTACAGAAGGACTTAGTCTCTAATGAAAACGTAGTATAGTATGTCCTCAACGCAGCTATAAGTTAGGCACGTTACTTCTCTGATCTTTCGAATGCCCATCTGAGATAAAGAAAAATAAATGAAAATGTTCCTTCAAAAACATTTACAGTTCAAGTACTGGAATTTATGGGTTTTGTTTTTATATATTTTTTCTTAAATAATAAAACTCTCATATATTGACACAGGCTACAGAGTAATATGTGTGATATTCATAGTATATAGTTTTTATAGTTTTATGGTTTATAAAAAACTATATATAGTTTGTATACTATATATTTACATACAATCTGGACTTATATGCAGTAAAATAAAAATGAGATTATCTCCATGTGGTAGAATTTTAGTTGATTTTTATTTTCATATTTTTGCCTGTTTTTTCCCCCTGGCAAAAAAGTAATGTGATTTCACATGTGTGATTTCAAATATTTAAGATTCCAAGTCAAGTAAAATATTCCTGATCTTACCTACCAGGTTTTTATGAGCTCTGTTTCTCTCATTCAAAAAAACTCTCTAGAGTAGACAGTAGGATAAGGGAGCTTGAGCCCTTTTTCTTTCACTGTGCCTTCTGTACTGTATGCAAAGAAGAGATAAAGATCAAGAATTCAGTAAAATAGTGATACTGTATGTTTTGCAGGTAGAAATAACATATGAGTAGGTTTGCTGGTAATCTAGACAGAACTTCATGGGAAGTTAGTTCTCACCAATTCCAGTATCTGGACTACAGCTTTAGTTTTGGGACTTAATTTTTTTAGTTCACTCAGAGGAGAGGAATATATTAAGGAAATATGCAAACCTACCAAACTACAGTATATTGACACATGTATTGGAATTCCAATTTACTAATTTACCTTGAGGGAAAAAATATGAGTATTAAAAACATTGCCTGGTTGGGTACTTCTGCTTCAGTCTGTGGCATATTTTGTTTATGTAAAATCTCCCACTGAGAATAACTAGAAAAAGCTGGATAAATATAAGAAAAAAGTTTTTGAAGGTACTTGAGAGTTACGAAGCAAGTGAGAACTTGAGGGATCAAGATCCTGGAGAGAAGGAAACCTTAAAAGGGTAAACCCAACATTTGGCTCTACTTTTCCCCTTGAGGTATTTGCTGATTAGTAAAGCAGTGGCTATGAGCCTGAGAAACTGAACAAGATTTTGGTAGTCTCATGGGACTCAGGGAATGATTGGAGTTCAGAAAGAGAGCCTAGCAGATACCCCAGACTTTGATTTAGAACCACTGAAGGGCTACATTCTAAGGACTTACCAGAAATAGACCAGCCCTTGAAAAGACTGAAGCCTAGCTTCCAACCAGCTCAGTATCAAAGTGGATTAAGGTACTTTTCCTTAGTCTCTTGTTTCTTAAAGTGTGGTCCCCAGACCAGCAGTGTCATCTGAACTTATTAGAAATGCAGATTCTCAGACCCCTACACCAGACCTGCTGAATCAGGACCTCTGTTGGTGTGGTACTCAGAAATTTGTATTGCATAAGCCCTCAAAGTGGTTCTGATACAAGTGAAAGTTTAAGAACCACTTCCTTAGCCTAACTGCCAGGGGGAAAAAATATTCTCTCTGAAGGGTAGCAACAACAGTCATGAGTTATCACTCACTACGTTTTTTTATTAAATACGCCTGATGTTAATTTAAAAATTAGCATACATACCAAGAAATAAGAGTTACCAAAAGACCAAAAGAAAAAATAGACAATAGGAACAGGTCCAGATACTGATATTATCAGACATGGACTTTAAAATCATTGTGATTAATATGTTCCAGGAAGTAGATAAGAAGTAGAGATTTTCACCAGAGAACTGCAATCTGTTAAAAACAATCAAGTGGAAATTCTAGAAACAAAAAATCACTGAAATCAAGAAACTCAGTTGGTGAGTTTGCAGTAGTAGACCAGATAAAGAAATGATAGTGAACTGAAAGGTTGGACAGTGGAAAATATCCAGAATGAAGCACAGAGAGATAAAAGGATGCAAAATGCAGAAAAAGCATGATAAATCAGTAGAACATGGCCAGTAAGGTCTAACATAAATGATTGGAGTCCCAAGAGAGGGCAGAAACTAGCTTGATTTTTCACAGAACACCGTTTTTTACTTCAAAGCATTACTGATGGTCAAACAATGGTTATTCACACCTGAGTAATTTGGCAGACATTTTCTTGAAAATAGAGTCAAGCCGTTGAGTATTTGTTGCCAATTAAAAATTTAAACTTTCAAGCAGAAATTAGAATTTTAGAAAACTTATATGCCACCATGAGTAATATTACTGACAGCTTCCCAATACTTAAAGACTGTTCTAAGATCAAAGGTGATATTAAATAATTTATTTTTACTATTATTATATAATGTAGTATGTCAATATTGGGAAGATCTGCTTAATGTAGCAATATTTTACAAATGCACCAATATTTTACAAATGACTTATAAAGATATGTTACAAAATCATGCATGAATAAGAAGATTCTTTGAAAGTATAAGATAGACCAAAGGATTTCAATGTAACAGAATATGAAAAATCTATTAATATATTTTAGAGCAGTGTTCTCCAACCTTTTTGGCACCAGGGACTGGTTTTGTGGAAGACAATTTTTCCACAGACTGGTGGAGGCATGGGGTGTGGGGGACGGTGATGGTTTTGGGTAAAACTGTTCTGCAGATCATCAGGCATTAGTTAGATTCTCATAAGGCATGCACAACCTAGATTCCTGGCATGGGCAGCTCACAATAGGGTTCACGTCCCTATGAGAATCTAATGCCGTGGCTGATCTGACAGAGGGCAGAGCTCAGGCATCAATGCTCACTCGCTCACCTCCTGCTGTACAGCGTGGTTCCTAACAGGCCACAGATCAGTCCTGTTCTGCAGCCCGGGAGTTGGGGACCCCTGTTTTAGAGTATACATTGTAATTAACCACCACTTGTGTTGGTGTAGCATCAAAGAAAAATATCTCCCAATTATCTGAGAAAGCTATCACAATACTCCTCGCTTTTCCAACTATGTATTTGTGAAAGACTAGTCTTTATATATTTTAACCAAAACAATATATTGACTGCATAAAGAGATAAGAGGATCCCACTGTCTTCTATTAAACCAACATTAAAGAAATTTATGAAAATGTAAAACAATGCCACTCTTCTAATTTTTTGTTTTGGAAGATATAGTTTTTTTAATAAAAAATAATATTGATGTTAAAATGTATTAGGGCTATTATTTTCTTTTTTATTTTAAAATTTATTTGACACATAACTACATATTTATGGAGGTACAGTTTGATGTTTCGATGCATATCTATGTTGTATAATGATCTAATCAGAGTAGTTAGTATATTCATCATCCATGCATTTATCATTTCCTTGTGGTAAGAACATTCAAAAGCAACTGTTTTACCTATTTTGTAATATACAATATTTTGCTTTTAACCATAGTCACCTTACTCTGCAATAGAACATCAGAATTTATTCCCTCTGTCTAATTATAACTTTGAACCATAAACCAACCTCTCCCCATCCTTCTCTCACCTCTTCCCTCCCCAGTCTCTTGTAACCACTGTTCTACTCTCTGATTTTATGATATCAACTGCCCCCACCTTTTTTTAGATTGCACATATTAGTGAGATCATGCAGTATTTTTTTTTCTGTGTCTGGCTTATTTCACTTAACCTGATATTCTCCAGGTTCATCTGTGTTGTTGCAAATGACAAGATTTTGTTCTTCTTTTTAATGGATGGATACTGTTCCATTCTGGATATAAACATTTTCTTTACCCATTCTTCCATTTTTGAGGACTCAGTTTCATATTTTTGTTAATGTAAATAGTGCTGCCATAAACAGGTAATGCAGATAACTCTTCAATATACTAATTTCCTTTCCTGTAGATGTGTACACAGTAGTGGGATTGCTGAATCATATGGTAGTTCTATTTTTAAGTTTTAAAGGAACCTCCATACTGTTTTCCACAATGGCTGTACTAGCTTACAGTCCCACCAACTTATGTAAGTGTTCCCCTTTTCTTCACATCCCTGCCAAGACTGGTTTTCTTTTGTCTTTTTGATAATGGTCATTCTAAGTCGTGTGAAATGGTACCTATTGTGGTTTTGATTTTCATTTCCCTGATGGTTTGTGATGTTGACCATTTTTTCATATATTCATTAGCCATTTGTATGACTTCTTTTGAGAAGTAAATGTCTGTTAAGGTATTTTGCCCATTTTTAAAATCAGGTTTTTGTTTTTTTGTTTTGTTTGCTGCTAAGTCCCGTATATATTCTGGATATTAACTCCTTGTCAGATGTATAGTTTGCAAGTTTTCTTTCCCATCCTTTAGGTTGTCTGTTTACTCTGTTTAATAGTTTCCTTTGCTATGGAAAAGCATTTTAGTTTGTTGCAATCTCATTTGTCCATTTTTGCTTTTGTTTTCTATGCTTTTGAAGTCTTATTTAAAATATCCTAGCTTAGCCCAATGTCATGAAGCATTTCTCCTATGTTATATTCTAGGTAGTTCCACAGTTTTGGGTTTCCATGTTAAGTCTCTAATCTACTTTGAATTGATTCTTGTATGTGGTGAGAGGTAGGGATTTACTCTCATTCTTCTGCATGTTGATGTCCCACTTTCCCAGCAGCATTTATTGAAGAAACAGTTTCTCCCCTAATGTGTGTTCGTGGCACCTTTGTCAAAAATCAGTTGGCTTTAGGTATGTCAATTTATTTCTGGGCTTTCTATTCTGTTCCATTGGTCTATGTGTCTGTTTTTATGCCAGTACTATTCTGTTTTTGTTATTATACGTTTGTAGTATATTTTTAAGTTATGTAGTGTGATGCTTCCAGCTTTCCACTCAGAATTGCTTTGGCTGTTCTTTTTTTTTTTCTGGTTTCATATGAATTTTAGGATTTTGTTTTATTTTTATGAAGAACACCTTTTTTTTTTTTTTTTGACATGGAGTCTTGCTCTGTTGCCCAGGCCAGAATGCAGTAGGTGCAATCTTGGCTAAGATATTAACAAGAAATTACAAAAGATAGAGAACTGGAAAGACAAACCTATGGAAGAGCTTCTAAGAGAAACCCAAAAAGTATATGAAAAAAGAGAGAAAGACTGACAGAGGGAACAGAGGAAGTCTGCACCCAAAATCCCAGTGAGTAGTTTGGCAGGAACGACGGTTACAGAACAGGTGACTCAGGATGACTCAGGTCAGAGCAGGCGACCAGGGGTGACTCAGGACAGAGCAGGTGATAGAGGCTAGGAGGGGGTTGTGTACTGAAGCTAGAGGCAAGAGGGCGAAGAGAACCAGGAAGTTAAGCTTTAAAATGGAGAATAGAGAATAAGAGAGCTCAATATACTGGCATACTGATTCCTTGAAGAGAAACTTGTAGTTCACTACATTTGACACCTACTGTTATAGTATTACAGTCTATCTCTCCCTTTACCTCTAATAATATTTGCTTTATATATCTGTGTGCTCTGGTCTTGGATGGATGTATGTATTTATAGTTTTTATATCCTCTTGCTTAATTGTACCCTTTATCAATGTCTAATGACTTTCTTTGTCCTCTTTTACAGTTTTTGACTTAAAGTCTGTTTTATCTGACATGGTTACTCCTGCTCACTTGGTTTCCATTTGCATGGAATATCTTTTTCCCTCCCTTTACTTTTAGTCTATGTTTGTCTTTAATGGTTAGGTGAGTCTGTTTTAGGCAGTATATGGTTGGGTCTTGTTTTTAATCCATTCAGCCACTCTGTATCTTTTAATTGGATAATTTAATCCATTTATATTTAAGCTTATTATTGATAAAGAAGATCTTACTCCTCCCATTTTGTTAATTTTTTTTCTGGTGGTTTTATAGATCCTTCGTTCCTTTCTTCCTCTTTTATTTACTTCTGTGGTTTGGTGGTTTTCTGTAGTACTGAGCTTTGTTTCCTTTCTCTTTCTTGTTTGTGCCTCTGCAGTAATTTCTTTCTTTCTTTGTGGCTACCATGGGGCTAACATTAAACGTCTTATAGTAGAATGTTTTAAGCTGATAGCAACTTAACTTTGGTTGCATTAAAATGCTCTAGACTTCTCTTTTTTGTTTCTGTAATTACTTTTTTACCTGTGATTGTGTTCCTTAGCTACTAATTGTAACTGTCAGGAGTTTTGACCATTTTGACTTTAAACCTTCATACTAGAGGACTGAGAGACTTACATAGCACCATTAAATCACTGGGCTAGTCTGAATTTGATTTATGAACTTACCTCTATTGGTGAGTTTTATACTTTTACATCTTTTCATGAAAATAATTATAATCTTTTATTTCCAGTTATACCATTCTCTTAAGTATTTCTTGTAAGGCTAGTCTAGTGGTGATGGTTTTTTCTCAGCTTTTGCTTGTCTGCGAAGGTCTTTATTTTTCCTTCATTGGTGGATGATAGCTCTGCTGGATATAGTAGTCTTGGCTGACAGGTTTGTTTTTTTCCCCCAAACACTTTGAATGTATTATCTCATTCTCTCCTGGCCTACAAGGTTTCTCCTGAGAAATCCAGGGGTACAGCGCTGCTGCTTGACCAACTATCAGGCCAAGCATGGGTACAGCAGGGCCACACAACCCTGCAGTGATCTGTCTTTGGGGCAGGGCTGCTGCTAAACTGGCTGTCAGGCACAGTGGTGTGTGGCCACAGCAGGGCTGGGTGGTTCTGCAGCGGTCTGAGGGGTGGAACCACGGTAGAACTGGTTGTTGGGCTGGATGTGGGTGTGCATAGGTTCAGCTGGCAAGCTAGCTGTGCAGTGCAGGTATGTACCGGTGAGGGGACTGGCCAGCAGTTAGGCAGTTTCCCCCATGTGCAGGTTTGGCTGTTCCTGGGGTTGGGAGGGTATTGTACCACATGGGTTCAAGTGCAGAGGTCTCAGTTGTTGCATCTGACTAGGCTTCAGGCAGCTAGGATTGTAGTGCTACAGGCGCCTGTGTGAACATGGTAGAGTGATGGCAGGGCTACATGAATGGAGAAAGTCCATTCTTGTACCGGACTACAGGGAAGGGCACATTCTAGTAGTAGGTCCAGTTTCAAGATGATACTGAGTAGCAGCAGCTTAGGATGTGAGGGTGGGGGGCAGGGGGTGCTCAAGGTGAGCTCCTACTCTAGGCAAAGTTAACTGTATGAACTCTACTCTCCAAACTGGATTCAGGGCCTTTGAGGACAGAGGGACTCTCCTATAGCAAGAATTTCTGGCATTTATGGTAGCAATGGGGATCACTGGTGATCTCCAGCTTACGTTTTTCCCTTAAGAAGCCCCCTCTGGCTCCAGGCTGATCCTGGTAGGGGAGACAGTGTGGCAGAAGCAGAATACCTTGCTCCCCTCTCTATGGTGCTGCCCTGGGCTTTTGTCTTCCACAGGGATTTTGCTGTTCCCCTGGTGCTCTCCCGAGTACTTCTTTGGTCATTTTAATTGAAATATCGTTGTTTATTCATTGTTTTGGTCCCTTTTTGTGGAGAGGATGGGCTTTAGGTAACTCAATTTGGCCATCCTGCTGACATCACTCCATCTTATCTAGGGCTATTTTAATATTATTATTATTGTTATTGTTATTTGAGACAAGGTCTGGCTCTGTCAACCAGGCTGAAGTGCAGTGGTATATTCTCAGCTCACTACAACCTCTGCCACCCAGGCTTAAGCCGTCCTCCCATCTCAGCCTCATGAGTAGGTGGGACTACAGGCACATGCCACTGCACCTGGCTAATTTTTGTATTTTTTGAAGAGACGAGGTTTTGCCATGTTGCCCAGGCTGGTCTCAAACTCCTGGGCTCAAGCCAGCTACCCGCCTGGGCCTCCCAAAGTGTTGGGATTACAGGCATGAGCTACTGCTCCTGGCTGCTATTATTTTTAAATAAATTAATAAATACATTTTTTAATTTTTAAATTTTAATTTCTAGTAAGATAAATATTAATCCCCATATAAACAAAAGCTTTCTGGGGTTCTCAATAATTTTAAAAAATATTAAAGGATCTTGAGACCAAAACAATTTGAAAGCCACTGCTCTAGATATTAAAATAACAAATGTATTCTAAGGGTATTATTAACAACTTTATGCCACTAAATGTGATAATACAGACAAAATGGAAAATTTCTTAAAAAACAATTACCAAAACAGAAAATTTGAATAAGCCTAACTCTATTAAAGACATTGAACCCTTTATTTAAAACTTTCCCATAAGGGCTGGACACAGTGGCTCACACCTATAAACCAGCACTCTGGGAAGTCAAGGTGGGAGGATCGCTTGAGCTCAGGAGTTCAAGATCAGCCTAGGCAACATAGCGAGACCTCATCTCTACTAAAAATAAAAAAAAGTTAGCCAGGTGTGGTGGCGTGCACCTGTAGTCCCAGCTACTTGCAAAGGCTGAGGAGGGAAAATTGCCTGAGTCCAGGAAATCAAGGCTACAGTCAGCTATGATCACGCCACTGTACTCCAGCATGGGCAACGAAGTAAGACTCTGTCTCAAAAATAAAAAACAAAACCTTCCCACAAGGAACACTGTAAACCCAGATGACTTGATTAGTGAACACTTCCAATCATTTAAGGAGGAAATAACCCAAATCTTACACAAATTCTTACAGAAATAGACATGTAGAGAACACTCACAATTCACATAACCTTAATTCACAAAGCTGACCAGCATATTACAAGAAGGGAAAATTATAAGCCAATTTCTTTCATGAATGTGGTAGAAATTCTAAACTAAATAATAGTGAATATGTTTAAAAATCTATATAAAAAGATGGTACATCTTGACCAAGTTGAGCTTGTCCCAAGAATTCAGTGTTGCTTTATCATTCAAAAATTATTCAATGTAATTCACCTTCCTGACAGAAAAAAGGAGAAAAGCAATCATCTCAATATATGGGGAAGAATAGCATGTGATAAAGTTCAACATACACTAATGATTAAAAAACAACGAGAAACCCTCTTAGCCTGTTTTCTGTAGGAATAGAAGGGAATTGCTTTAATTTGATGAGTGGTATCTGCATAAATCTTACAACAAACATTACACTTAATGAAAAAATGCTGAAAGCATTCTCTTTGATGGCAGGATTACAGAGAATGAAAACTTACTATCATCACTGCTTTTCAGCATGTCCTAGAGATTCCTAGCCAAAGCATTAAGGCAAGAAAAGAAATAAAAATTGGAAGGATGGGAAAGAAGAAATAAAATTCTCATTTTACAGATGACATGATTCTGTGTGAACAGTAATACATTTAAAAACACAATAGTCCCGTTATCCATGGGAGATACATTTCTTTTTTTTTTTTTTTTTTTTTTTTTTTTTTTGAGACCTAGTTTCACTCGTCACCCAGGCTGGAGTGCAGTGGTGCAATCTCAGCTCACTGCAACCTCGGCCTCCAAGTTGAAGTGATTCTTTTGTCTCAGCCTCCTGAGTAGCTGGGATTACGGGTGCCCACCAGCACACCTGGCTAATTTTTGTATTTTTAATAGAGACAGGGTTCCAGCATGTTGGTCAGGTTGGTCTCGAACTCCTGACCTGAGGTGATCCTCCTACCTTGGCCTCCCAAAGTGCTGGGATTATAGGTGTGAGCCACCGCACGATACCTTTCAAGACTTCCAGTGGATGATTGAACCTACAGATAGTACAGAACCCTATATAAATACAATTTGTCCTATAAATACATACCTACACTAAAGTTTAATTTATAATTAGGCACAGTAAGAGATTAGCAATAATATTAATAACTAATAATAAAATAGACAGTTATAACAAAATGCCAGCATCACTACTCTTGCACTTTGGGGCCATTATTAAGTAGAATACGGATTAGTTGAACATAAACACTGTGATATCACAACAGTGCATGATTTGCATCTCCGGAGGGACAGAATGGAACAGCATGAAATTTCACCACGCTATTCAGAACAGTGCACAATTGAAAATGTATGAATTGTTTATTGATGGAAGTTTTCATTTAATATTTTCAGACCACAGTTCACCATGGGCTACTGAAACCACAAAAAGCAAAACCACAGATAAGGGGAGCAACTGTAATAACTTGGATTCTGTAATGTTTGCTGATGGTTGATAGCATATCTGTCACTTTGACTTTGCTTAAGTTCATTCCTAGAATGTAGAAATCTCTTCAATACATGGAAACACTTTGTCATTCCTCAAGTATATTCAGCAAAGATCTTCCTTTTGCTATTACTTTTTTTTTCTCTGCAGGTCCTATCTGACTCCTGTACAGGATAAGGAAGCAGAGTTTTAAGGACAGCACGCTCCAGACAAGCTCGGCAGACACGAAGGTCTACTCAAGTGAGTGTGGCTTTTTTTAAAATGTCATTTTGTCTATCTACCCTTCTGTTGGAGGTACAATGAAAACACACTGCTTTCTACATATGGCTAGCCAGTTTTCCCAGCACCATTTATTAAATAGGGAATCCTTTCCCCGTTGCTTGTTTTTCTCAGGTTTGTCAAAGATTAGATAGTTGTAGATATGTGTCGTTATTTCTGAGGGCTCTGTTCTGTTCCATTGATCTATATCTCTGTTTTGGTACCAGTACCATCCTGTTTTGGTTACTGTAGCCTTGTAGTATAGTTTGAAGTCAGGTAGCGTGATGCCTCCAGCTTTGTTCTTTTGGCTTAGGATTGACTTGGCAATGTGGGCTCTTTTTTGGTTCCATGTGAACTTTAAAGTAGTTTTTTCCAATTCTGTGAAGACAGTGATTGGTAGGTTGATGGGGATGGCATTGAATCTGTAAATTACCTTGGACAGTATGGCCATTTTCACGATATTGATTCTTCCTACCCATGAGCATGGAATGTTCTTCCATTTGTTTGTATCCTCTTTTATTTCATTGAGCAGTGGTTTGTAGTTCTCCTTGAAGAGGTCCTTCACGTCCCTTGTAAGTTGGATTCCTAAGTATTTTATTCTCTTTGAAGCAATTGTGAATGGGAGTTCACTCATGATTTGGCTCTCTGTTTGTCTGTTATTGGTGTATAAGAATGCTAGTGATTTTTGTACATTGATTTTGTATCCTGAGACTTTGCTGAAGTTGCTTATCAGCTTAAGGAGATTTTGGGCTGAGACAATGTGGTTTTCTAGATATACAATCATGTCGTCTGCAAACAGGGACAATTTGACTTCCTCTTTTCCTAATTGAACACCCTTTATTTCCTTCTCCTGCCTAATTGCCCCGGCCAGAACTTCCAAAACTATGTTGAAAAGGAGTGGTGAGAGAGGGCATCCCTGTCTTGTGCCAGTTTTCAAAGGGAATGCTTCCAGTTTTTGCCCATTCAGTATGATATTGGCTGTGGGTTTGTCATAGATAGCTCTTATTATTTTGAAATACGTCCCATCAATACCTAATTTATTGAGAGTTTTTAGCATGAAGAGTTGTTGAATTTTGTCAAAGGCCTTTTCTGCATCTATTGAGATAATCATGTGGTTTTTGTCTTTGGTTCTGTTTATATGCTGGATTACATTTATTGATTTGCATATATTGAACCAGCCTTGCATCCCGGGGATGAAGCCCACTTGATCATGGTGGATAAGCTTTTTGATGTGCTGCTGGATTTGGTTTGCCAGTATTTTATTGAAGATTTTTGTGTCAATGGTCATCAAGGATATTGGTCTAAAATTCTCTTTTTTGGTTGTGTCTCTGCCCAGCTTTGGTATCAGGATGATGCTGGCCTCACAAAATGAGATAGAGAGGATTCCCTCTTTTTCTATTGATAGGAATAGTTTCAGAAGGAATGGTACCAGTTCCTCCTTGTACCTCTGGCAGAATTCGGCTGTGAATCCAACTGGTCTGGACTCTTTTTGGTTGGTAAGCTATTGATTATTGCCACAATTTCAGATCCTGTTATTGGTCTATTCAGAGATTCAACTTCTTCCTGGTTTAGTCTTGGGAGAGTGTATGTGTCAAGGAATTTATCCATTTCTTCTAGATTTTCTAGTTTATTTGCGTAGAGGTGTTTGTAGTATTCTCTGATGGTAGTTTGTATTTCTGTGGGATCAGTGGTGATACCCCCTTTATCATTTTTTATTGCATCTATTTGATTCTTCTTTTTTTCTTTGTTAGTCTTGCTAGCGGTCTATCAATTTTGTTGATCCATTCAAAAAACCAGCTCCTGGATTCATTAATTTTTTGAAGGGTTTTTTGTGTCTCTATTTCCTTCAGTTCTGCTCTGATTTTAGTTATTTCTTGCCTTCTGCTAGCTTTTGAATGTGTTTGCTCTTGCTTTTCTAGTTCTTTTAATTGTGATGTTAGGGTGTCAATTTTGGATCTTTCCTGCTTTCTCTTGTGGGCATTTAGTGCTATAAATTTCCCTCTACACACTGCTTTGAATGCGTCCGAGAGATTCTGGTATGTTGTGTCTTTGTTCTCGTTGGTTTCAAAGAACATCTTTATTTCTGCCTTCATTTCGTTATGTACCCAGTAGTCATTCAGGAGCAGGTTGTTCAGTTTCCATGTAGTTGAGCGGCTTTGAGTGAGATTCTTAATCCCGAGTTCTAGTTTGATTGCACTGTGGTCTGAGAGATAGTTTGTTATAATTTCTGTTCTTTTACATTTGCTGAGGAGAGCTTTACTTCCAACTATGTGGTCAATTTTGGAATAGGTGTGGTGTGGTGCTGAAAAAAATGTATATTCTGTTGATTTGGGGTGGAGAGTTCTGTAGATGTCTATTAGGTCTGCTTGGTGCAGAGCTGAGTTCAATTCCTGGGTATCCTGGTTGACTTTCTGTCTCGTTGATCTGTCTAATGTTGACAGTGGGGTGTTAAAGTCTCCCATTATTAATGTGTGGGAGTCTAAGTCTCTTTGTAGGTCACTCAGGACTTGCTTTATGAATCTTGGTGCTCCTGTATTGGGTGCATATATATTTAGGATAGTTAGCTCCTCTGGTTGAATTGATCCCTTTACCATTATGTAATGGCCTTCTTTGTCTCTTTTGATCTTTGTTGGTTTAAAGTCTGTGTTATCAGAGACTAGGATTGCAACCCCTGCCTTTTTTTGTTTTCCATTTGCTTGGTAGATCTTCCTCCATCCTTTTATTCTGAGCCTATGTGTGTCTCTGCATGTGAGATGGGTTTCCTGAATACAGCACACTGATGGGTCTTGACTATTCAATTTGCCAGTCTGTGTCTTTTAATTGGAGCATTTAGTCCATTTACATTTAAAGTTAATATTGTTATGTGTGAATTTGACCCTGTCATTATGATGTTAGCTGGTGATTTTGCTCGTTAGTTGATGCAGTTTCTTCCTAGTCTCAATGGTCTTTACATTTTGGCATGATTTTGCAGTAGCTGGTACCGGTTGTGCCTTTCCATTTTTAGTGCTTCCTTCAGGAGCTCTTTTAGGGCAGGCCTGGTGGTGACAAAATCTCTCAGCATTTGCTTGTCTGTAAAGTATTTTATTTCTCCTTCACCTATGAAGCTTAGTTTGGCTGGATATGAAATTCTGGGTTGAAAATTCTTTTCTTTAAGAATGTTGAATATTGGCCCCCACTCTCTTCTGGCTTATAGAGTTTCTGCGGAGAGGTCAGCTGTTAGTCTGATGGGCTTCCCTTTGTGGGTGTCCTGACCTTTCTCTCTGGCTGCCCTTAACATTTTTTCCTTCATTTCAACTTTGGTGAATCTGACAATTATGTGTCTTGGAGTTGCTCTTCTCGAGGAGTATCTTTGTGGTGTTCTCTGTATTTCCTGAATCTGAATGTTGGCCTGCCTTACTAGATTGGGGAGGTTCTCCTGGATAATATCCTGCAGAGTGTTTTCCAACTTGGTTCTATTCTCCCCGTCACTTTCAGGTACACCAATCAGACGTAGATTTGGTGTTTTCACATAGTCCCATTTTTCTTGGAGGCTTTGTTCGTTTCTTTTTATTCTTTTTTCTCTAAACTTCCCTTCTCGCTTCATTTCATTCATTTCATCTTCCATCACTGATACCCTTTCTTCCAGTTGATCGCATCGGCTCCTGAGGCTTCTGCATTCTTCACGTAGTTCTCGAGCCTTGGCTTTTAGCTCCATCAGCTCCTTTAAGCACTTCTCTGTATTGGTTATTCTAGTTATACATTCATCTAAAGTTTTTTCAAAGTTTTTAACTTCTTGGCCTTTGGTTTGAATTTCCTCCTGTAGCTCAGAGTAGTTTGATCGTCTGAAGGCTTCTTCTCTCAACTCATCAAAGTCATTCTCCCTCCAGCTTTGTTCCATTGGTGGTGAGGAACTGTGTTCCTTTGGAGGAGGAGAGGCACTCTGCTTTTTAGAGTTTCCAGTTTTTCTGCTCTGTTTTTTTCCCCATCTTTGTGGTTTTATCTACTTTTGGTCTTTGATGATGGTGATGTACAGATGGGTTTTTGGTGTGGATGTCCTTTCTGTTTGTTAGTTTTCCTTCTAACAGACAGGACCCTCAGCTGCAGGTCTGTTGGAGTTTGCTAGAGGTCCACTCCAAACCCTGTTTGCCTGGGTATCAGCAACGGTGTCTGCAGAACCGCGGATTTTCGTGATCCTCTAATGCTGCTGTCTGATCGTTCCTCTGAAAGTTTTGTCTCAGAGGAGTACCCGGCTGTGTGAGGTGTCAGTCTGCCCCTACTGGGAGGTGCCCCCCAGTTAGGCTGCTCGGGGGTCAGGGGTCAGGGACCCACTTGAGGACGCAGTCTGCCTGTTCTCAGATCTCCAGCTGCCTGCTGGGAGAACCACTGCTCTCCTCAACACTGTCAGACAGGGACATTTAAGTCTGCAGAGGTTACTGCTGTCTTTTTGTTTGTCTGTGCCCTGCCCCCAGAGGTGGAGCCTACAGAGGCAGGCAGAACTGCTTGAGCTGTGGTGGGGTCCACCCAGTTCGAGCTTCCAGGCTGCTTTGTTTACCTAAGCAAGCCTGGGCAATGGCGGGCGCCCCTCCGCCAGCCTTACTGCCACCTTGCAGTTTGATCTCAGACTGCTGTGTTAGCAATCAGCGAGACTCCGTGGGTTTAGGACCCTCGGAGCCAGGTGCGGGATATAATCTCCTGGTGCGTCGTTTCCTAAGCCCATCGGAAAAGCGCAGTATTTGGGTGGGAATGGCCCAATTTTCCAGGTGCCGTCTGTCACCCCTTTCCTTGACCAGGAAAGGGAACTAACTCCCTGACCCCTTGAGCTTCCCGAGTGAGGCAATGCCTCGCCCTGCTTCGGCTGGCGTGCGGTGCGCTGCACCCACTGTCCTGCACCCACTATCTGGCACTCCCTAGTGAGACGAACCCGGTACCTCAAATGGAAATGCAGAAATCCCCCGTCTTCTGTGTCGCTCGTGCTGGGAGCTGTAGACCGGAACTGTTCCTATTTGGCCATCTTGGCTCTAGTCCCAAAACACACTGCAATATCCATGTTCAACTGCTGATTTAAACACACAGACACACACACACGCACACGGCTTGGCATGGTGGCTCACACCTGTAATCCCAGAAATTTGTGAGGCCAAGGAGTTGAGACCAAGAGCATTCCTGACTTGAGGTCAGGAGTTCAAGACAAGCCTGGCCAACGTGGTGAATCCCTGTCTCTACTAAAAATATGAAAATTAGCCAGGCATGGTGGTGTGTGCCTGTAATTTCAGTTACTTGGGAGGATGAGGTGGGAGAATTGCTTGAACCTGGGAGGCAGAAGAAGTTCCAGTGAGCCAAGATTGCTCCACTGCCCTCCTGCGTGACAGAGCGAGACTCCATCTCAAAAAAACAAGACAAAGCAAAACACACACATAAAAATGACTGCCCTATTCCAGCCAGTCTTAAAAGCTTTCACTGTGTTGAATCTTATACTACATAGAACCAAATGAATTTACATCTACATCTACCCATTTCACCAATATTCCTCCAGGCTTAGAACAGGTTTATCTCTTTTCCTTCACAGGATTAATTATTTCACTTGTGCTTAAAGACCTTAAGAATCCCTATACATCCCTATATCCCTACTACATTTTAAGAATCCGTAAGGGAAAAGAGTTTGGCAATTCCTCAAAATTTTAAACTTAGAGTTACCATTTGACTCAGCAGTTCTACTCAAGAGAAATGAAAACATATGTTCATATAAAAACTTGTATATAGGTGTTTGTAATAGTATTATTCATAATAGCCAAAAAGTAACAATAAGCCAAATGTCTATTTACTAATGAATGGGTAAACCAAATGTGATAAATCCATACTATTTGGCAATAAAAAAAATGAAGTACTGATACATGTTACAACATGGATGAACCTTAAGAAAACATTATGCTAAGTTAAAAAAGGCCAGACACAAAACACTCCATATATTATATGATTCCATTTATATGAAATGTCCCAAATAGGCAAATCCAAAGAGACAGAAATTAGATTAGTGCCAGGGCTGGGGGGAAGGCAGAATGGTGAGTACGCGGTTTCTTTTTGGGGTGATGAAAATTACGAAATTAGATGTGATAATTTTATAACTCTGTGAATAAACTAAACACCAAGGAATTGTATACTTTCAAATGGTGATTATGATATGAGGATTGTATTTTAATAAAGATGTTACAAAAGGAATCCCTGAAGGAGTCATTGAAGCAGTTTAAGGGAATATGATATAGTCTACATTATAGGTTAGAAAAATCACCCTGCAGATAATTGATGGGAATGGTAGGTAGAGGTATGTTTGCCAAGCCTGGAAGCAAGAAGACTTGCTGGGAACTGTATTGTAGTCCAAGTTGTATTGTAGTCCCAGGAAATTACAAGGGTATGAAATCAAGTTGTAATGGCAGTGAAAATTGAGAGAAGGCTATGAATTTGTTATTTAAAGAAGCAAAGAAAGATAAGCCCATGAAACAGAATGAAAAGAAGCAGCAGGAGCAGTTGAAAAGAAAATCAGAAAATAGTAGCAGCATGGAAGTGAATGAAAAGTCCATTTCCAGTGAAAAGGAGAAGTTCCACAGTTTTAAATACTACAGAGGTCAAGTAGCAAATTTTACCACTGGAAAAGAGACATTATATATGGCAGCAAAAACACCCTTGTTGTCTTTCTTGACTCTCCCAAAGTAGGTCATGTATTCTTCCTTTATTTGTACTTGATGATTATTTGTCTGTTTCCTCCATTAGAATGTAACCCCTAAGAGAACCAAGACTGACTGTTTTTTTGTTTTGTTTTATTGTGGTGAAATATATGTAACATAAAACTTACCAGTTTTACCATTTTTAAGTTTACAGTTTAATGGCATTAAGTACATTTATATTGTTGTATAACTATCGCCACCATTCATCTCTAGAACTTTCTTCCTCTTCCCAAACTGAAACTCTGTATCCATTAAATAATCACTCCCCATTTCCCTCTGGCAATGCTGCTTCCACTTTCTGTCTATGAACTTGACTATGCTAGGAACCTCAAATAAGTAGAATCATATAGTAGTTGTCCTTTTGTGTCGTATTTTACTTAGCATAGTTATCAGGGTTCATCCATATTGTAGCATGTGTCAGAGTTCCTCCCTCCTAAAGGATGAATATTTCAGCCTTTTATGGATACTGCATTTTGTGTATCCATTCATCTGTCAGTAGACATTGGGTTGCTTCCACCTTTTGGCTGTTTAATGCTGCTATGAGAATGGCTATACAAATATCTCCCTGAAACCCTGCTTTCAATTCTTTTCAGTATATACTGAGAAATGGAATTTGCTGGATCATATGGTAATTCAATTTTTAATTTTCTGAGGAACTGCCATACTGTTTTCTTTAGCGGCTGTACCATTTTATGTTCCCATCAGCAGTGCACAAGGGTTCTAATTTTTCCATATCCTCACCAATATTTTTGTTGTTGTTGTTGTTGTTTGCTCTTGTCACGCAGGCTGGGGTGCGATGGTGTGATCTTGGCTCACTGCAACTTCTGCCTCAGGGTTCAAGCAATTCTACTGCCTCAGCCTCCCAAGTAGCTGGGATTACAGGCGCCCATCACCACACCTGGCTAATTTTTGTATTTTTAGTAGAGATGGGGTTTCACCATGTTAGTCAGGCTGGTCTTGAACTCCTGACCCCAAGTGATCTACCCACCTTGGCCTTTCAAGGTGCTGAGATTACAGGTGTTAGCCACCATGCCCAGCCTGTTTTTTTTTGGTAATAACCATCCTAATGGGTGTGAAAAAGAAGACTGACTATACTTTTGCTCATCTTTTCCACCATCATACAGTAAATAAATCAATATATATTTATTGAATAAATAAATGAGTGAGAAATAAATGATAGGGGAAGATAAATTGCTGTGGAATGATTTCAAGTTTGTTTATGAAGGAATGGGAGAAGATAGGGAAGTTGCCGGAGAGGGGCATAGAATTGAAGGTGGGAGAGACAGGAACATGGAAACGTCTTAGAGGGAAAGATTCAGCAGAGAGGGAGTGAAGGTCCATGTCAAAACTTGAATAGATCTTTGAACTCCTTGAAATGTGTACATAATTTTTGAGGAGATTTTATTAGATTCTCAGTAGTCTTCATGAGATTCTCAAAGGGACCACCAACTCCCAAAGAAAGTAAAATCTAAGCTTCTTAGCATAGCTTACAAAATCTATTATGACCTAGCCTCTGCCTGCTTTCTTAAAATCACCTATCCTCATTCTCTCTCTCTCTTCCAACTTTCCTTTTTTTGTTGTGGGCTTCATCTTTGCTAAGTTACCTGCAGATTCCTAAATCATCCATGGCCTCTCTTGTTTCCATATCTTTGTACAGGATCCCTCTACCTATAATGCCTTTTCTCCCTCCCCCTACCCAAGTTCTTTTTACTCTTTAAAACCCAGTGTTCGATATTCCTCTTATATACTCTTGTGTTTCTGTTTTAATACTTACATTCTCTCATTATACTCATCTGTTTTCTTACATCTTTTCTGCTAGAATAAAAGGTTCTTGACAGTAACCATTGGATTTGTCTTTGTAGTTCTAGTGCCTAAAGACACCTAATTCTTTATTAACAGAATGAGTAAGTAAATGAATTAATAGTAAAAAAGCTGGGGGTGGGGAGGGGAAGCAAGCTGTGGATACAGTGCCTGATCAACTACCTTCCAGCTTTGGAACTTCCTTCTTCTGAGGACTCATGCACATAACTACTTGAGTTGGAATCAGCTCATGCTCTTTCTAAACTCCTTTTCTCTCTTCTCCTGTAGTTTTGTCATCATTTGCCTTTCTTCTGTCTTGCTGCCCCTGTGACACTGCGGGGGGGAGCATTAATTGTTGGAATATCCCTATATGATTCCTAGAGTTACTTGGGAATTCATATTAAAGAAAAGCTAGTCTAGGAGTTTTAAGAGGTTATGTTGTTGTTATCATAGCCTAGCTCTGAATTTTCATCTTGTTGAGCCAGGTTTTTCTTTTTTTAAGTGAATTTTTTTTCCCGGTATCTGCTGTTTAGGGAATCTCTGTTGGTAACCATTTGATCTTGGGAGGGTAGAGACCTTTCAAATAAAGATACTGAGAACTATTTGGTATGGGAAAAGTACATCTATAACAGGCAGACATCAATGTTGACCTGTTTTCTGGAGATCAAACCAGAAAAAAGAAAGTATTACATTTAAAATGTACCTAGACTCAGGCCCGGGTTCTTTGTACACTGAGATGCTTATTTTAAGCATATATTGCTTGAAGTGGCCTCATTATGCATTTTGAGGGGCTTCATTTTGGAATTTGACAACTATTAGATCTTTTTGGGAATACTTCTGATCAATGAAGAGTTATTCCATGGTTAGTGTGAAACAGCCCTGATCTTGTGATATTTTCCCAGGGTGTCACCCTAGCAGACCTTCAAGAAGCAGAAAGGACATTCAGCCAGTCGAGGGCAGAGAGGCAAGCTCAGGAGCAGCCTCGTGAGAAGCCTACAGACACTGAAGGGCTTGAGGGGAGCCCTGAGAAGCATGAGACCTAAGCAGTTCCTGCAACAGAAGCTGGGGAGGGCCAGCAGCCCTGGGGCAGGAGTCTGGATGAAGAGGTGAGCTCATTTTTGCTCGCATGTAATGTGCTAAAAGCAGGGTAATTAGTTTGGGGAGTATCTTCTTCACTGGTAGTTCAAAGGCTGTGTTCTACCTTGCAATGGACAACTCACTCAGTATGGCTGTCTTTAGTTTGCAAACCTGTGTGACAAAAATTTAGAGGATGTCGGTCCTTAAATGACCATTTTTTTCTTCTGAGAGTTCACTGATGCTCTCAGATGCTTTTGAATAAATGCCCTTCTAGTCTAAAAGGAGAGGTCATAGTATAACAAAATGCAAATAAAAATATAAGCATATATTGAGTGTTTACTTTACTCAATACGTGCTTACTTTATGCCAGGCACTATTTTAAGTACTTCTCATGTATTAATGCATTTAATCCTCATAACAACTCTCTGAGGTAAATATTACTATTTCTATTTTATATATGAGGAAATTGAATCACAGAGGTTAAGGAATTTGCCCATTTCACATAGCCAAGAAGTGGTTAAGCCAGAGTTTGAACATAGGCAGTCTGACTCCACAGCTTGCTCTCTTAACTACTAGTGTATTGTTTTTCAAACTCTTATAAACCTAAGGGGCTTACACAGCACTCATGAGTGTCACTGTTGGGAGGGACATTTTTATTTACGTTTCATTTCTCTAGTGGAGTTGGTAGTCAAAGGTATAAGTTTATATTTAGGGTGAACATAACTCCTGGTTTACCTAAGATGGTTCCAATTACAACTGTTGACTTTATGTAATTATCATTACCACTCCTTTGCATTATCAAAAGTGTCCCCGTTTGGACTGATAAATGTTATGGTCACTGTGGTTATAGAAGAAAGGAATCTCCTTGCTTTGACTCTGAATGGCTAGATTCCATAAACTGAAGTTCTATTTTGTATTTTGTTTGTTTTATAAGCTACTATTTATTGAGTACCTATTACCAGGTATTCTTCTAAGCACCTAATGCACATTTTCTTAATTTAATCCTCATAATCTTCTCTGAAGAAGGTGTTATCTCTGTTTTATAGATGAGGATGTTATGGCCCAGAGAAGCTAAGTAACTTATTCAAGGTCACAGCTAGTAATGCTGAAGCTAGAATTTGAACAAAGATCTGTCTGACTCCAAATTTACTACATTTTATTGTATTATGTCTTTATAAATCACAAAAATGTGTACAATCTCTATGTCATAAATTTAATGTGTAGTAAGGATTTATCTATCTCTGAGTCTTCCATAAACCAAGTTAAGTCTTATTGTTAGGCTCTATCTGTCCTAACTCTCAGGTTTAAAAAAAAAAAAAGACCACAATAGACCAGAATTGCTTGAACCCAGGAGGCAGAGGTTGCAGTGAGCCAAGATTGCACCGTTGCACTCCAGCCTGGGCAACAGAGCAAGACTCCATCTCAAAAAAAAGAAAAGAAAATAGAACAACAACAACAAAACAAAACTACAAAAAGGAAAATGGGAACTTTAGAAAGTTTCAGTAAGCCTGGTTATGGCAAGGTGGTAGAGTATTCAGAACTCGGTAGGATTATCACATTTGTTCTCTGTTCTCAAGTAATCCCTACTTTTTGCTTCTTCATGCTCCTGATCTTTTTGTTTCCCTACATAAACCTTGCCTTTCAGCCCTCCATCTTAAAAAGGCCATCATTCTTATTTTCATTCCAAGATCAAAGGAATTTTTTACATGGTTAATGCTATCTAGTACCCTTTGGTTAATTGATGAATAATTTGCTTGAACTGTTCTCAACATGATGGGATTCTCAGAGTAGGAGTCTAGAAGCTGTTTTTTTTTTCTGTCTAATTAACTAACTTTAGCTTAGTTCATTTATTGAGTACCTATTACCAGGTACTCAATATTGATCATCATCTCCTCAAAAGCCTCTTAATATAGAAAAAAAAACATTTTGTATAAACCTGCTGTCCTTACTCTTTAGATGGACTTGATTTCTAATATCTCATGTTGTGGATTATTTCCAGCCTATCTGTCATCACCTGAGGTGCCCAGCTCAGCCAGACAAACCCACCACGCCAGCATCTCCTTCTACATCAAGACCCTCACTCTACACCAGTTCCCACCTGCTATGGACAAATAGATTTTCAGTCCCTGATTCTGAGAGTTCAAAGACTACCACAAACACTACAACTGCAAAGGAAATGGACAAAAATGGTATGTAGAGCTTCAAAAGACACAGGCCCCTCCACAGTGCACATCCCGCAGATTCTTAAAGTTCATACTTTATTTTATCTCTGGCCAGAGAATGAAGAAGCAGATTTGGATGAGCAGTCCTCTAAGAGGCTGTCTGTCCAAGAGAGGAGGTGGCCCAAGGAACGATGAAGAGGCACAGACATCAATTTCTGGTCAAAGGATGTAAGTAGATTTGTCTGTGCTGAGGCATATCGTATTACTCTTGGTCACCATTCTTACAGTTGAGTTTAAAAGAAAGAGTCCTTCATGGTGCCATGAATCTTGCAGTTTCTCAGGAAGTATTACTGAGGAAAAGAGAAGAAAGACCTAACTAGTGTGGGACTCATTTGGTATGTTCCGGCTAGATTCCCAGTATCTAGTACAGTGCTAACTAAGCACATGGCAGGCACTCAGTAAATAATTGGCAAAGAATTAAAAAACTGGAAATGTACAACAGCCATATAAACAAATATTAACAAATGAATAAGCTTGTTGAGTTTTAGTAGTCCTTCCTAATATTTCCTGAATGTCATGTAGTGAGTCAACAATATCTTAACGCCACATATGAGCAGATTCTAACTAAATATTGTAGGAGTACTACAAGAAGTTCAAGGAACTTAAAACCTCTAAGTAATACAAGTTCACTTAGTTTTACTGTTTTGGAGAAAAAGTGGAACAAATAACATAAAATAGATGAACTTTGGCTTTAAAATAAAGACAGATATGCCAATGTTTACTAACTACAAATACTCATTCAGTAGTTCCATTCATCCTCTTCCATATCTTGTTCTGTAGCCTCATTCAACCTTGTTATTGGCATTTTAAAGAACAAGTGGCCAATAACTTGGACAAGATGACCCTGCCTACCAATGACTCCTTTGAAAATTGGACACACTTTATTCAGTGAGACAAGAAATGAGACAGTAATAGTCATCCATTATAAATTATTTTTAGATAAAAATATTTCATTGTTTTAGGGCCAAATTGACTGATAAGTATTGACAAAGATGAAATTAAGTCTGTCTGTCTGTCTGTCTGTCTGTCTTAAAGATATCCCTTTACCAACTGTGGTCGATTTGACTTTTTAGACTACAGGTGACATTTCTAAGTTGCCTGCCTGTGATGGCTGTGAAAAGTAGCAGTAACAGAGCATCACTTGGAAGTCAATTCTCATTGCCCATGTTTGAAATGCCAAGATGCATAATTGATGGGATCTGACCTTGTTGTTTTCAAGGATGTCTGTGATGATGAGCCTCTTGATTTTCTTCCCTTTTCTTTTTTAGGAGGATGAAACTGATGGCTCTGAAGAGGTCAAAGAAACATGGGTAAGTGACAAGCCAGTGAGGCATGTCTCTTGAGAGCACAGTCTTGCTCTTGTATGTAATTTTAGTAGAAGAAAGGGCAAGACTTATGCAGATTTTAGTTGAGAGGGAGTTTGGAGATAGACATTCCTCTAAGAGATGGAGCAGGTATTAGTTTATGGTACTATTTTCTCATGTGGTGTAACAATGCCTATACTCTTGAACCAGTTTCCTACATTTTTCTATGCCTGCTGCCAGTCTTTCACACTGTTATAGGATCCATCATTTTCTCTCTTGTGACTATGTCATTGGATTATATGAAGTACTTTGAAATCTTTGAATGAAAAGTGAAGAGTGATACCAGTTCCTTTTTGGATCCACACTAATAGAGAGGGACATAAATGTGGAGAATGTAAAACATCAGACAGTCCCCAAGTCGTTTATATTTGACTTTGAGATAAGATTAAACATCTGGCATCTTATATAACTCTCGCCTTTTAAGGCCTGACATCCAACTCTTCCCTGCAGTGAAAGGCCTAAGTTCAGCTTTTCTGAAGACACTCGAGGCTCCTGTAAGCCACTCAGACAAGATTGGTGGTGGTTTTCTTTTCAGTACTGTTTTCCAAGAAGTAAGGAATTTGGTTTTGACTAAATTAATTGAAATACATGTGCTTTTCTATTGAAATTATGTAAAAAGATGACGTTTTGTATCGTATCCTACAACTTATTGGAAGTATGTTCTCAGAGTATATTTGATAACCTGTACTGAAAATTAACATCTAACTCATCTTTAGCAGAGAAGATATAAATAATATATTGTCATTGATCTGCCTATATTTTTGTCTAGATCCAAAACAGACAATAGTAGCCTTCCAGAAAGTAGTGCCTTTAATGACTAATGGTGACATAGGTGAGAATTGCCTGCCCTTGGCTGAAGCTGGGGCTATTTCATAAAGGCAAGCTATGAGGTGTGGAAATAGTATATAGAGGTTCCTTGGGGCAAGAGTGTATGCATGTGTGTACGTGTATGAATTACAGCAACTCTTAGTTTCTTCAAGGGGCTTGGAAAGGCTTTTGGAGATAGGAAGAGTGAATATAGGAAAGTTCCTTTGGGGAATTATAACTCAAAGCATATATAACTTAGGAATAGAGTACTGAAATGGAACATTATCCATACGTAGGCCATTTAAATCCAGGGAATTGCAAAAGGGAAGGCTTTGTTGTCATAAGAATGTCTTTTGCCAGTGAAAATTCTATTTTCTACTTTTCTAAACTCCTTGGCACTGGAAAATCCTAGCCTAGAGGGTACCAAGTAAGGAAAATTAAGATGATCTTGATGCAGTACTTCCTAGGGAATTTTACTTTAGGACTGTTGACTTGAAAGTATGAAGAAAAGCAGAGACCGTTGCAGTTTGATGTGAAAGGCATTTGTCAGACTAAAAAATACTCCACACACCCAATTGCATAAGGCATCTACTAGTGTTTACCATGTGTCAAGAAAACAACAATGTGAATCAGAAAGAATAAACAGCCCCTTATCTGTGGACTGGTACATTTGAATTTATGCAGATAAGCTAAGGTTGCTATAAGAAATATATTCCAAGTGCCAATCTCCAGCCTCGCCAATAGTGCAAGAAGAAAGGCCGATAATGAATCAGCATAGGGTGAGGCATCCTTTTTGTAAAAGTCTTATATTTGCTTGTTTCATTTCTTTCAGTTAAATTCTTAACTTTTTTTCTCCCTTGAGCACTCTCTCCTAATGCTAGCAGGCACGATGCCATTATCTGTATGGGCCTACAGAGCCACATGCCTGATCATGGCCTAGTGTAAATTCCTACATTTCTATTTCAAGACAATCAGTAGCATCTTATGACCACCTCTCTACCCCAGCTCCGTTTTCATCCTTCAGGCAGTACAGTTGACTCAGCTCTGCAACAACAAATGAGCCAGTTAAAGCAGAGGGCATTCTATTGAAATGGTGCTATTAGCTAATCAGCATGGATACAGTTGAGAAGCCAGGGCAGCTCTTTCCCTTCTTGGTTTTTAGTTCAATAAAACTATATCTGCTATTGAGGTCATGCTGGCTTCCTTCTCTTCCCTAGTCCACTCCTTAAGAATGATGATATCTATTATTTTTAAAGTTATCTCTTCCCAAGACTCTAATATCTTGGTTTTTTTAAACTGAAATATAATTTACAATTAGTGCACAGATTTTAAATATACTGTTTGCTGGGTTTTGACACTTGTATGTACCAGTATAACCACTACCCAAATCAAGATATAGAACTTTTCCATCACCTTAAAACGTTTCATCATTAATGCTGAAGAATAAGCGATACTAATCTATGGTGATAGAAATCAGAAGAATGGTTGCCTCTCAGGACAGAGAATTGAATGGAAAAGATAGAAATCAACCAGCAGTAATATTTAATTTTTTTTTTTTTTTGACAGAGGGTCTTGCTCTTTCACCCAGGCTGGAGTGCAGTGGTGTAGTCATGGCCCACTGCGGCCTCAACCTCCCAGGCTCAAGTGATCCTACTACCTCAGCATCCCAAGTAGCTGGGACTACAGGCACAAGCCACCACACCCAGCTAATTTTTGGAGTTTTTCTAGAGATGGGGTTTCACCACATTGCCCAGGCTGGTCTCGAACTCCTGGGCTCAAACAATCCTCCTGCCTTGGCCTCCCAAAATGTTGGGATTATAGGCATGAGCCACAATGCCCAGCCAATAATATTTAATTTTAATGGTAGAAAGGAAGCTTCAATGGTTATTATCTTTATCTTATGCCTCCAGTCAGAGTTAGCCCTAAATGATTCAAAATATCTATGGTTTTTCCCCCCTTCTTAAAGATTTCAAAAGAAGATTGTTTAATACTTCACTTGTATAGCAGTGACAACAACGTGGTTTAAGACCTTTCTGCTGTTTAAACTAAATCTCTGTTGAGGTCATTGAAGTTCATTTCCTTTTTTATATACCAAGAAAAATGTAACCAACATTTATATACAGGTAAGATTTATGGCCAGGAGTGGCCATAATGTTTGCTATCAATAGAATATTTGGTCAGGGAAATGCAAATCAAAACCACAATGAAATAGATCATCTGACCTGTTAGAATGGCTGTTATCAAAAAGACAAAAAATAACAAAACCTAGTGAGGATATAGAGAAAAAGAAACTCTTAATACGCTATTGGTGGGAATATAAATTAATGTAGCCATTATGGAAAACAGTATGGAGGTTCCTCAAAAACTAAAAATTGAACTACCATATGATTCAGCAGTCCCACTACTGGGTATTTATCCAGAGGAAAGAAAAACAGTGTATCAAAGAGATGACGCTCTCTGGTGGTCTAGTGGTTAGGATTTGGTGCTCTCGCTCTCTGGCTCTTGCTCTCTCTCTCTCTCTCTCTCTCACTCTCACTGTCTGTCTGTCTTTCAAAGAGATATCTGCACCCCTATGTTTATTGCAGCACTATTCACAATAGCCAGGATATGGAATCAACTTAAATGTCCATTAACAGATGAACAGATTAATTACATGTGGTATATGTACATAGTGGAATACTATTTAGCCATAAAGAAAAATGAAATTATGTCATTCACAGCAACATGAATGATCCTGGAAGCCATTATGTTAGGTGAAGTAAGTCAGTCACAGAAAAATAAATACCTCATGATCTCTCTCATATGTAGGATCTTAAAAAGTTGAGCTCATAGAAGTAGAGAGTAGGATTGTGGTTACTGGAGTCTGGAAAAGGGAGACAGTCAGAGGTTGGTTAACAGATATAAAATTACAGGTAGGGGGAATAAGTTCTGGTGTTCTATAGCACTAAAGGGTGAATATAGTTAATGATAATTTATTGTATATTTTCAAATAGCTAGAAGAGAGGATTTTGAATGTTCCTAACATAAATTATTTTTGATGCTAGATATGCTGATTACCTTGATTTGATCGTTACATATTGCATATATGTATTGAAATATCACTTTGTACCACATAAATATGTACTATTGTAATGCAACAATTTAAAATTTTTAAAAAGAGAGTATGTGATAGACTAGTCATGCATTGCTATGCTGGGAACAGCAAGGAACATGCTTAGAAGGCTGGGGACCCTACTTAAGCCCAACACAGTGCATAGTTTTAGTCTGAACCCATCTCCACTGGTAAATCCATGAACCAGTGAAACTAGCAATTAATATATAAAATTGACATCTTAGCATCTCCTTGACAGATGTGTTTAAAAACAATTCTGTTTTGTTTATCCACATTAGGTATATGACAGTCTCTGAGAATCTTAATAGATCCCTTGTCTTTCTAAATGAAAAATAATCTGCATCTTAATTTGAGGAATAGGGTTATTCTAATTATATCTGAAAATGCTTTTATATTCAGCAGTGTGTTTGCTGTTTTCTTTACTATAGTAGTAATCACATAGAATGTTTGCCCTGGAGGGAACAAGCATAGGTATGCCACAGAAGATAATGACCTTTTGGATTATTTCCATCTTTTTTTACCTGCATCTTTGACCTGGATTCCATTTTCTTTACATTGAGTTTTATCTGTTGCTTTCTTACGGTTTTCCCTGTTTGCTCTGGAGCTGTTTTCCAAGCCAATCCTGTTGTATAATTGAATTTATCACTAGAGGGCACAAGTGGTCAACAGAAAAGATGTTGGTGAACAGGCAGAATGGTGCACTAAAGAAGCTGAGCAGAAGACAAATTGCTTTTGTTTTTAAGGAATTGTTGAAGGACCCGGTTCAATGTAGTAAAGGTACTTGCCTCCCAACTTTTGGTATCATAGGATTGGAAGAGGATCTAGAGATATCTTGGATTAGGAACCAATTTTATGGTTAAGAAGACTGAGGCTCAGAGAAATTAAGAATTATTTGGGCATGACATCTCTGCTAGGTGAGCAACCTGTACCTTTTTTCAGGGAACCTCTTTGTTTGACTGTAGTGAAGCAAAACTGAAATTAGGACTTACATCCTTTTCTATTCCCTATTCATCCATTTGGTTTTTTTACTCAGCAGGCTACATGTTCGAATTGACTTGCTAGTAGCATCTCACCTCCTTGAGTGAAGGAACGTCTTCTTGAAGGACAACTTAAAAGCCTACTCAGAGTATCAGGATTCAGTGGGTAGAGCATCAGCATTCTTCTGCTATCCTTGACATAGGTGGGTAGTTATGTATGTCAGGAAGTAAGACTTTTCATACTTTTCTTTTCCCCTAGAATCTCTGTTGCTTTTAGATAAATCAGGTGGCACTCAATCTGAACAAAATTACTGAAACCTTACCCTCAAAGTTAGCAATATAGCTGTCCCCATCCAGAATGCAATCAGTAGGTCTGGATTACTAATCATCCCTCAGAACTCATTGGTAAAGGAGATAGTGTTAAAGAGTTACTAAATTATAGATATCAAGGTACCTGCCTTAGATAACTGGGGGTATGCTCGTGGAGAGATCTGTTGGTAAAAGTCTTCTAAAAGAGTCAAGCTATTAAATGCAAAGTTTTCAAACTAAATGAAAGAACACAATTGGAATTTGCTAGCAGAGCTGAGTTTTGAACTTTAACAGAAAATTAATGCCATAGAAATAAATAGAAATATACCAAAAGCCACTAAATGCATTTTCCATTTTGTCCTGCCTTCACTTTTGTAAGCATCTTAATTCAACAAGTGCTTTTAAGCGCCGATTATGATCAAGCACTTTTCTAGATTCTGGGGATGCAACAATGAACAAACAGCCCTGCTCTTATGGAATTTACATTCTAGTGGGGGAGACAGACAACATAAATATGTAAAGTAAATACTATGTTAAAAGGTGATACGTGCTATGGAAAAACCATATAGAGTAGGCTAAGGAGGAATCAGAAGTGCCAACATGGAAGGAGGTTGACATTATAAGTAGGGTGGTCAGGATTGGCCTTACTGAGAAAATATGATTTAAGCCTAGTCTTAAAGGAAGCAAGGTGGGAAACTATGTGGACATGTAGGGTAGAGTGTTATGGGCAGAGGGAATTGCAATTGCAAAGACCCTAAGATAGGTATCTGGCATGCTTGAGAACAGATTAAAAAAAAACCAGTGTGGCTAGAGTGGAATGTGCAAGAAGGCCAAATGGCATAGACTGATAAGTTATAAGAACTTTGGCTTTTGTAGTTTTGAGCAGAAGAGTGACATGATTATACTTATGTTTTAAAGGATTACTGCCTGCTATTTTGGAGAATGTACTCTGGGAGGACGTTAGTGGAAGCAGGGACATCAGTTAGGAGGCCATTATAATACAGTAATCCAGGAGAAAACTGACGGTGGTTTGTACCAGGATAATAGCAAGCAGTAAAGATGCTGAGAAGTTGTCATATTCAGGATATATATTGAAGTTAGAACCAATGAGATTTGCTGTTTTCTTGGATATCAGGTGAGAAAACAGAAGGTCAAGGTTGACACTAAGACGTTTTAGCTAAGGCAACTAAAAGCATGGAATTTTATTAATTGAGATGGAGAATACTACAAGAAGAATACATAATACATTTGGTGGGGGAAAAGTAGACATTTGGTTTTGGTTTTAGAATTGTTAAATCTAATAGGTCTAATTGACATATTTCCACATGGAAATGTCAAGAGGACAGTTAGATATAGGAATCTGCAATTCAGGTTTAAGGGCCAGGATGGAACTACAAATTGGATATCAGTAAACCTAAAGATTGTATTTTAAAACCATGAGATTGAATGTGACCACGAAGAGAATGAATGTAGACAGAGAAGAGGCCGAAAGAGCCCTGGAGCACTCCGAAATTCAAAGTGAGGAGAAGGGGAAGAATCAGAAAGGAAACTGAGCAATCCTGGTACCTGACCCTGAGAATATGGATGCAGTTTCCCCCTTTTTCCAAAACGAAATCAAACAAAACACATGAAACAATAGGCAGTTTTATCATTGTTCTTATTTTACCTTTTTTTTTTTTTCAAGGGCTATTTCCCATGAAATCTGCTCAGTCTGTTTATAAATGGGCCGTGCAATGGTATAGGAGAGCTGGACATTACAGGGCATCTTCTGGTGTCTTTTGAACTAGAAATTTCTTCCTTTCTGCAAACTTGTCTAGAGGCCTTTGGAGTCCAGGGATGTCATAAGACTCTTCTTACTACATCAGAGGGATTCTATTAATTACTATGTCTGCAAATGATCTGTTAACTTACCTCTTGGTCTCCTTTGCCAAATTTTCTTCAGCTCTATTACATCTTTGAATAACTGTCACTTCAATTTCAGTTAAGAAGACTCTTGGGGCCAGCCATGGTGGCTCACACCTGTAATCCTAGCACTTTAGGAGGCCGAGGCAGATGGACCTTGAAGTCAGGAGGTCGAGACCAGCCTGGTCAACAGTGAAACCCCATCTCTACTAAAAATACAAAATTAGCTGGGTGTGATGGCACCCACCTGTAATCCCAGCTACTCAGGAGGCTGAGGCATGAGAATCACTTGAACCCGGGAGGCGGAGGTTGCAGTGAGCCAAGATCGCACCACTGCACATCAGCCTGGGCAACAGAGCAAGACCCTATCCCCCCAAAAAAAAGAAGACTCTTGGAAAAACTTTTATTAGAAATAAAACAACACCTAAAATGTGTTACTGTATATTAAAATTTGATTTCTCTGGGGTGGCTAGAATGACAGTTATAGACTAAATTTAAAGCTAAAAAATACTTTAAAGGCCACCTAGTTAACACTGTCATTTTAAAGTTAACAGCTGAGGCCCAGGAGATTAAGTACCTTGCTAGTGTCACATAGTTGTAGTCCTAGTGCACAGCTGTTGCACTACCTTCCAAATTTGTATCTTTATATCTGTTATATCTCTTATATCACATAATGTTATGACAAATAATACAGCATAATAGTTAAGAGGACACACCCAGGAGGTAGACTCCCTGCATTTAACCCCAGCTTAACCATTTAACTACTTTGGATAGGTTATTTAACCTTTCTATGCCTCAGTTTCCTCATCTGTAAAGTAGGGATAATAATAGTCTACCTCTTAGAATTGTGAAATGAAAATGAGCTAATACATTTAAACAGAGATGATTACAATCCATTTAAATTATTTTCCAAATTTATAAGTTCCTACATCTGGATGAGAGTAAGGCTTTCGGAATACTTTTATTGGCCTTAGGATCATGTGATTTTGAAGTTATTAATTTATCCTTAAAGAATGGATTATTTGGAGAGTCACAGAAGTAGCCCCACATCCTCTATAACTCCAACATGTGTTCTGACACATAACTGAAGAATTTTGAGGAATAAGTTTTAAAGGAGATTGCTGAAGTAGGGGGAAAGAAATGAGTAGAAAGGAAAGGAACAAGAACTAAATGTTTCAAATTGTGTTTGGAACCTGTTGAGCATCTGATCAAGTCAAGTCCCTGCAACTTCTCTGTCAAGCAAGCAGGCTTTCATTTTTATGCCTAAATAACCCATTCCATTTATGCTTCTTTGCCAGTGCTTCCAACAGTCCTAGTTTCAGAGATCTTTACTATTTTTTCCCACCTTCTTCCTTTGAGTAAATAGCAGCCCTTTTTCTCCAATTTTTCACAGCATTGCTTCTGGCTATTTGCTGGATCCTTTCGCTCGAGCAGAATTTTTTAATATTGTTACTTAATCTTGTGAAACCACTTTATCTGCTGGAGGGTATCCAGCAAATTTCTGTCCACTCTCCACCACCAGTCAGTATTTTTGCCATTCTCCTTTTAGGTAAAATCCTAAGTCTGATTCGTTTTCCTCTCTCTCTGGGGCTCGATTGCTTAATATGGTAAGGTATTTCCCAGACAAGATTGCACTGTGGAGTTAGAACAACAGTTTGACTAAGTTTAAAGACATGGTACATGAGCTATCTAATAGTTATTTATGTAGTAAAGTAATATTTTTTGCAGTATATTACATAACAACCAAAATCTATTTTTTAAGCAAGCCTCTGTTGCTTTTAACAGACTTAGAGAGATAATAAAATATAGATTTTTCTCCTCTTAACCTGTTTAATCTTTAGGCAGATTTTTTTTTAAAAAAAGGAAAAGATAGCTCGTCCCCAGAATGAAAGGGTTTTGAAAAGTCTGAGAAATTTGATAACATGATAATGTTCATAAGGATATAAAAGTAAGGGTAAACTTGATAAGCAATGGCTGTTAACAGCCTTTGCTGTTAATAAACCGTCTTGCGGTAGCCAGCTTCTGGGAATTGGCAGGCATTCCACATGTAGAAAAGCAAGCTGTCCTGGATTTCTGCAATTGATGACAATGCGCAGTCCCAGGGAAAAAGATAGAGATTGAGAAATGGCAGCCAACCAACTCAGTATGTGAGAAGCTGCCTGTTATCCAGCATGCACTGAAGAATCTTCTCTAGTGGTTGACTCCACACTGGCCTTGAAGGATCTTTCCTCTCACTGTACATTTGCTCTTGCTTTGCAACTATAGTTTCTTAAAATACTGCAGATGCTGTGATTTTCTATATATGGGTTGTGTCTTGCTGTAGCCCAAGCTGTATAAACCATCTTAAGCACAAAGTTTCTTTTGGCATCTTCCTTTTATGGACTCTATTAATTTTAGGTCGTGCTGTTGCCCAGGAAATCTCCGTAATCAAAGCTCACATGTATTCCTTTGAGACCTTGTAATTTTTTGGAACTAGTGTCCCTTTACATCAGTGAATTCTGCTTTAATCATAAATCTTTTTTAAGATAGAATAAATTGTTCTTTGAGGTATCTGTTTGGACTTCTCTCATGCATCTCATCCAAAGATGTGAAAGGTTTATCCAGCTACTAAGGATAGTATACTTAACTTCTTGACCTTTTCTTTTTTTGATTTCTTCTGCCTCCAATTGCTTTCAAGATATTAGTTTGTGTTAGTGACTTGTGACCTTATGTCTTTTTATTATAGGAACACAGATGAGCTTAAAACTCTGCCAGAGCTTTTTTTAAAAAAAAGTTTATAAAAGATAGTAAATTTCATTAAAGAAAATTCATGAAGTATAGAAAAATATAAAGCAGTAGCTCTCAAAAGCAGCAGGAGAATTGCTAGAGGAAGTTGTAAAAATTCATAGGGCTACTTTCAGGGAATACAGCGATGGGGGATGTTCTGCATGCATTAAATGGAAAGGGTGAGAGATGCTAGATATCCTAAAATGCCCCATATCAAACAAGTATCCTGAAGCTTGCTTGACTTTTGACTGTCTCCCTTGACAGTCATAGATGAAAACCTATCAGTTATCTGAGTCTAAAAACAAACTTGATTTTATGTTTAAGCTCATTTTTGAGGGGCAGTGGGGAGGAAGACAGTTCTAAAAATTCAACCACCATGTAAATGAGGAGAAACTGCTCTTAGTTTTATTTATCCCTGACAGCAATGCCACTTACATAATGAGTACATCATGCCACACGTTCTATAGATCTGCATTTAACCTCCGCCTCCATGATAATTATATGATGCATCCAAATCTCTGACTGCTTCTTTATGCCTTCTAGTTTACTGGCCCAAGCATTAACACATTAAAATACATATTTTATTATAAAGTGCTTTGCTCTTATTTCTTCTTCATATTATGTTATTTTTTTAAATGATTTTATGTAAGTTTTATATCAGTGATTTTTATTTCAGGATAGTAAGGAGGTGTTGAAAATATTTGTTATGAAAAGGGATTGTTTCAGCTATGAAAGCTAAGAAAAATTGTCCATAACCATCCATAACCATACTTTTCAGAAGAAATTATTAACATTCTAGTGAATTTCCTACTGGTATTTTTCCAAAGTTTTTCTTTTTAAAAAACATATTCAAAACCAACTAATGACATTCTTTAGAAAAGGATCATTGTCAACTTGAGCATTCCTGGGACACCATCATTACTATGATGACAGTTTTATAAGGTTGTCTTCAAAGCACTTAGGTTCAACTCTTTTATCAAAGTAGTCCTATGATGGCTTTGATCATAGAGAGCCCCAGGAATAATTGTTTCTCTTTCAGTTGGAGTCTAAGAGTTACCTCGGTTATAGAAGTATTCATTTATCCTGTTGATAGCATGGCTGGAGAGCCTTAACCTATGGCTTAGGCTTAGCTAATGTTAGAGTTCTAGCCCCAAGATTGAGGTAGAAAGCTTGATGTGGGATTTGAAGTCCTTTTTCAGCAAATGGAATGTTTATAGGTTTGCCCCAGCAGGAATGTTGAGCTTAAGGTACTAATAGACGTTACCTTTAGAAGTGTTATTTTGGTAGAATCTCAAAGGTAGGATAGTTGGACTACCTATCACAAGCTGTAAAGCTTCCTGTATAAAGCTTGTAAAAATGTAAAGATGAATGGCCACTACCTCCCAATTTTAATTTTTCTCCATACTGTCTCAGTCTTCAGTAAAGCAGATAGCAGCCATTTAGTGACATAAATCTCTTCATAGAGAAACCATAGTTTTGTAACCTAGTATGATCCTTTAAGGTACATAAATGTTCACACAGTTGTGTCTTCATAGAATATGTACTTTTAAGAAACTCTTAACTTTTTTATAGTTTAAATTTTTAACAATGTTTTATTACAACCTGCACTCTTACACCTTAAACTATGTCAGTATTATTGGCTACCAAGAGGAAAGCAGGGAAGTTTTAAAAATCCATTGGCAAATTAATACCTAGCATAATACATAATACAAGTACTTATGGTCTTGGAGCTTATAGCTCTTGCTATGTTTCTGAAAATTTTTTTCAGGAAACAGAAGCATTTTAAGAGGCAAACAACATGTTTGAGTATTATATCACCAAATAAAACATTGTATACTTTAAGATGGCATTTTAGGAGTTGGAGGACTTTCAAAAGTGATATGCCAAATGGGTGAAACATGGGGCTGTTTATGGTGACTGAATGCTGTATTTCTCATTTCTCCAAATGTCTGGTATAGCTACTACTTGCTGGCTGTTGTGAAGAGTCAACACTCTGCCTTTCTGAGGCTGATAGGGGAAGCAGATGTTTACACCTGTTCTCCAGCAGAACATGTTGGGGGTGGGACAGTGGTAGCAGCCTCACTTCATTTTTGGCATGTGATGCTGTAGGTCAGCAAACTTTTTATGAAAAGGGCCTGATAGTAAATATTTTCCACTTTGCTGGCCACGTAATCTGTTGCAATGACTGAACTCCACTGTTGTAATGGGAAAGCAGCCATAGACAATATGTAACTAAATGGGAGTGACTATGTTCCAATAAAACTTTATTTACAAAAGCAGGCCGGTGGACTGGATTTGGTCTGCAGGCCACGCTGCAGTTTGCTGGCCTCTGCTCTAGGTTACTGATACAGAAGGTATTTGCTAATGTCAACATAACTCCAAATGTCATTTTCTCTCATCCAAGCACTTCTCTGATAACTCAGCATTGTGCCAATTCCCCTGATTCTTTGTTATCAGCAACAGTTTGTTGGGGAACATCATGTGTTTAGAGGGATAAATGTTGTTTGGGGCAGCATTAATGAAGCAAACTGTAAAACTTCCTGAATGAGAAAGTGAAGGAGAGAGGGGGAGTTGCTTCCATGTCATTTTAAATATAGTCTCTCTGTTATGTTTTAGTTCATTACCTTTTGAGGAGAAAGCCTGAAATGGTTCTCCTAGCATGTCCCTATCTGTTTTTCTCATCTGATCCTATTCCTTTTTACTTCCCAAGGACCAGTCTTTGAGGTTAGCTAAGATTATAATTGGGAATATGTAATCACTTAATACTTGAAATTCAGCTTTTGTAGACTATGACCATAAGTAAGTTTGCCTTTAAGGCTCACAGGTTCTTGTAACAGTGCCTGTCAGAAGACTGTTAGTTGCTGTCATTCACTTTAATTGTTTGTTGTCATTTGAATTCCTTAATTAGGAGTAGATTATGGAATTTACTAGTCTTTTTGCCTTGTCAGCGCTTAGTCTACTGAATATGTGCAGGAAAAACATTTTGGGGATTTGTGGAGGGGATGACAGAAATCTTCAAAGTGATGACCCTGTGCTTGCTTGAAATGATAGTTAGGAGGGATGGATTTGGGGGAAGAGAAGCTGAAATCCTGATTCTTCAACAATTTTAAGGAAAAAAGTGATGAAAACTGACATTAATATGTCACAGTAAAGACTCATATAAGGTGTGGGAATTGAGCATGGGATGGCATAATTAATTTTGTGCCAAATAAACAAAATCAGATCCTTTCTTGAGAATAAATGTTCACACAGATGTGCCTTCATAGAATATATACATTTAGAAAACTCCATATATGACATGTTGTATGAGAAGGCTTCTCTTAGATCACTGGTGACCTCTAGTACTTTGGACTAAAACTAACGAAATATTATTTGGGCAGTTTATGTATCATTTCTGGAGTTCTTGACTTAGAGCTAAGGGCGTGTGTAGATACTGATATCGAGCAAGCTGAGCCATTTTCAACTATAATAACCTAATGGGTAAAGCTTCTATAGTAGTCTCCTTCAAACTTGTCAATAGCAATCACTGGGGTTATTTGTTTACAATGTAGATTTTTAGACCTCTCCCCTTGAGATTCTGGATACGGAGGTGACATGGTGGTAGCAGGTGGAAGTCCTGAAAATCTATATTGTAAAGGTCTTCCAAAGTGATTCTTAACAGGCAAGTCTGATGGATAGTGTTCCTAGAGGTATAATGTTTAGGGATTGCTAACATCCCAGGTAGGTCAATCATTAAAGAGTAGGATTAACTGTAGCACACTAAAGGAGCTTAGAGCCAACCACTACTCCTTTCTGTCCTCCCGAAATACACATTTAACCTAGAGTACCAAATTCTCAAAGACCCTCTAGGACAATCGAGTCCCATTTGGGATGTCTTTTGCTCTCATGCAGCATGTGTTTATTCAGTCAACATATATTTATTGATGAGCCACTATGTGTCAGGCACTATGCATTAGGGATGCAAAAATATACAAGGTAGACAAAATTCCTGACTTCATAATACTCACATTTTATTTATTTATTTATTTTTGATATGTATTGTAGATATTGGAGTTATCCAATACAAGTTTTATTCAGGCAAGTATATATATTATATAATATATTTATACTAATATATTATAATATATAATATAATATTATACTATTTATTAATTTATAATATAATTTATATTTATTAATTTATAATACAATATAAATTATATCCAAATTTCTACAATAATTTATAATATACTTTATTAATATAAATATAACAATTATATCAATATAATATATAATGTATACTTTATATATTAGCAGAATCTTTTAAAGTTTATTTCAATAATTTTGGGGAACAAGTGGTTTTTGGTTACGTGAATAAATTCTTTGGTGGCGATTTCTGAGAGATTTTGGTGCACTCATCACGCAAGCAGTGTACACTGTACCCACTAGGTAGTCTTTTTTTTTTTTGAGACAGAGTCTCCTTCTGTCACCCAGGCTAGAGTGCAGTGGCGCAATCTCGGCTCACTGCAATTTCCACCTCCCGGGTTCAAGCAGTTCTCCTGCCTCAGCCTCCTGAGTAGCTGGGACTACAGGTGCCCACCACCATGCCTGGCTAATTTTTTTGTATTTTTAGTAGAGATGGGGTTTCACCGTGTTAGCCAGGCTGGTCTCGATCTCCTGACCTCATGATCCACCTGCCTCAGCCTCCCAAAGTGCTGGGATTACAGGCATGAGCCACCGTGCCCGGCATATGTAGTCTTTTATCCCTCATCCCCATCCCATCCTTCCCCCTGAGTCCCCAAAGTCCATTATATCATTCTTATGCCTTTGCTTTTTCATAGCTTAGCTCCCACTTACAAGTGAGAACATACGGTATTTGGTTTTCCATTCTTGAGTTATTACACTTAGAATAATGGGCTCCAACTCCATCCAATTTGCTATGAATGTCATTATTTCATTCCTTTTTATGGTTGAGTAGTATTCCATGATGTATATATACCACAATTTTTTTTTTTTTGAGATGGAGTTTCACTCTTGTTGGCCAGGCTGGAGTGCAATGGCATGATCTTGGCTCACTGCAACATCTACCTCCCAAATTCAAGCAATTCTCTTGCCTCTGCCTACTGCAATACTCACATTTTAATAGGGCGAGGGATATTTCTATTAGACATCCAAGTTGAGATGTCAAGTAGACAATTGTCAACTAGGAATTTGGACTTTATGGGAGACATTAAAGCTGGAGAAATACAGATGTAGAAGTCATTGCTTTAGTGCTGATATTTTGAGTCAGAAGACTGGGTGAGATCACCAAAAAGCATAATTAAAGCAGAAAAGAAGTCACTTGACTAGGCTCTAGGATATTCCAGGGCTAGCCTTAGAAAAGAGCAGGAATATTTCTTCCGTGATACATATACAGACACTTGTTGAATCTCTTGTTGTGAAAGTGAGATCATGCCGATCTGACTTATTGTGATACATACACACATACCCCTTTATACCTAGAAAGCAATTAGAGCCTAGGGTCCAGGTGAAAGATAATGTGCTGAGTTTCTAATGGTAGGTATGGAGAGAATGGAACAAGGTAAGAAATATGAAAACTCAGCAGAATTTGATGTTTTACTAGATGTGGATGATAAAAGCATAAAGATCAGTCCCAAGGTATTTGGGAAGATGCATGGAATTGGCTTTGGAGCCAGAAGACCTAGGTTCAAAGCTTGTTGCGTCTCTTATTAGCTGGGTGGTCTTGGAAAAGTAATTTAACCTCTCTGAGCTCTGAAAGTTCTTTAATCTGTAAAAATGAGACTATTATCCTTGTTTTATAGGCTTGATATAAGGAACAGCAGTAATAATGTATATAAAGGGTTTAGCACAGTGCCTACATTTGGTAAATTTTTAAATAAATAAAGGCAGCTCATATGGTAGTATTTCATCAGTCTCCCCTCCTCCCATCTTTGAGCTTTCATACATGTTATTTTCATTCTTTAGAATTCTCTTCCTCTTACTTTACTGCCTCTTCCTCTGCCTACTCCACTTTTTAAAAACATATTCATGTTTTAGGTTAAGCACCACCTCCCCTAAGAAGCCTTCCTTTGACCCCCTCCCTGGACCAGACTAGGTTTCCCCTAGCACTGTGAATTTATCTTTAATATGGAGTGGTAATCATACTATGTTGTATTTGCCAACTAACTGAACTCCTTGAAGGCTGGGTCTGGAATGAGATGCAGTGTCATTCCAGTGCCCAGGATGGAGTGCAGTGGTGCAATCTCATGTCACTGCAACCTCCACCTCTTGGGTTCAAGCAGTTCTACTGCTTCAGCCTCCCAAGTAGCTGGGACTATAGTCGTCAGCCACCATCCTTGGCTAAATTTTGTATTTTTAGTAGAGATGGTGTTTCGCCATGTTGGCCAGGCTGATCTTGAACTCCTGACCTCAGGTGATCGGCCCGCCTCAGCCTCCCAAAGTGCTGGGATTACAGGCGTGAGCCACTATGCCCAGCCTGTTTCTTGTTCATTATATTTACAAGAATATCTAGTATTTACATATGTCTTCTGTGAATAGAGAACAATGCAATGCATGATATTCATTTTTTATTATGATGACTGCATAGATAATATGCCATTAATAGGATTGAGAATTCAGGAGGAAGAATATGTTTGGGGATGAAGATAATGATTTTGCTTTTGGACATGCTGAGTTCAAGGTACCTATCAGACATAAGAAAGTAAATGTCCTATAGGCAATTAGATACATGGGTATGAAGTATAGGGAAGTTCCAGGGCTAGAGATAAAGAGTTGGAAGGTATCAGGTTGCTGATAATAGTTTTAAGCTATGAAAAATACATTTCCCAAGATTAACTTTTAGAACAGTGATTCCCAACTTCTTTTCTTCCCCAGCATTCTGATGGATATGAGGTACTCACTGTGTAACTGTGGTTCAATGTCTCAATGATTCTGAAGCAAGGGCAAGCAAAAGGAACATGTTCCCCAGGGAAGGCCAATTATCAGAATGATTGTGGGGTGCTAAGGAGGGCCACTGCTATGAAAAGAGTACACAGTTTAGAACAGAGCCAGGGCACACCACTGTTTGAGATGGCAGAAGGGGAGAGGTACCTATGGAAGAGATCTGCAGGGAAATGGTCAGAGAAGAAGGAAAAGAGCCTGGAAAGGAGAGTTCTGCTTTTAGCTCTTTGAGGAATTGCCAGCACTGCTTTACACAGTGAATACTCCCACCAATAGTGTATAAGCATTTCCTTTTTTCTGCAACCTTGCCAGCATCTGGTTTTTGTTTTGTTTTGTTTTGTTTTTTTGTTTTTTTTTTTTTTTTGCTTTTTACTAATAGCCATTCTGACTGGTGTGAGATGGTATCTCATTGTGGTTTTGATTTGCATTTCTCTAATGATCAGCGATATTGAGCTTTTTTTTCATATGCTTGTTGACTGCATGTATGTCTTCTTTTGAAAAGTCTCTGTTCCTGTCCTTTGCCCATTTTTAATTGGGTTTTGTTTTTCTCTTGTAAATTTAAGTTTCTTATAGATGCTAGATATTAGACCTTTGTCAGATGCATAGTTTGCAAATATTTTCTCCTATTCTGTAGGTTGTCTGTACTCTGTTGATAGTTTCTTTTGCTGTGCAGAAGCCCGTAAGTTCAATTAGATCCTACTAGTCAGTTTTTGCTTTTTTTGCGATTGCGTTTGGTGTCCTTGTCATGAAATCTTTGCCCATTTCTATGTCCAGGATGGTATTGCCTAGGTTGTCTCCAGGGTTTTTATAGTTTGGGGTTTACATTTAAGTCTTTAATCCATCCTGAGTTGATTTTTGTATATGGTGCAAGGAAGGTGGCTAGCTTCAGTCTTTTGCATATGGCTAGACAGTTATCCCAGCACCATTTACTGAATAGGAAGTCTTTTCCCCATTGCTTGTTTTTGTCAGCTTTGTCAAAGATCAGATGGTTGTAGGTGTGCAACCTTATTTCAGGGCTCTCTATTCTATTCCATTGGTCTATGTGCTGGGTATATACTCAAAGGAATATAAATCATTCTACCCTAAAGACACATGCATGTGAATGTTCATTGTAGCACTATTCACAATAGCAAAGACATAGAGTCAACCTAAATGCCCATCAGTGACAGACTGGATAAAGAAAATATGGTACATATACACCTTAGAATACTATGCAGCCATAAAAAAGAGTGAGATCATGTCTTTTGTGGGAACAAGGATGGATCTGGAAGCCATTATCCTTAGCAAACTAATGCAGGAACAGAAAACCAAATACCACATGTTGTCACTTATAAATGGAAGCTAAGTGATGAGAACTTATGAACACAAAGAAGGAAACAACAGACACTGGGGTCTACTTCAGGGTGGAGGGTAGGAGGAGGGAGAGGAGCAGAAAAGATCACTATTGGGTACTAGGCATAATACATGGGTGATTAATCTATGCAACAAACCCCTGTGACACAAGTTTACCTATATAACAAACCTTCACATGTACTCCAGAACCTAAAATAAAAGTGTTTGTTTTTTAAAAAAAGAGTAGTATTCAACCAAACAAGGGAATGAAAACTTTCAAAGACTCAGTGTGACAGAAACTTAACTTCTTATAGCTCAAGCATATAGGCTTATGTAGCTAGAAAATCTGCATATTTAGCCTGGCCTAGCTTCAGGCATAGCTAAATCTAGGAAGCTGAAACTTATCAGATCCCTGCTGCCTTCTTTGCATAGGCTTCAGAGGAAGAAAGACCTTCTCTATCCTAGTGTCCATATACCTTTTTTTTTTGGTTTTGGTTTTGGTTTTGGTTTTTGCAGACAGGATCTTGCTCTGTTACTCAGGCTGGAGTCCATAGTGTGATCACGGGTCACTGCAGCCTCTACCTCCTAGGCTCAAGTGATCAGCCTCCCAAGTAGCTGAGACGATAGATGTGTGCCACCATGCTCAGCTAATTCTTTTTATTTTTTGTAGAGATGGAGTCTCACTGTGTTGCCTAGGCTGGTCTCAAACTCCTGGGCTTATGTTGTCCTCCCACCTTGGCCTTCCAAAATGTTGGGATTACAGGTGTGCACCACGACACCTGGCCTCGTAGTGTTGGTATATCCGATTGACCTTTCCTGCATCAGATGAACTTCCCTGAACCAATTTCTATAGCCAGAAATTAGATGAGATTTAGCGAGAGAGGCAGTGAAGCCTGAACCCTGAAACCAAGTTTAATTCAAGTCCCTCCTCTGCTACTTACTGTGTAACCTTGCCAAATTATATACTCCCTGTGTCTCAGTTTCCTCAACTTTAAAATGAGAGAAATCATAGTACTTATCACATAGGTCATTTCTTTAAATGAGATAATACATATAAAGTGGACAGAACAGTGTCTGGCACATAGTAAATTATCAATAAATCTTAGCCGCCATGATGATCATAATGATAACAATAGTGGTAGTGCTGGTCATAGTGATGAAGAAGAAACAAGAGCAGCAGCTACCACTTGTTATAGGGGTAGGGTTAGGAGAGGGTCAGCTAAGTGGAATAGATTCCCCACAGGAAATACGGATTCTGTTATCAAAAGAAGAGAAAGAGATAAAGGGTTGGAAAGATAAATTATAGCTACCAATAGTCCTCTGTAATCACATCCAGTAGTTTGAGAGCCATCATAGGTTTGCCAGTAAGGAGATGTTGCTGACTTGTGAGAGCAGTTTGGTGAAGTGGGGCTGGGGATCATGAAAGGATGATATCTTCTCTTTGTGACTCATCTGCATGTAACGACTTTGATGGATTTTCTGCAAATAAATAGTCTTTGGTTAGTAGCCATTTGCCTTGTGGGCAGAGCTCCAAGATAGTTTGCCATTAAAAAAAAATCCTCATAAAGGCTTAAACAGGGTTCAAACAGATCTAATCATCATATCATTTGGCACATTGTAGTACCTGATTCCATCTAAATTGCTTTCCCCTAACAATCCTTAGTCCACATTTCTGCTTTCTCTCCTTGTTAAGAATAGATGGCAGATCAACATTCTTGCCTACTCCTGCAAGAGCATCTCGAAGGAATGAAAGGCAATTATACTTCTGCTGCAGAGGAGCATTTTCCACATGTTATGCTGACAGTTATGAAAAGAGCTAGTTATTGGATTAGTTAGTGAGGTGTGATTGTCAGTTTTCATCAGGTTCTCATTACTGGTAATGTTGCCCAGACCTACATTTTTTCTCTGAATATGCTTCTGCCTTTTCTGTGTCTAGCTTACTTGTTTACAAAATATTTTCAGAGAGAAAGTCTAATTCAGGGTTAACAAAGTTCTGCTAAGTCACCCCAAGATTATCTGGGCTAAAGAAGTTTTTACAGAGTACAGTTGTGGAAAACAGCTCTTAAGAGTTTCTGGGTTAATCTAGAATGATTTCCTAAAAGAAAAGTTTTAGAAGAAGTATTAAAGGAATCTTTTCCTCCCAGCTCTCCCCTCGCAAATTACAGCAGCACCCACAGACAAATATCACAAAAAAAACAAAACTATATAACAGATAAATATGAAGAAAGAATGAGGAACTGAGAACTCTAGCCTCCAACTTTACCATTAGTAAAAGCACATTACAGTGTTCCAGACTTGCTCTGTGAATAAACTGTTCTCAGCAATGTATTTACGTTAGTTCCTTAAGTTCCTTCCAGAATTTATTTCCTAAAAATATTGGGGCTTTTGTTGTTACTGCAACCCACAACTGACCTTTCAGGAATAAAGTAGATTTAGATTGTGATTATTAGAAAGCTATTTCAAAATAGACAAATAACATTCATAAGAAAAAGTGTGTAACCTTACTGGTGTTCAAAACTATAATTAAAATTATAATGAGGTATCTTTTTTTTTTTTTTGAGACAGAGTCTTGCTCTGCCACCCAGGCTGGAGTGTCGTGGCGTGATCTCGGCTCACTGCAACCTCTGCCTCCCAGTTTTGAGCAGTTCTCCTGCCTCGGCCTCCCAAGTAGCTGGGATTACAGGTGACCACCACCATGCCCCTCTAATTTTGGTATTTTCAGTAGAGACGCGGTTTCATCATGTTGGCCAGGCTGGTCCTGAACTCCTGACCTCAGATGATCTGCCTGCCTCAGCCTCCCAAAGTGCTGGGATTACAGGCGTGAGCAACCGCACCCGTCCAAAGTAATATTTTTTTAGCAATCATGATAGGCAAAGACTTTGAAAAGATAATGCCCAATTTAGCTAAGAATGTGGTGAAACGGGCCTTCCCATATTTTACTGTTGGGAATGCAAATTAGTCATTATTTTCTGAGGAGCAAATGGCTAGATTGACAAAAGTCCAAAATTGACCCAGAATAGCACCCTATGAAAATGTATCTCTGGGAAACAGTTCTAAATATGGGAAGGAGGGGGATTTTATGCACAAAAATTGTTATCAAAAGGTATGTTCTATATAGGCAGCCCTGTAAATATTCATTCTACAAATACTTGAGTACCTACTATATGGAAGGCTATTAGGCACTATTGAACAAAACAGATTTAGCTGGTTTAGCTATTTATAATAGCGGAAATATTGGAAACAGCCTACTGTGCAGTATTCTCGCAGCAGTTAAGTAAACTATGATTTATCCGTCTAATGGAACACTGTGAATCATAGTTTGCTTTACCATTCCCCACCAACATTTAGGGGTGTTTCCTTAAAATAGAGTGGATTATAAGGCAGCCATTTAAAAGTGAGTTACAAAGATAGTATAATAACTTGGATAAATGCTTACAGTATAGTATTACTAAATGAACTAGATACACAATTGTATATATCATATGATTACAACCATAAGGATGTAGCAGGCCCAGGTAAAGAGACCAGGGAGAAAGTGAGCAAAGTGTTAGCAGTGGCTGTATTTCTGTGATGAGACTAAGCGTGACTTTTTTTCTGCTTTTCTTTATTTCCCAAATTCTCTTTAATGAGGCCTTGTTATTTGTGTAATTTTTCCCCCCTTGATGCTTTAGTAACACACTTACAAAAAGTTTGCATGAAAGTGAAGACTGCTCAGTGGCTATTTCGTGAACTGAGTGGGAATTTTGTCAGAGAACTTTATCCCTCTCTTTTGACTGATTGGCTATTTCAGCTGTGGTGGAAGTATGCAATAGTGGATAGAAATCTGCTGGACACTCACCCTTAATATAGTCTGTCTATACATACGTAGCAGTGTCGATGCAATACACTGTGCCTCACAAATAGCAATGTAGATGATAAGATGCTTTTTGTTGTTTTTTTTGAAAACAGTATGTCTTTAGTATGTTATTTGAAGACTCGGGATTATGGCTAGTTGTGTGCCAACTTTCCATCCTTCAGACCTATAAAATCTGAATCAGTTTGGTTTTTTACTGCATTGTGGTGAAATTAAACAATTCATATAAATTTTTATTGTGGTTGATAGTCAAGGCTCTAGAAAGCTCTGAGATTTAATCTTGAGTTTTCCTTGCCACTTCAACCCAATTTTAAATTTTTTTTTCTTTTTCTTTTGAGACAGGGTCTCACTCTGTCACCCAGGCTGGAGTGCAGTTCTATGATCTTGGCTCACTTCAGTCTCCGCCTCTAGAGTTCAAGCGATTCTCATGCCTCCACCTCCTGAGTAGCTGGGAGTATAGGTGTTCACCACTACACCCAGCTAAATTTTTTTTTCTGTATTTTTAGTAAAGATGGGGTTTTGCTCTGTTGGCCAGGCTGATCTCAAGCTCCTGGCCTCAAGTGATCCGCCCGCCTCTGCCTCCCAAAGTGCTGGGATTACAGGCGTGAACCACTGTGCCTGGCCTCAATTTAAAAATTCTTAATCCACTCTTAACTTCCATCTAGTGGAACTCCAATTTTATCCTTTCTTTTCTCATTGTCTTCCCTACATTTCTGTTAGCATGAAATTTCTAATTGTACAGACTTTGCAGTGTGCAGAGTCAAATCTCTCATATCCTGTAACTTTGCTGCATGCTCCTTAGTTTTTTCTTTATCTACACTTATATCTGGTCATTTTGATACATTTTTTTCTTTTTTGGTCTTCTCAGCTCTTAGAAACAGACATGTTTGTAGAAAAGAACTCTTACCATTTGTTGTGTCTGGGACTTGTATGGAGGGTTTTTGTTTTGGTCTGGGTTGGTTTGCTTTTTCTATTTAAAATTTAGATTGTGTGTACACCCACACAGAAACTTCACCCAGCTACCAGGCTGTTCCTTTGTAGAGTGGTGATCAAACAAAAATATGCATCTAGTGATTCTTTCATTTGATTTGAAAACTGATTTCAGAAACACATGATTTTCTTCTTTTACCTGGCAGATTATTACTGAGCAAGCTGAAGAATGGAGGACTCAACCTACTTATAAAGTACCAAACTGTTAAGGTCATAGAAAATTATTTCTGGAAGGTACATCAGAAGTTGTTCTAGCCCAACTCTCTTATTTTACAGATGGAAAACCTGGGGCCCAAAAGAGAGCCTGGCTTAGCCTAAGCTGTACAATGACTAAGTGGTAGAAAATGAACTAGAACATTTCTGAATTCCCAGTCCAGCATTCTTTCCACTAAGCTGATGGCTGTCTTCCAGGTGCAGGAGTGCAGGTTGGTACTTATTACAGGACTCTGCTGGCTGCAGTGGCTCTTCCTGGTGCTGTGGAAAGTACCCTCTTCTTTGCTCAGTCTGATTCCATTTATGGGAAGCAGTGATGGAGTTTGTACATAAGCTTTACAGTAAAGTCTGCTGCTGTCCCAAGTTTCTTAACCTTTTAAAAGTCATCTTCCTTCCATTTCTGATTTCCTAGTACATCTATTATTTATTTCAATGTAAACAAATTCCAAATAATGGAAATTTGTCTCTACTACAGCTTATTCAAGTTTGCACTTTGGGTATATATGCTAATGTTTACAGACTGGTGAGGTCAGGAAAATTGAACTGCTGTTATTTCAAAAGTGAAAGCTACTCTGGGACTTCTAGGTCAGGGTGGCAGAGTGAATACTCCTGAATCTTATTCCTCTCATTCAAAAACAGAGAAATTATGCATAAATATTTTTAAAGTTTTTTAAAAATACATAGTTATTCTTAAAAATAAGAAAGGAAAGTGTCTTTTGGCCAGTAATAGAAAAGCCACTGTGATGGTAGGGGATCGGGGGGTGCTATGAATGGATATGGGCAATTGGGACCAGGTTTTTTTGCAATGATCCTGTCTGTGCATGAACCCAGGACCCAAGAGCACAATACAAATAGGAGCTGGGTTAATCTAACTTATCCCAGCAGTGTCACAGCCAGGAATATGCTGCTTGTTCCTGAGCGGAAGTAAAGAATAATTGGCAGTCACAAGCAAGCGCAGGAAACCACTCAAGATAGAACTTGGACCCAAAATACTTTTGGGCTAAAAATTCAGAACTGGGCTACCTAGGAGGAAAGAAGGCCCAGAGCTACCAACTTAAGGTCTGGTTCAAGGTTGGCACATTATCAGATTTAAGCTGAGGCAACTTAAAACTGCCCTGTAGATACAGGTACTTACATTTTTTAGTTATCATAAAAATTGAGCCCCCAAAACATTACAAAGAACCCAGTAAAACCTAAGATCATGAAAAAGCAGTCAAGAGAACCCAACAAATTAGAGAATTTATACCTGAGAAAAGAAGAACAATCTGATGAGAGTTTAAAAATAAGTTAAAATTATCAATATATGTTCAGAAGAAATTACATTTTACAGAATGAAGAATAGATAATGAAACAAGAAGAGAAAGCTGTGAGAAAGAAGCATTTAGACATCTTGAAGTGAAAAATATTATATTGAAATGTAAAAATACAATATTGAAGTAAAAGAACAGTTAGACTGCACATACTTTCTATAGCTTAAGAGAAAATTAGAGAATTAGGAAAAAGAACTGAGAAAATCTTTCAGAATGCAGTTTAGAGAGAGTTAGAAGAAAATGAAAGAGAAAGATGGACATGAAAGATGACCTGAGGAGCTCCAACATACATCTGCTAGGAGTTACAAAGGAGAAAAAAGAATGAATAAAAAAGTGGCAATAATAATAACAATAACTGCAGCTAAGAATTTTTTCAGAAATGAAGCTGAGTCTTCAAAATAGAAAATGCTGCCACATGTAACACAGGATAGATAAATCCACAACTACATACATGATAATAAAATCATAGGAAATTAATGATAAAGAGAAAATCTGAAATTCTGAATACAAGTATAACAAAAAATTCTGAATAATGGAATGGTAGTCAAACTGGCAGTAGGCTTTGGCAACAGTAGATACCAGAAAACTGACTAGTATCTTCAAAGTGCTGTAGACAAATAACTGTGAGCTTACAGTTTCATACAGTGGTTTATATACAGAGTGGGAGCAAAATAAACGCATCTTCAGATACACAAAGCTAAGTTTTCAACTCACAAACTCTTGGTGACAAGAGAACTAAAGGATGTTCTTCAGCAAAGACAAAAATAAATGCAGAAAGAAGTGGAATACAAAAGCAAAGAGTGTTAAAATATGAGATAAAGCTAATATGCTTCAAAAGCTAGAACTAAATCTTAGCAATAATAATATGGTATTAAAGATGTAAATGTGTGCTGAAGTCCTTGTTTTGAGTAGAAAAGATACAGATTAATGTTATAGACTTTTAAAAAATATATATTTAAATAAGTATGTTAAATATAAGGGTATCCAGTACAGTAATAGAAATATAGAAATAGAAGGTACAAGTCCTTAATCAGTAGGGGAAAGAGAAAAGATAGGTAATATTTTAAATGCTATCACTCCATTCAATAGAGGGCAGGAAAGAAGATAAAAAGAAGCAAAGGAAAAACATGGAAATAGGAAATACAAAATAAAACATGTAAGTAATCATAATATAAATTAATCTACAAAGCCAGAGAGATAGATTATCCTTCCATATGCTGTTTTAAAAGTAACACTGAAAGATAAAAAAATACAAGTATAGGACAGGAAAAATTTTCTCTTGATTACCACCTAGTGAAAGGTGGCAGCATGAACATCATTTGAAACATGAACATGTTTTTGCCTAAAAACATCAAATGACAGAAATATATGTCTCGCTTATAAATAGGTAACAATCCACGAAGATGATATAAAATGACTCTAGATACTGAAAATATACTCTCAAAATATATAAAACAAAACCGACAGAATTATCAAGAAATAGCCTATCCACAGTCAGTGTTGCAGATTTTAACACACCTCTCTTAGAAACCAGTATATCAAACAGTCAAAAATACTCAAGAACATAAAGGATTTGAACAACATAATTAACCAGCTTAATCTAACAGATATATAGCACACATAGGGCATGTGTATTGTGACCATGCTAAATGAAAAATCAACATTCACTTATTCATTCAACAAATACGTATTTGTCCAATATTTGCCAGATATTGTTCGAGGCTCTTGGAATCCTTTAGTCAACAGTATAGACAATAATCCTGACCTGTTGAAGTGTACATTCTAGCAGGGAGTAAGACGAAAAGGCAGACAATAAACAACAAACATAATAAAGTATATAATATGTTAGACACTGATGCAGTTTGGAAAAAAAACTAAAAAGGAGAATTGAATAAAGAGGATTGGATGGAGAAAGTACAGGTTGTAATACAAACAGTGGGTCTGAGTATATCTTATTGACAGGTTGAGATTTAAAGAAGCAGAAGAAGTTAGCCACAAAGATATCTGAAGGAAGAACATTTCTTCAGATGTAGTGTAGTGAGGTCCTCTAGCAAGAGGTTACAGCTAGAGCAAAGGCCATATGGTGGGAAAGTACTGACACATGAAATAAATGACAGGTGAGAGTAGCAGGAAAGAGAATCAGATCATCTGAATGTAGAGCGTCATAGGCCTTTGTCATTTACTATGCACAAAATGAGGTGCCATTGCAGGATTTTGAGTAGAGGAGTGATGTGATCTGACTTAAGTTTTTTTTTTTTTTTTTTTTGAGATGGAGTCTTGCTCTGTTGCCCAGGATGGAGTGCATTGGCACCATCTCAGCTCACTGCAAGCTCCACCTCCCAGGTTCAAGCGATTCTCCTGCCTCAGCCTCCTGAGTAGCTAGGATTACAGGTGCAGGCCACCACGCCCAGCTAATTTTTGTATTTTTAGTAGAGACGGGGTTTCACCATGTTTGTCAGGCTGGTCTCAAACTCCTGACCTTGTGATCTGCCTGCCTCGGCCTCCCAAAGTGCTGGGGTTACAGATGTGAGCTACCATGCCCATCCGATCTGACTTAAGTTTTAAAAGAATCATTCAAGCTGCTGTGTTGAGATTAGACTTCAGACAAAGGTAGCAGCTGAGCAGCTATTTCAGTAATCCAGGCAAGAAATGATGATAGGGGCTTGGATCACATGGTAGCAATACAGTTGTTGAAAGTTGGTAAGATTCTGGATATATTTGAAGGTAGAGCCAACATTTCCTGGAAGGGCTTGTGGGGTGTGACAGAAAGAGGGAGGAATTGTAGATGATTCCAAGGTTTTTGACCTAAGCAACTGATAGGATAGAGTTTCCATCAACTGACATGGGGGAGGCTACAAATGAAGCAGGTTGGGGAAGAAAACTAGGAAGCCAATCTTATTTATTTATTTATTTAATTTTTTTTTCCATAGATTTTGGGGGAACAGGTAATCTGGTTATATGAATAAGTTCTTTACTGTGATTTCTGAGATTTTGGTGCTCCCATCATCCAAGCAGTGTACACTGTACCCAATGTGTAGTCTTTTATCCCTTACCACCCTCTCATACTTTCCCCTGAGTCCCCAAAGTCCACTGTGTCATTCTTACACCTTTTCATCCTGATAGCTTAGCTCCTTCTTATGAGTGAGAACATACAATGTTTGGTTTTCAGTTCCTGAGTTACTTCACTTAGAATAATGGTCTCCAATTCCATCCAAGTCACTGCAAATGCCATTATTTCATTCCTTTTTATGGCTGAGTAGTATTCCATGGTGTATATATATATACCACAATTTCTTTATCCACTCATTGACTGATGGGCATTTGGGCTTGTTCCAAATTTTTGCAATTGCAGATTGTGCTGCTGTAAACATGCACGTGGAAGTATTTTTTTCATATAATGACTTCTTAGGAATCCAATTTTTTTTTTTTTATTTTTTGGACAGGGTCTCGCTCTCTCACCCAGGTTGGAGTGCAGTGACTCGATCTTGGCTCACTGCAACCTCTGCCTCCTGGGTTCAAAGTGATTCTCCTGCCTCTGCCTCCTGAGTAACTGGGATTACAGGTGTCTGCCACCACACCCAGCTAATTTTTGTATTTTTAGTAGAGTTGGGGTTTCACCGTGTTACCCAGGCTGGTCTAGAACTCTCCTGACCTCAAGTGATCTGCCCACCTTGGCTTCCCAAAGTGCTGGGATTACAGGTGTGAGCCACCACACGTGGCCAGAATCCAGTTTTAGATATGTTGGTTTGAGATAACTGTTAGATTTCCAACTGGAAATTTTGGCAGTTTGGTTAAACAGATCTGCCAAAATGCTGTAGAGTATTTAGATGATATTTAGAGCTATAAGACTGTATCAGATAACAGAAAGAAAATACAGAAAAGGGAAGAGGGCCCAAGAAGTATCTTGTGTCCTTTCCAGTGTGAGTGAAAAAAAAAAAATGTATCAAGAAAGAGGTAGTTGTCAACAGTGTTAAATGTTGCTGTTAGGGTCATATAAGATGAAGACTAAGAACTGACCATTGATTTTGATAACATTAAGACCTTGATAAGAGTGGTTTTGTTAGAATAGTGGGACAGAAAGCCTGACTGAAGTAATTTTAAGCCACATTGAGAAGAGAGGAGTTGAAAACATTGAGAAAAGCTATTTTTTTTTTTTTTTTTAGAGATAAGTTTTTCAGGAATGGGGGTTAGCAAGGAAATGGAGTGGCAGCTTTTGGGGAGAGTCAAGAAAAGGATGTTTTTTGTTTTGAGATGGAGTCTTGCTCTGTTGCCCAGGCTGGAGTGGTGCAGTGGTGCAATCTTGGCTTACTGCAGCCTCCGCCTCCCAGGTTCAAGTGATTCTCCTGCCTCAGCCTCCCGAGTAGCTGGGATTACAGGTGCCCGCCACCATACCTGGCTAATATTTTGTAGTTTTAGTAGAGACAGGCTTCCGCCATGTTGACCAGGCTGGTCTCAAACTCCTGGCCTCAGGTGATCCGCCTCGGCCTCCAAGAGTGCTGGCATCACAGGCATGAGCTACCACACCCAGCCAGAAAAGGGTGTTTTTTAAGCTACATGTTTGCTTGTGAGAATGATACCAATGGAGAACAACAACAACAAAAAGATGATGTGGGAGGAAGAATGGAGAACTGCTGTAATGAGGTCCTTGAGTAGGGTCTAGAGTACAAGTTGAAGGATTTGACTTCAAATAGAAGCACGTTAGGTTCATCAATGGTAACAAGTGAGAAGATGGTAAAGGGTGGTTAAATGTGGTAATAGTTTGTGGAAGTTCTTTTCTGATTGCTTCAATTTTCTTAGTGAAGTAGAAAGCAAGACCAGCAGCCAAGAAAGAACACGAGGAAGGAAGTGTTGGGTGTTTGAGTTAAAAGGGAAAGGGGTAAAGTATTTATCTAGGAAAGTAAATGGACTAGGGAAGTATCTTTGTGTGCATTAGAGTCCACTAAAGGTTCAAAGTAATGAATTTAAATTGAGACCAATGAGCATGGTTGTATGTTTTTTTCCAGCCACATTTAGTTGCACAGGTGCAGGTGTGGAGTAGGCAGAAAATTGGATTTAAACAAGGTTGTAGTTTTGCCAAGCACTATAAAGGGAGAGAGGGGAGAGTGATGATAATAATGATAAATCATGGAATGTAATCTCGATAAAGAGGAGAGTGAAGGGACATCAAGAGCATGAGAGTCAGTGGAGATTCCATGAGGTTGAACAATGCACAGTAGTTCAGGATCACCCTAGTAGAAAGAATAAGCTGGAAAAATAGGATGTGGAGATACAGAATTGAGATTATGGAGGGGTTATAGTTTTTTTGTAATGGCAACAAAAAGTTAGCTGAAGAAGAAAAGAATACTTCTGATAAACTTCCTTGTAGATACTGCATGGGTAAGGAGGTAATTATAATGAGAATTACAAAATATTTAGAGCTGAACGACAATGAAATTACTCCACATTAGATCTTGTAAAGTAGCTAAAGAGAGAAAACTATAACCTTAAATACATGTTTAAGGTTAAAAAATTAGAAAAAGTGAAAATAAATGAGTTAATCTTTCAACTCAAGAAGTTGAAAACAGAGTAAGCCCAAAGTAAGTAGAAGGAATGAAATAAAATAAAGATAAAAGCAGAAATTAATGAACAGAAAACAGAATAGCAGTAGAAATAGTGTTAATACCAGGAGCTGATTCTTTGAAAAGATAGAAAATTCAATAAGCCTTTTTATTTTCCAACGTCCACCTTGACTGCAGTGTTCTAGGACTTCTCAAAGGCATCTTACATGCTAGTCTGGGGCCTGGGATGCAAACAAAAACAGATCAGAGGCAGTTATTTTGGCAACAATAGGGAGAGGGAAGAGTCTTCAAGGTCCCTTAAAGCAACATGTACAACAAATGAGCTGCATGCATAACCAGGGCATCTACTTTTTCCAGCTGCGCACACTGAGCCCCATCAGGGAGGGTAAAATGCAGTAAACCTTTGAAAAGCTGATCTAGAGAAAAACTATAGGTGTAAACAAATAGTATTAGGAAGAGAAATAGGGACAAAATTAAGATAAACATATTTAAAATATAAGATTATTTTGAGCAACTTTATGACAATAAGCTTGAAAACTTAGTTTAAGTGGACACTTCTGGGAAAATATAAAATATCACAATGACTTAGGAAGAAATGGCAAAACAAAGAAGTCCCATAACCTTTAAAGAAATTTAATCATACTTAACCACCACCTCCCCAACCTCCTGCCAAAAACACCAGGCCTAGAGTAATTTGGGGGATGAATTCTATCAAACTGTCAAGGAACAAGTATAATAATACTTGTCTTACATAAACTGTTTCAGAAAATAAAAAGAAGGAAACCAGAATCTACACTAGATTGTTTCGCCTCCAACTTGTTTAGTAACAACAAAAAGAGGCTAAGAACTGAGGCTAAGAAAAACCAAAATAAAGTCTGAATACTTCCTACAAACAGCACTAGAAAAAGACATCTGATTATACCTAGGTGGTATAGGTTTTAAGGACTGGACCTTTGACTTCGTGCTCATCCTTCTGTGTGGACCAGCTTTGATCTTTGATTCCAGTTATTTTAATTCCAGTTGTAATGATGGGTTTTGGACACTCTCAGTCTGTATTATGACCAACAGCATGTATCCGTAAGATAGCTAGGTCACTAATAGTCTGTGGCATGGAAAAAATTTTGTTTTGTTTTAATATGGTGCTAACTAAGCATATAGAGATTGACTCTGTAACTTTAACTCCAGTAACACACTGTTATCACCACCCAAACTGACCAGCCTAGTTAGTAACATCATATACAGTATCATACAAACTACGCAGAACCATGCCTGGGACACTCATCTGTTAGCTCTTACATGCCCTTTGTGCTCAAAGAGAACAATTTGTGGTTGTTGTATGCCAGTCAATTCAGTCATCATGGAGCTTAGTTGTTTACTGTATTGCATGCTAAGCAGTAGACTCTAGGAATCCAATAAATTTGATTCTCACATTGGTCCTGTTTGCCACAAACCTTGCCATGCCTCAAGAACCTCACAAGTTGTGTTTCTTAGAACAGTGCATATGTAGTTCTCATACTCTGCAACAGTGTTTGCCTCAGCATAATTGTGTTTATGTGGGATTGCATTGGCATTGCAATGTGAGAATGACAGAGTTGACAGGACCACTAACATCTGTACCCTGGGAATTGTTTCCCCCATCCCCATAGCTGGCTGAAGAAACTTTATTTCTGAGTTATTATGTAGGGACTGAAAGGTTTTCTTTTTCGTTTTGTTTTTTTTGTTTTTGTTTTTGTTTTTTACATATATGCACAGATTGTTTTTTACCTACAATGAGCAAAAATAATCTGGACAAAAAAATAATGCTCTCCCTGTTTTTTCTTTCAAATGTATACATATATTTGAAATCTTAGGCATAGGGAAAAGCTTTTATGTCATCTTCAGAGCTACTGCCATATTTTTTAGCTAGAACCAAATCTTAAATCTCTCCTGACAGAACCTTAATGAAGGGGACAAAGTGATCTCCAGTGGAAATGTGAAAGGCATAAAAAGGAAAAGTTAGATATCTGGAGGATTCAGATGACACAAAGAAAATAAGTTGAGGATAAAGGAAATGAGAGGGTAAACCTAGTAGTACAATGGCATCTTGCATCTTCAACTATTTTAAAGTATGTTTACCTGAGAACGTGAAGATAAACTGTATATAGATGGCACATAGACAACTAATAAATGAATAAACATTTACATTGCATATGTCAGAAGTATCTGCAAAGCAAAAAGGGTGCATGCCAGTTCATTGTTGACCAGAAAGAGTCTTTCATATACTCTTCCAGGATCTATGTTATTATTGAAAAAAAAAAAAAGAAGTTAGATGTTAAGTTTGGGAGTATTTTTAGTAAACCCAGATGAACAGAGCAGGCTTTATTTCTGGATCAACTGCAAATTCACAACTATGAAGACTAGTTGAAATATTTAAATTTCTAGATGAATCATGCATAGATCACTTTTCATAGGGCCTTTTCCTTAAAACTCTGCAGTTAACTAAAAGTGGGAAATAATTATTTTTCTTAACACCTGGTGGACCATTCAGCCTCATTTATAGGCTTTAAAGAAAACTAACAAAATATTTTTAAAAATCAAGTTGATGACAATTTAAAAACTTACATAGAATTTCTGAACCTTCTTTAAGTTATAGGTTACATTTTCAAGAAACTGATCGTTATCAAACTTGTGAGCTTAAATTTAAGTGTGTTGCTACCAGGCAGTAATACGTTTGGCCTGGCATACAGATTACAAGCACAACTTAACTATCACAGATATCTTTGAGAACTAAATGGATTTATTTATTTTAAAAGTTATTCTAAAATTAATTCTGTACCTTTCTCCTCCGTACCTTTCTCCTTAAGTTTTTGAAACACCTTTCTTGACATATAATTTCTGGACTACTGCACATATTTAAATTGTAATATCTGATGAATTTGAGGAAACTATCTCCCTAATTCTCCCTAACTCTTAACTGTACTAAATACTTATAGTCTTAACAAAAATTTCAGATAAATCATATGTTTTAAAGCTACTTATTCAGTGTTTAACTGACACTATATAGAGTCCTTTTGCTAATTTTAAGCTAATCAAAAGAGATATAATATACCCTGTTAGTGCTTCTGATCAGTTCAAGCATTTTTTTTTTCTCGTCAAGGTGCTATGAGCATTTGGCAGGGTAGTTCTTCACTATGTGGGTCTGTTTCCAGAATAGCAAGCATTCAGCATCCCTGAGCCTGGCATTTGAAATGCCAATAGCACCCTCCAATCATTGTGACAATCAGTGTCCCCACATATTTTCAAAAGCTCTTGTGGTAAGTGTTGCCCCTTCCCCTCCCCGTGACAAACCTGCCCCTTATACCTTTACTGATGTTTCTAGCCTGTGTGGCCTACAAAAAAAGTGTGAATGGGGAATTGTTCACATTAAAAAGAGATAGGTTTTCATTTCTGCTTTTTGTAAGCCATTGCTAAAGTTAAATTTAATTGCAAAATACTAAACTCTTGAACCAATTCTAGGACAGGTTTGCAGAATGATTTTCTTAAAGGACCTTTATAATATCTTACCCTTAAATGAATTTCTGAGACTTAACATTCGTAACACTAGGGCATGATTATTTAAATATATGGGAGCAAGATTGGGAACATTTTGTCAGCTAGTTAAGTTATTGTGAGCTCCATGCTGTGCAACTTGTATATCCTGTCTTGCTTTGCCTCTCTGCTGCTGCCTTGTACTCCAAAATAGCACCATCTCTTCTCCCTACTCCCAGCAACCCACTAGACTATGTATAAGCCATTAGTGGATATATTTTGTTGGTCTGATTTTTAGCTTTTTTGCTTGTTCACAAAGAACACATGTCAAAGGCCCTTTATTACACTGAAAGAATTGCGTGACTCTGTTCTGCATTTTCTTACATGTGGAATTAAGGCTGACTCTTTACTCTAAAATGATTCATTTTGTGGTAAAGTCCCTAATATGTCTCCCTCACTCAGGAGCATCTGTGCAGGAGTCAACATTAAATGTGAGTTATCATTATTGATCTTCTCCATCACCCCCAAAAAGGGAGGATTTTCACATCGCATAAATTAAAACAGGATTGAGATGGAAAAATCAAAAGAGAAGAAAAAGTGACAAAGAACCTCCTATTTCCTTTAGAACTTCTTATTTCCTGCCCCCAAGTAATATTTTTGGCCCTTCTAAGTACCCAGTAATAAAACGTCACTATAAAAGCATAGAATAGTAAATGAAGCTGTTATGAATTCTAGACTATCTTCCGACTTGGCTGTGTGCTGTTGATGGTCTCCTTTAAAAACAAATTGTTTGTTTAGTATGAGATCAAAAATTATTTACGTAAAATATATGGAAGAGTAGGGCTTGATATTAATTTTTTAACATTATGGAGATCTTTGTAGTGATACAAATTTTGAGATTTCCTATAATCTCTTTGAAGACACGAATCATGTCTTACAGTACTTTGTGTATCGCTATCCCTAATAGTACCTTGCACAGAATAAGAACTTAATAGTTGTTAGTTGATGGAAGAAAAGTATCAGTTGAAAATAAAAATTAAAATATTTTCTTTGGATCTTATATTCATAAATGGACTGAAAATGACTGCCCTGTTCCAAAAGGAGGAACAGAGATCTTCAACTGTACTTCTTAACTGGTAATACTTGACTCATCACCTTCTTACCTAAATCTGAACTAAAATACTGTATATTGTACCTACCCAGAAGTTTATAAATTAACCTACCAAGAAATTTATTTGAGGAAGAGACAGAGACATTTTTGAAAGACTAGGTAATGTCCACCTAACTGTTGATCTCCTTTGGGCCTTAAAGGACCTTGTGGTTTTGTTACCAGAAAAGGAGTCCAATCTGGACCCCAAGAAAGGGTTCTTAGATCTCACTCAAGAAAGAATTCAGGGCAAGTCCATAGAGTAAAGTGAAAGCAAGTTCATTTAGAAAGTGGAGGAATAAAAGAATGACTCCATAGACAGAGCAGCCCCAAGGGCTGCTGGTTTTATGGTTACTTCTTGATTATATGCTAAACAAGGGGTGGATTATTCACGAGTTTTCCAGGAAAGAGGTGGGCAATTTCCAGAACTGAGGGTTCCTCCCCATTTTAGACCATATAGGGCAACTTCCTGATGTTGCCATGACATTTGTAAACTGTCATGTCACTGGTGGGAGTGTCTCTTAGCATGCTGATATTTTATAATTAGTGTATAATGAGTCATGAGGACAACCAGAGGTCACTCTCATTGCCGTCTTGGTTTTGGTGGGTTTTGGCTGGCTTCTTTCTCGCAACCTGTTTTATCAGCAAGGTCTTTGTGACCTGTATCTTGTGCTGACCTCCTATCTCATCCTGTGACTGAGAATGCCTTAACCTCTTGGGAATGCAGCCCAGTAGGTCTCAGCCTTATTTACCCAGCCCCTATTCAAGATAGAGTTCCTCTGGTTCAAACACCTTTGACAAAAACATACCTATACCTTAGTCTACTATGTGTAATGCATTCCAACATTTGCTATTCTGTTTATTCACTTTTTATTGATCTGGTTGTGGCCACTAAATTGATTCATAACCTAATAATGAGTCTCATTGTACCTTCAGCCCAAGTGACTGCCTGTTTCCATTAGCAAACCCAATTCTTTGGTGAACATATAATCTTAGAGTCCTCTGTAAAGAGAGACTATCTTTCAAAGTTGTCAGGAATTAAAAAAGAAAGTCACTTCCTTGTGCCCTTTTCTCACTGTAGTGAGATGAAAAAACTCTATTTTTTTAAACACTATTAAACTTACAGAAATATTTCAAGAATAAAGAATTGCTGTATATCCTTTACCTATTTATCACATTCACTTTTTTTTTTTTTTTTTGAGCTGGAGTTTCACTCATGTTGCCCAGGCTAGAGTGCAATGGTGCGATCTCGGCTCACCCCAACCTCTGCTTCCCAGGTCCAAATGATTCTCCTGCCTCAGCCTCCTGAGTAGCTGGGATTACAGGCATGTGCCACCACGCCCGGCTAATTTTGTATTTTCAGTAGACATGGGGTTTCTCCATGTTGGTCAGGCTGGTCTCGAACTCCCGACCTCAGGTGATCTGCCCACCTCAGCCTCCCAAATTGCTGGGATTACAAGTATGACACATTCACATTTTTACCAGTTGTCCTAATAAAGTCCATGGCAGCAGAAAGATCCAATCCAGGATCACTATACCGAATTTTTGTGTATCTCTAGTTAGACTTCCCTTGACTTATATGACCTTGGTTTTTTGGGGGTGTTTTGTTTTGTTTTGTTTTGTTGTTGCCCAGGCTGAAGTGCAGTAGTGTGATCTTAGCTCACTGCATCCTCTGCCTCTTGTGCTCAGAGGATCCTCCCACCTCAGCATCTTGAGTAGCTGGGACTACAGGTGGGCGCCACCATGCCTTGCTAATTTTGTTTTTGTTTTGTTTTGTTTTGTTTTGTTTTGTTGGTAGAGACGCGGTTTGGTGACATTGCCGAGGCTAATCTTGAACCCCTGGGCTCAAAAGATTTGCTCTCCTTAGCCTCCCAAAGTGCTGAGATTATGGGCATGAGCCATCACGCCTGGCTGACCTTGATATTTTTGAAGATAGCAGGCCAGTCATATATGTCCCTCAGTTTAGGTTTATTCAGTGTTTTCTCATGATTAGACCCAGTTTATGCATTTTTGGCCACAATGTCATAGAAGTGATACTGTGCTCTTCTCATTTCATGCTGTCAGTTTGTCACGTTACTAGTGGTCTCGTCTTTGATGACTGGATTGAGATGACATCTGCCAGGTTTCTCCATGGTAAAGTTAGTTTTTCCTCCTTTGTGATTAATAAATGTTGTGAGATGTGGTCCTTTGAGATTATGTAAACTCCAGTTTCTCCTCTACTTTTACCCACTACTTTGAACATCCATTAATACTTCTTTCTTGGATTGATTTTACAGTCATGGTTGCCAAATGGTAATTTTTCTAACTTTATTACCCCTTCTACATTTATTAGTAGGCATTCTATTGTAAGCAAGAAGCTGTTCTCCTCTCATTTATTTTTTTCACTCATTTACTTATATCAATGTCTACTCATGGGTTCCTAGTCAGTGGGTTATAATTCATTGCTGTCATTATTTATTATGATGCTCTTATTATCACAGGTTTGGCTTTTTAAGCAGGCTTCTGTGTCCTTGCGTCATATCATTTAAGTATTGTTTGAGGACTTTCTCACCTTCTAGTGCAAGAGAACAGGCTCATTTTCTTTCCTTACCCCAGCTCTGGAATTAGCCATTTCTCCAGGGAGCCCTGTTCCTCTTAGTAGAAAGTGGCATTCAGAAACAATGATCTGGGCACTAGGTATGCTAAATGCTGCTCTAGTGTTGCTCTTCCCAGGCCCCTTTCAGTGGACAGAGCTAGGAAAGACATACATATGGATGCATTTGCTTACATATACACATACATTTACGTCTTTATTTCTTTATCTTTCTATATTGAAAATCATAAGTTCATACCAACATGGGGTTCTTTCTAGCTTTCCCTTTTTTTTTGTATTTATGTCTGCCTTCTCTAACAATGAGAAACCTAGTTGCCATTTTCAATATGTTTACTTATTTGCTCAATCCCTTGAGTAAAGGCAATCCCCTAATTAGAACCAAGTAGACCAGGCTACTACCTCACCACTATACCCTCCTCTTATTGTCAGGGCTCTTTGCCTTCTGAGAAATAAGGAAAGCTGGGAAGAGGGAAGGAGGAAAATAGGTAGAGATAAGTTTTTTCTTAAAGCATTTGAAAAGAAGATTCTGTCATCTTTTTCAGTAACCTTTTACATAATCACAAGGAAAATAAGTGCATAGAATATAAAAACTGATATTTAAGCTCTTTGCTTCAGATTTTCATTTAGATTCTTACATATATTTTATAAATGCACATGCATGTTAACCAAGTTTTTTTTGTGATAATGACCATGTATTGAGCATGACCACATGCTAGGCACTGTGATGGATGATTGTGTGTGTGTGTGTGTGTGTGTGTGTGTGTGTGTGTGTGTATCCTAAACCATATAACAACTCTGTAAATAAGCATCCTCATCACTATTTTGGGTGATGAACCAAATAAGATTCAATGAGGCTGAAGAACTTGATCATATCAGTCAGTTAAGCAGGGGTTAGAATTTCAACCCAGGATATCTGACCTCAAATACACAACCTTCCCAAACCATGTGTACAGCACCATGGTATATTGCTAGCATTGGAAATCATCACTGGGGAGCATTTTATCAAACATCACCCTTAAACCATGCCATTTGGGTTTTTTTAATTTAAAAAAATAAAAAGAGGAAAAAGTAGAAATTACTCAACTGGTTCATTAATTTATTCCTTTACTAACTTTTGGGAGAGTTGAGTCAATGACAGTCGATGATTAGTATTCACATCATGGAGACATTTTATTGGTTTATTCACACATTAGATATGTCCCATCTCAAAAACAAACTTATGCAGTTCCTCTATTTGATAGTTCTTATATTTGTTGGAAACTCTGTTGAGCTGACTACCTGGTGCTCTTAATTCCATTATAGCAACGCCCTAAAGTTTATAGACTTTTTTCTTCCCTCTTTTTTACCTACAAGAAATAAAATAGATGAACTCAGCATTCCTATCCTGCTTATCTGGAATGAGTTATTTTCTAAACAAGTGGCTGTTTGCAAAGCTCATCCTGTAGAAGTCTGTGGTCAAGAATATTTCCATTCAGTTCTTATTTTTACAGGGGAATTAATATCTTTACAGTCAGAAAGGAACAATAAATGCTTGTTGGCTGGGTTGAAAAAAATTAAATCTACAAAAAGACAAGTGAAGAAAGAAAGAGCTTACATTCAACTTTCTGGAGAATTTTTCTCTGTTTCTCTGTATATCTGATGTGTTCCTGCAAGTGTCTCAAATACCCAGGATTTTACTGAAGGATTTGAATTGGTAGATCTTTTCAGATCTGTTTTTACTTTACTTTAATCAACCAAAGTTTATTCTTCAGGCAGTTGTATTTTGTTCCCCTTTTACTGGCTGTGTGTCTTTGGCCAAGACACTTAACCTTTCAGAACTTCGCTTTCTTCATCTGTAAGATAGTAATATGGTCACGAGTCCCTTAACGACAGGGACACATTCTAAGAAATGAGTTGTTAGGCAATTTCGTCCCTGAGCAAACATCACAGAGTGAATTTAACACAAACCTAGATGGTACAGCCTACTACACACCTAGGCTATGTGGTATAGCCTATTACTCCTAGGATACAAACCTGTACAGCATGTTACTATTTTGAATATTGTAGAGCTGGAACATGATAAACATTTGTGTGTCTAAACATAGAAAAGGCATTGTAAAAATACTGAGTAAAAGAATAAAAATGATATACCTGTATAGGGCACTTACCATGAATGAATGCACCTTACAGGACTAGAAGTTGCTTTGGGTGAGTCAGTGAGCAAGTGGTGAGTGAAGGCCTAGGACATTACCGTACACTACTATAGACTATTAACACTGTGCACTTAGGCTACCCTAAAGTTATAAAAAAGTTTTTTCTTTCTTCAGTAATAAATAACCTTAGTTTACTATAATTTTTTTACTTTATACATTTTTAAAATTTAACGTTTTGACACTTTTGCAGTAATACTTAGCTTAAAACACAAACACATAACGCTGTACAAAAATATTTCTCTATATTCTTAATCTATAAGCTTTTATCTGTTTTTTTTTTTTTAACTTTAAAACTTTCTTATTAAAAACTAAGACACACACACATTAGCTTAGGCCTACACAGGGTCAGAATCATCAGTATCACTGTCTTTCACTTCCACATCTTATCCCATTGGAAGGTCTTCCTGCATGGAGCTGTCACTTCCTATCATAACAATGCCTTCTTCAGAATATCTCCTGAAGAACCTGCCTGAGGCAGTTTTACAGTTAACTTTTTTATATATAAGTAGAAGGAGAAGTACACTCTAAAATAATGATTAAAAATATAGTATAGTAAATACCAGGTTAGGCCGGGCATAGTGGCTCATGCGTGTAATCCCAGCACTTTGGGAGGCCAAGTCAGGCCAATCACAAGGTCAGAAGATCAAGACCATCCTGGCTAACATGGTGAAACCCTGTCTCTACTAAAAATACAAAAAAAGAAAATTAGCCGGGCATGGTGGCAGGCGCTTGTAGTCCCAGCTACTTGGGAGGCCGAGGCAGGAGAATGGCGTGAACCCAGGAGGCAGAGCTTTCAGTGAGCCAAGATCACGCCACTGCACTCCAGCCTGGGCGACAGACTGAGACTCTGTCTCAAAAAAAAAAAAAAAAAAAAAAGTAAATACCAGGTGATAAGAATTTTTCACTTCCATTATAGTCTTATGCGACCACCATTGTATGTGTGGTTTGTTGACAGAAACATCAGTTATGCAGGTCATGACTGTACAGTAGTATACATTTTCAGTGTGGTTGAGAGGATCAGGTGAGATAATATATGTTAAAACACTTTATAAAATATAAAAGAGTTTGTCATTGTTACTACTTCCTAGAAGTGGACATAAGATAGAAGTAAAAAGAGACAAAGAGGCCAGTTTGGAGTAAAAGAGGTTTACATTCCCTCTCTAATTGCCAGTGAGTGTGAAATCACTGTATGAATCTTACAGAAACAGGTCAGGAAACTGTGTCTGATCAAGTTGTTCTTGCCATGCCTTTAAGGAATAATATAAACTGGTGACTTTCATTCAACATATCAGAAAAGTGTCACTAACCTTTCCCTAGCCAGTCATGCTACCAAGCATGGGAATGTTAGTATTTAGGTTTACATCAGTATTTCTTTAAGTGAAAAGATCTAATGGAGACTCACCTTATCAGATGAGATTAGCTATATAAGCTATATCCATAATATATATCATATACGATCTGAATTCCCAATATAATTTGCTTTTTATTTTGTTTGTTTGTTTGTTTGTTTTTGAGACAGAGTTTTGTTCTTGTCGCCCAGGCTAGAGTGCAATGGCACGATCTCGGCTTACCACAACTTCTGCCTCACTGTTTCAAGTGATTCTCCTGCCTCAGCCTCCTGTGCAATAGCTGGGACTACAGGTGCCCCCCACAACACCTGACTAATTTTTTGTATTTTTAGTAGAGACAGGGTTTCACCATGTTGGTCAGGCTGGTCTTGAACTCCTGACCTTAGGTGATCTACCCACCTCGGCCTCCCAAAGTTCTGGGATTACAGGCGTGAGCCATCGCACCTGGCAACAGTTGGCCTTTGAGACACAGTGTATTCTAGTTTATGATAGAATTTATCAGTCTTCTTAAGGAAGACTGAGTAATTTCCAGGATCCCTAATAAAGGGGTTCTGATTCACTCTCAATCTAAAAGAATGAGTTTGTAAAACTCTTTTCAACCTATATTCCTCAGACCAACTTCCAAGTAGCTGATCACTTCCCTTGATTTAATTTCACAAAGTTAATCATAGGAGTAAAGAAGTTGTCAAGGCAATTAGAGGGAAAAGAATAGCATGTTGAGAAAGTTTGAAGTGAAAAGTATAAATTTCATGTGGAAAAAGGGAAAACAGGTTAGAGTTTCCAAGAGTCCAGAGAAAAGACGGTTGTTACTTTGGGGATAAACCCGTTGGCTTAGAAAACATTTGGCCTAGAAATTTTGGTTAGTGTAGTGGTAACAACAGAGTGCAAAAGATTAAATTTTAGATGTTTCTTCCAGGTCAAATCCAAAATCCTTTAACACGATGCAAATAAATTCCTCTCTTTTTAATTTCATTTTCCCTGTACTACTGAGTCTTGTAGCCTTGCAATTGCACTACTGTCTGTTTTCTCTCTTCATTTCTGGCCCTTCTTTCTTTTCCCTCACCTTTATACCACTTTCCACTGTCATTTTCCCGATTGTGGCATCTTAGGCAACTCTGGTAAGCTTTATACTTACAGATCCAGCCAGTAATGTCTTTAATGGACAGATAACTTTCTTTGCAGTGAGCCAGAGCTTCAATTTGCTTCCTCACGGTGCAACAGGAATGGCATCTCATTAAAATTGAACATTAAGGGCCTGAAGGTGCTTTGACTAATTTTTCTGTCTGGGCATTGTTACTTAAGAGATCTGGAAGTTGAAAAATCCCCCTTCTCATAGTAGTCAGAGCAATCAGCCTTAGAGACTGCTGCCTACTCTGAGGCAGGGGACACTGGAAGGTTGGTGAGGTTTGCCCCTGAGCATGCCCCCAAAGAGCCTCCCTTTATTCCTAGAAGCTGGCAGGCTTTCTTTTCCTCCTACAAGTGGCAACCCGAATTCTGAGTTGAAAGTGAATCTTTGCCCTTGGCTCCTCTCTAGCATTCTTCACTGAGTGAATAGGAGTTTGGAATGTCAGAAAATAGAAGAGGGGAGGGGAAAAGATGTGTGTATGACTGTGAGTGTTTATATGTAAAAGCAGCTTCATCTGGGAGGACTTAGGGAAACCTGACTTCCTCAGACTGCTTCCTTCTTATAAACTCTTGGTTCCTTATTTATCGTTTTTTTGTTTTTGATTTTTAAGTTGTCTGACCTGATTTTATCATAGTAGTTCCAAATGCCTTACAGCCCAGTGGAGTCAAGCTAAGGAAGGACAGCATGATTTCCACAGGATTTGTATTTCTTCCCTCTGGATAAAGTGATAGTAGATCCCAGACTCACTGCCAGCAGGATCCAAGGTGGTCTTTCCTCCAGTATTTAATCTGGTGTCATCAGGAACCTACACTCAGGTTTTATTGGAGAGCAAGCCTCAATAAGAAGTGTGCTTTGAGGAGAATCAAGGACTTAATCTAGGCATAAAAGGTGTTGCTCAGCACAATACCCTCTACGGTAAGCTACCAGTCCTGAGAACCTGTGGTCAAAACTGAATTGAAAATATTGATGGAACTCAGACTCTGTGTAACTGGGGACTGGTTCAGAGCTCAAGACTATAATTTACAGGGCAGCTTTTATCCTTTATTTAGTTCTATCCAAAGTCATCTTGCATCAAGTCAAAAGGAGAGATTCTGTGAGGGTAACCTAAAGGGGAAATTTCCCAGCTTTGTGTGAAGAATCCAGTGGTTGCGTGTCTATCTGCATCCTGAGGAACCATGTCCTCTTTATATACCCGAAGTAAAGAATTCACTAGGAATAGGAAACCTCAGTCTGATTCTCCCCCGGCATCTCCCTCCCTGACTGCCAAGATGCTCTGACTAAGCAGCATTTTTTATTTACATATGTTCATAGCTGTGTCAAAGGTAGAGAATGTGTGTATATATAACTTGGGGCATTAGGTTTAGAGCAAAGGGACTTCAGAGCATATGGGAATCAGTACAGGAAAAAAAATTGCAAGTAAAGACCCTGTAAGTTTCTCTGCAAGAGGTTATGGTTCATAATACTTAATGTAGTCTTAAGTAAAAGCAGACTTAAATATGTCGGGCTACAGTTTCTGCCTTTTAGCTTTTAACTATCAGTTGTAAACTGCTTAACAGTAAGATTTTACAGTCCTTATCACTTTATCTTACAAGGCTTTTCTTAATTTCTACAGCTATTTTAGTCACTGCCTTTCTTGTGTTTTATGGGTCAATACTATGTTTCAAGAGAAAAACCTCCTAAATGGCCACACAACTATATACATTAAACTTCAGTTTAGCAAGTTCTGTGTGTGTATTTGTGTGTGTATGTATGTGAGGTAGAGTATGCTTTTGCCTAGTTTGTATGTCTGTCTGTGAGAAAGACCAAAATGAGCAAGGAGCAAGGAGTTATGGCCACTTGGAATCTTACTCCTTAATCACCAAGTACCTTCAGGAAATTTCTTGCTTAAAAGCCAAAGAACTAACTCTTGGCCATTGACAACCAGCTGTATGGAGGTGTTTGCGATGTCCTAGGTAGAGCCATTTGGGACTTTTCTCCATTTTCTCTAATGAATGTCTCAGCGAAGAGATTTACATATAGGCATTTGCATCTGATTTAGTGTCTTCCTCTGTGGGAAGCTGACAAAAGCAACAACTGCTACCAATAGCAAGGGATGAGAAGCTCTGATGGGCATATTAGGTAGCAGGCAATGTAGCAGTTACTTTTTCAGGAACTAGATTGTGCTTTGCTGTATATACAGAGTAAGAAGAAGGACGGCCATAGCTTCCTTATTTAGGGAGCTATGGGGAGAAAATTTGCAAGAAGCCTGGATAGACTAGTGTGGGGTTTTTTTCCCCAATTATTTTGTATGCATTTTCAATGTCTTTCTTACCAGTATAAATTACCATGTAGTGGAATTTGGTATATGGCATGTTGGTCTAAGACCTCAGCTAGGGATGAGAATACCAAAAGAATATTGTTACGAAGTTATTTTATTCACAAGTTTTTGTGAGAGCACCAAGAGGGGCTCCAATATATATGTTACTGTCATCGAGTTCCAGGAGTGTCTCTTCAACACATAGACTGGTACCTCTTTTTCCCAAGGAGCCACAGAATGCTTTCACCCCACTAGCTGTTGGGTATTTTTTGGTGGCTACCAATTGAGGTCCGCAAAACTGAACACCTTACTTCAGTTAGTGTTTAACTTTGCTCCCTTCCCTCTTATACTGTGTAGTACCTTTAGTTGTAAAGAGCCCCTTATTAATGTCTCTTCACCACTATAACCATAGTTCCAGAGCAATGTGGTGAGCAGTCAACAATAACCTGTTAGGTGATCTTCCTCCATTTTCCCTTTCTGTTTCTCCTTTGCTTTCTTAGAGTTAGGTACTGCTTTCGTCTTGTCTCACTTCTAACAGCTGCCATCCAACCTCCCTACCCTCGTTTCACCACCCCTCATCCCTGCCTTTTAGACAGAGGTCACAGTGGGAGAAAATCTGAATTACAGGAAACTAAAACATAGACGGCTTAATAAGATACTGCTTCCCAATTTTAGTGGTCACTGGCTGTGGATTCCTACAATACCATCAACTTACTCTAACTAACTTCCAGTGTCCAAATGACTTGAGACTATAATAAAGAGAATGTTGATTTTCATATACCACTCATGTTCCATTATGTTGCTTATGTCTTTAATGTCAGAGAAAGATATGCAAGACTCATTTGGTGGCTGCTGACACTAAGGACTGGGTATAAAATGAAGATTTCATCTCGCAAGATCTCCCTTAACCTAGTTCATTTTCTCTCATGTCCAACTAATTAGGGTAGTCTTTAAAAACTGGTTTTGAGTGTATTTTAACAACTGGTTTTGTGATGGTGGTGTTGTGCTCATATGCCTTTTGATGCCTGGTTGCAACTGGCTGATCCTCAGCCACCCTGAAAGGTGGGTATTGGTATCCCTATTTTACATATGAGGAAACTGAGGTACATAGAAGAGAAATGGCTTGCCCAGCATTGCTCAACTAGTAAGCAGCAGAGCCTTGATTAAAGCACCAAGCTCTCTGACTCTAAAACCCCATATTCCCAGCAACATTGGAGTACGTCTCAAATATATTTGAAGGTCAAGTTTAAGAACATGCTAAAGGACAAAGATGACAGTTAAAAGCTTAAGTAGCTGTGGGAGTCCAAAATGTATCCTTGATGGAGACACAGGAAACTGAAATTGCAGGAAGGAGGGAAACTGTATTTATAGGCCAAGGGAGGGAATTGGCAGGCCATAACTGAATCTCCTATGCCTGGTTCTCAAATCCCAGTCATACTCTCTGGGACCATGGAGCCCACAGAATCTGAGAGCTTGTGGGCTTCAGGGTCTTTGTATTTCTCTAGAAAAGTGGAAATGCTTGAGTCTTTACAGTAAAGATACTGGGAAGTTTCTGTGTGCATTTCAGAGTTAAAGTCAGGACAGCTCTCTTACTGTCCTCTTCCAAACTTCTTTGACTTGTTTGTATACATACATACAGTTTCTTCTAGAGATGGCACAGAGTTACAGAGGGACAGCACCTGATCCAACATTCTTCAAAACGGAAGATTGAAATTTCAGCCAGCAGTTAAAAGTTTGATTGTTTTTTGAGTGTTGTTAACAGGGCTAAAGAGTAAATGCCCCCATATAAGGAAAATATCCTCAGAGAGAATTTTAAAATAATAGCTATTCACATGGAGAGAATATTTTGGACACTGTACCTTTCGTCAAATGTTCAAGCAGTAGTAAAGGCAAACTATAAACTGTAAGTCAAACAAGTTATTATTTTTAACTTGAGAAAACAAAAGGCAGGATGATTTTTCAGTGACTAGAAAACAAACCTTTATTATATATGTTTACTTTTAAACTCGTAACAGCAGCTGATATACTCCCTAATGAAAAATCACTCATGTAGAAGATAGTGCATGTCCTCACCAGCCAAAAAGATTTTTGTTTACCTTCTCTACTTTGTATTTTGAAAATAATAAATATTTTTAATTCTCTGAACACAAAATTATGCTATTAAACATGGTTTTTAAAAATATACACCCGGGCTGGGTGCAGTGGCTCACACCTGTAGTCCCAGCACTTTGGGAGGCTGAAGCCTCGTGGACCATGAGGTCAGGAGTTCGAGACCAGCCTGGCCAACATAGTGAAACCCCATCTCTACTAAAATTACAAAAACTTAGCTCGGCATGGTGGTGGGCACCTGTTATCCCAGCTTCTCGGAAGGCTGAAGCAGGAGAATCGCTTGAACCCGGAAGGCGGGGGTTGCAGCGAGCCAAGATTGCACCATTGCACTCCAGCCTGGGCAACAAGAGCGAAACTCCGTCTATAAGTAAACAAACAAACAAACACATCCCTCTTCCTCACTAGAGAAAATTTCATCCATCCTTTTGGCATGCCCTCACTCGCTCCTACTGACACTAAGAATGACTGTTATAAGTGGTATGCTCCTAATATTGCTGTTTTGGAGTCTGTTGATCCTAAATAATGAAATAATTTTTTTTACTGCTACTTTTGGCTTTCATATGAAGTTTCCATTAGTTCAGTATCTTTTTTGTGTCTAAAAGTTGAGAAGTTCCCTTAGTAACAGCTCTGATCATCTCTGATTTGTTACTCAGGAAAAGTGGAAAAACTTTCAGATTCACTTGCATTTCTAATGGGAACCACACCAGGTAGATATTGATGAGAATTTGAAAGCTCAGTCTCTTTTCTCATACCACAAAATAACCCTAATATAAGATGCTGGGTTCATACAATTAGTAGTAAAACTTTCTTTTGACAGTAATTTTCCAACATAAAAAAAATTATTTTTCTTTTGAGTCTTTGTAGTTAAAGAAAAAATTCTGAACTGCAAATACATTAGACACTTGTAGCTCTTGGTTTTTAATTACTATGTATATTATTGGGTCTAACGTTTATAAATTCTATAAATTAGGAACTACTCAATTTAGATGGTTTAGCATTTTTAAATTATCCTAAAAGTAAGAGCCAGGTAATCTTTGGTCAGTATTCTCAAATTTTTCTTATTTGCTAATTTAAAATTTTTTCAATGCAGGGTATATTTAAAGGAAACAAATACTAGAGGATGTCCAAATTGTAGTGCTTATCTGATATTTATTATATTGAATAAATCTTGAAGTAAGTGGGTCATCAGCTGAACCCTGGGAATCTTTTAATTAGGCACATTTTCATTGAACTGGTATTTGTTATAATAGGATTTGACCTGCATTTATAAAGCAAGATCAGTAGCATTTTCCCATTTAGTCTGGATTGCTATTCCTTCAGTTCTAACATCTCAATTTTAAAAAATGACAAAAACAAAAAATTACAGAGATTTTACATAATATTTTTCAGTCAGCCATTAATGTGCATAAAGGGAACATTTAATCAATAAGCTTTGTTTTATAACCAGTCCTACAAACTAATTAGGGTACATTTGATAAATAATTGGATGATAAAGGATTATTGCCTTCATCAGAGCTTGTCTACGTAACAACTTTGGTTAGCAAGCCAGAGACATTCTGCCCCTTTGCCTTCCAGACTGTCAGTGTTGATAATTACTTCTTGCGTGTGCTTTGTGCCTTCCTCTGACAAGTACCAAACAGTTCTTTAGCATATTATCATATCCTCTATACATCCAACACTACATCTGATGCACTACCAATCTGGAATCCATTTTTACTCCACTTTATAATCCGTTGTCATGGAATGAGAAACACTTGGATGAACAATGCTAATTAAGAGTGCAATCTGTTAACCATTTTTTTCTGCCTAATTAAAACCAGGAGTGTATTTGTTTTTGGGGTTTTTTATTTCACTCAAGGAAAATCAATAGCAGTAATTGTTAAGCCCAAGGAATCTTCCTAGAATAGTAAAACCTGTGGGAATAAAAGTAGCTTTCCCATTAGGACCCATTACATGAATTCTTTTTTTTTTTTTTATTATACTTTAAGTTTTAGGGTACATGTGCACATTGTGCAGGTTAGTTACATATGTATACATGTGCCATGCTGGTGCACTGCACCCACTAACTCATCATCTAGCATTCGGTATATCTCCCAATGCTATCCCTCCCCCCTCCCCCCACCCCACCACAGTCCCCAGAGTGTGATGTTCCCGTTCCTGTGTCCATGTGTTCTCGTTGTTCAATTCCCACCTATGAGTGAGAATATGTGGTGTTTGGTTTTTTGTTCTTGTGATAGTTTACTGAGAATGATGATTTCCAATTTCATCCATGTCCCTACAAAGGACATGAACTCATCATTTTTTATGGCTGCATAGTATTCCATGGTGTATATGTGCCACATTTTCTTAATCCAGTCTATCATTGTTGGACATTTGGGTTGGTTCCAAGTCTTTGCTATTGTGAATAATGCCGCAATAAACATACGTGTGCATGTGTCTTTATAGCAGCATGATTTATAGCCCTTTGGGTATATACCCAGTAATGGGATGGCTGGGTCAAATGGTATTTCTAGTTCTAGATCCCTGAGGAATCGCCACACCGACTTCCACAATGGTTAAACTAGTTTACAGTCCCACCAACAGTGTAAAAGTGTTCCTATTTCTCCACATCCTCTCCAGCACCTGTTGTTTCCTGACTTTTTAATGATTGCCATTCTAACTGGTGTGAGATGGTATCTCATTGTGGTTTTGATTTGCATTTCCCTGATGGCCAGTGATGATGAGCATTTTTTCATGTGTTTTTTGGCTGCATAAATGTCTTCTTTTGAGAAGTGTCTGTTCATGTCCTTTGCCCACTTTTTGATGGGGTTGTTTGTTTTTTTCTCGTAAATTTATTTGAGTTCATTGTAGATTCTGGATATTAGCCCTTTTTCACATGAGTAGGTTGCGAAAATTTTTTCCCATTTTGTAGGTTGCCTGTTCACTCTGATGGTAGTTTCTTTGGCTGTGCAGAAGCTCTTTAGTTTAATCAGATCCCATTTGTCAATTTTGTCTTTTGTTGCCATTGCTTTTGGTGTTTTAGACAAGAAGTCCTTGCCCATGCCTATGTCCTGAATGGTAATGCCTAGGTTTTCTTCTAGGGTTTTTATGGTTTTAGGTCTAACATTTAAGTCTTTAATCCATCTTGAATTGATTTTTGTATAAGGTATAAGGAAGGGATCCAGTTTCAGCTTCCTACATATGGCTAGCCAGTTTTCCCAGCACCATTTATTAAATAGGGAATCCTTTCCCCATTGCTTGTTTTTCTCAGGTTTGTCAAAGATCAGATAGTTGTAGATAAGCAGCGTTATTTCTGAGGGCTCTGTTCTGTTCCATTGATCTATATCTCTGTTTTGGTACCAGTACCATGCTGTTTTGGTTACTGTAGCCTTGTAGTATAGTTTGAAGTCAGGTAGTGTGATGCCTCCAGCTTTGTTCTTTTGACTTAGGATTGACTTGGCAGTGTGGGCTCTTTTTTGGTTCCATATGAACTTTAAAGTAGTTTTTTCCAATTCTGTGAAGAAAGTCATTGGTAGCTTGATGGGGATGGCACTGAATCTGTAAATTACCTTGGGCAGTATGGCCATTTTCACGATATTGATTTTTCCTACCCATGAGCATGGAATGTTCTTCCATTTGTTTGTATCCTCTTTTATTTCCTTGAGCAGTGATTTGTAGTTCTCCTTGAAGAGGTCCTTCACATCCCTTGTAAGTTGGATTCCTAGGTATTTTATTCTCTTTGAAGCAGTTGTGAATGGGAGTTCACTCATGATTTGGCTCTCTGTTTGTCTGTTGTTGGTGTATAAGAATGCTTGTGATTTTTGTACATTGATTTTGTATCCTGAGATTTTGCTGAAGTTGCTTATCAGCTTAAGGAGATTTTGGGCTGAGACAATGGGGTTTTCTAGATATACAATCATGTCATCTGCAAACAGGGACAATTTGACTTACTCTTTTCTTAACTGAATGCCCTTTATTTCCTTCTCCTGCCTAATTGCCCTGGCCAGAACTTCCAACACTATGTTGAATAGGAGTGGTGAGAGAGGGCATCCCTGTCTTGTGCCAGTTTTCAAAGGGAATGCTTCCAGTTTTTGCCCATTTAGTATGATATTGGCTGTGGGTTTGTCATAGATAGTTCTATTATTTTGAAATACGTCCCATCAATACCTAATTTATTGAGAGTTTTTAGCACCATTACATGAATTCTTAGTAGAGACTGGCCTAGTTAACTCATGTCCTACATAGAGCTGGGGGAGATGGCATCTGAAGTCTTGGTTTGTTGACCAGAGAGACTGGGAGCTTCGAAGACATCAGCTCCCTTTCCTGCAAGCGGTGTCCTGCCCTTCTACTCTAATTTTTAGTTCCATGATAAATGTGTATCAAAGCCACCTGCCCTATTGTGAATCCTCCCACAACATTTTATGAGCATCTGCTTTGTAGTAGGCTTTATATTGGACACCAGAATTCATAAATGAAAGATACAGTTCCTGCCCTCAAAGAATTGGCAGTCTAATTGGGGAGATAAAGAAAATCAAGAATTAGAATACCAGGGAGGTGAATTTTCTAATAAAGACATAAGTTCAGGGTGTTTTAGATCAGTCATGTGGTTAATACATTAGCCTGAAGTTTGGAGAACAATAGAAGGTAGATGGACAAAGAAGAAAACAGTACATTACAAAGGTAGAAAAAGAATATGAGAACATAATGGCATTATTCTGAGAGCTGCATGTCGGTGTGGCTAGAACAAAAGATATATTTAGAAATGTAATAAGAAATGAGGCAGGAGGCTTAGCAAACCCAGGTCATGTGAGGCTTTGTATATAATTTTGAGCATTTGGGGAGTTATCCTGTGGATAAAGAATAAAGGAATGAAGATTTGAAGTAAAGTTGCTGTGCTCAGAATTGCATATTAGAGAAATAACTTTGACAGCTGTGGAAGCTGGACTGGGAGGAGGGTCAGGACATGATCAGGTCACTGGCCTTTGACTGCAGTATTCCGGGTAAGAAATGTTAAGGGCCTAGTCAGAGATATTTTTTCTGGGAAGTATAGAGAAGCATTCAGTTGTTTAGAAGGTAGAATTGATAAGATATGGATTGATAGAATGGGGATAAGGATGAGCCTGAGAGAGGGCAGAGTCAGGAGTGACTACCAGGTCTCTGGTTTAGGTGACTGGGTAGAAAATGGTATGATAAGTATCAGGTGCAGGGCTCACACCTGTAATTCCAGCATTTTGGGAGGCAGAGATGGGAGGATTGCTTGAGTCCAGGAGTTTGAGACCAGTCTGGTCAATGGAGTAAGAACTGTTTCTTCAAAAAATTGTTAAACTAGCCAGGTATTGTGGCACATGCCTATACTCTTAGCTACTTGGGAGGCTGAAGTGGGAGAATAGCTTGAGCTCAGGAGGTCGAGGTTTCAGTGAGCCATGATTGTACCACTGCACTCCAGCCTGGGCAACAGAATGAGACCGTCTCAAAAAGAAAAAAAAATAGTGTGACAAAATTGAGTTGGCAAACACAGGAGGCTAAACGCTGTCAAGTGGGGAAATGGTTTCACTTTTGGAATGTCGAATTAGAGGTACTTTGGGACATTCAGATAGTGATTTCCAGAAAGTAATTGGTCTGACACTTGGGAGAAAATTATGGGCTAAAAATACTGATATTTATTGTTGAAGCCATAAGAGTGGTGAGCTTATCTAAGGAGTAGATGTAACATAAGGAGGGGCTGAGAGTAAACCTCAAGAGGAGTAACCACAAGCAGATAAGAGATATGTTTCTTTTTCTAATGGTGCTTTCCTATTCCATCACCAGTGGAATCACATGCAGGAAGACAGCAGGTCTTGTATCTGGTTTCTTTGTTCAGAGGTATTGTGGTCAAACTTATGTTACGGTGATGAGTTTCAGTTCTCAAAGGATTCAGAAATTTAGTTAAGGGTCAATTGGTTATGAGTTTTGTGTTGCATTCTAGTTTTGTCTTCAGTACCTAACCAGTTGTGTGACAAGGGATTATTTTTTAAAGTTTGGAAAAGTTCCCAGACTATTCAGCATTGGTTTTTAATTTCTTTTCTTAATCTGTTAATATTTGGGTGAGCTGGCAATTTATTACTATAAGAAGACCAAAGGGAAACAATCAGAGTTGGCTTTCATCAGCTTTTTATTTCTTTTAAGCCTCCTTTTTATTCCATTCTTGACCTGGTTATCATGCAGTGAGTGACGGTTATCCACAACTGGAATGTTAGTTCTCATAACAGTTCCAAAATCCAACAGCCTTCTTTGGTTACACAGCATGGAAAGAGTTCTACCAGTGACATGATTAGATAAAGATACTGAAAGTGTGTCTGGACTTTAACCTCTCATAGTTCATTATGAAAGCAACATTTTCATATAGGAGTTGTACATAAAATTGCAAGTGGCTATTTTAAAAGTTGTATGAAAAGTTAAATATTCTAGATTTAAATAAAGTTATAAAATAGATGAGAGTATATTATAGCATTTTAAAAAATGTTTTGCATTGATTTCCAAAATCAACTTTACATAGTTGGTTGTCTGAAAGTACATATATCCATCCAGACAGTAAAATAATGACCTTAAATGTGTGTAGATTAGAAAGGGAAGTAGGAATTAGCCTGGTTAATCAAAATCTACAAATAATCAAAACCCTTTACTTGAGTGCTGAGGAATTTATTTGAGCTTATTCCTCTTGCAGCCAACAAACATTGGGAGAACCAAAAGACCAAAGAGGGACGAGAGAGAATAAAAAAAAGTATGGAGGACTGTAGTAATATCAATAGCTAAAATTTATTGAACATTTACTCTTTGTCAGTGCTGTACCAAGCACTTACATTTATTGTCTCATTTAATACGTTTGATAACCATAAACACCAAGTTAACTATCTCATTTTAATGACAAGGACACTGAACAGAGAAGTTAAGTAATCATGTAAGATCACATAACTTAGTAAATGCTGGAGCCAGCTATCTGGATCAAGAGCCTCAGCCTTAACCAGTAAGGCATGTAACTGTTCTAGTGAAACTACTGTCTCTTCTTTAAATAGCTCCTAGATTATTACCAGTATCCCTGACTACTGAATCTGACTTGGAAAGAGAGATGATGACAACAAAAGCTATCTTAAGGAAAAATGTAACAGAATAACAGGAACAAACAAACCTAGATTAGTAAAAAGTCAGAATTTTTTTTTTTTTTGAGACAGGATCTCGCTCTGTCACCCAGGCTGGAGTACAGTAGCACCATCATGGCTCACTGCAGTCTCAAACTCCTGGCCTCAAGCAATTCTCTTGCCTCAGCCTCCCTAATAGCTGGGACTATAGGTGTGCTGGGGCCTCACTAACTTGTTGACCAAGCTGGTCTCAAACTCCCAACCTCAAGTGATCCTCCTGCCTCAGCGTCCCAAGGTGCTGCGCTTACAGGTGTGAGCCACTGTGCCCAGCCAAAGTCAGAATTTTACATCATTTTAAAATAGGTGTGGTGGTGCATGCATGTAGTCCCAGATACTCAGAAGGCTGAGGCAGAAGGATCACTTTGAGCCCAGGAAATAGAGGTAGCAGTGAGCGATGATCATGCCAGTACACTCTGACAACGCAAGACTCTCTCTCTCTCTCTCTCTCTCTCTCTCTCTATATATATATATATATATATATATATATATATAAAATTTTAGTATTTACAAGTGTCTATGATAAAACTCAGGACCTGTTAAATTGTAACAAGTTCTGAATTAGCAGGGCCTGAATTACTGAGATTTTTCTCATCTGAGGAGACCCTTCCCTGCCAAAACCAAGAAAATAAACTACAAAAGCATCCCCTGTCCCAAAAGTCTACATTTTAAAATACCTATTCTGCTCTGGGAGGTGGTTTAGCCCCCTAAATAAGAAACTTGTGCATTTGAAGACTCAAGTTCCCTACTAGGGGTACGAAAGTGGAAGAATCAAAGAAAGCTTCAGTTCTTTATCCTTCTAAATTTCATCTTTCAAGGCAGAGTAGCACTTTGGGATGACTGTGGCCCTTTCAAGGCCCCAACTTATGTAAGATCACTTACAAGTCACACATAATAGTGTCATTTTTCATGACCATCCAGTTTCAGACTTCAAGCTGATGTATCCACTAAGTTTGTTCCTTCCATTATCGCCTTGCCCAGAATATCTAGTCAGTATTGGTCTCTCCCTTTCCTAACTACCCCTTTTTATTTACTGTATGTACTAGATGGTCTAACATTTGATTGCATTTAATCAATTGCTTTTTTTTTTTTTTTTTTGAGACGGAGTCTTGCTCTGTTGCCCAGGCTGGAGTGCAGTGGCATGATCTCTGCTCACTGCAAGCTCTGCCTTCCAGATTCATGCCATTCTCCTGCCTCAGCCTCCCGAGTAGCTGGGACTACAGGTGCCCACCACCACACTCGGCTAATTTTTGTATTTTTAGTAGAGACGGGGTTTCACTGTGTTAGCCAGGGTGGTCTCAATCTCCTGACCTCATGATCCACCCGCCTCAGCCTCCCAGTGCTGGGATTACAGGCATGAGCCACCACGCCCAGCCAACTTTCTTGAATTACATTCTATTTGTTTTATGAGTGTGCATATTTTACCTCCTCAAAGAAGAGCTCTTTGAGATCAGAGAGCCATGTCTTAGATTCTGTAATTGTCGATTTTATTCCTGTAAGTACTACTCACAAGGCTGGGCACATACAGGTGCTTAATGTAAATGCAGGGAATGAATGCTGCTGCTTGAGATTTGATCTCTCCGCTCCTATCCCATTTAGCCGTCTGGAAAGGAGTCAGAGGCCACACACACTTGAGAATCTTATTTCTAACATGAAGGCTAACCATAGGTCTTCCCAAGTCAATTCAGATTCCTGTTTATTGCAATTTGCTAGTATATCGGTCACTCCAAAATATATGAGTTAATATTTTGGTTTTTGTGGGAATCAAAAGAGAAAAAGCCTGTGGAATCTACTCAGAAATAAAAAGTTCTACCCTATGTTACTTAGGTCCCAAGTATTAATATTTATCTCCTCATGAAATGTGAGGTCTGGAGAGCCTCACTAATTCCTTTGTAAAAGTTTTGATTCACAGCCTAGTCCAAATAAAATTAAAGTTACTGCTACCCAAACAGGCTGCTGGACTGTGACATTTACCATATGAAAATACCCATCTCTTCCCAGGCTTCAAGGAAAGCTTACTTCCTAAAGAAGTATAATGGTGGTCAGTAACATCATGACAGGCTAGTGGGGAGAGACCTGGAATCTCAATTAGAGAAATGGAGTGAAACTCAAACAGTAGGATTTAAGGCCTAAATAAGGACTTTTAAAATTTACGATATACTCTATGCTGTATTCTAACAATATTTTGGAGGGACTGATCAGGCTTCTTTTCTCAGGTGTTCACTGAGGCTGTGTTTTTTTTAAATCATCTGAATGTATTTCATAGTTTCAGATGCCCATACACATCTGTGTGAACCTAAAACTCCAAGCTATGGGGAAAGTAAACATAGATATTAAATGTGAGAAACGTGACCCATGTGCTAGAGCCACACAAGTTTTAGAGCTCCTCATTCCCCTGTTGGTCATTTTCATCCTATATAGTACACAGCATGTGAAAGGCTAGAGGGAAAATATGCCGGAGGCTGCAAATGCATTTATGAATCACAAGAGTTTTCAATTATACATATAAAATGGCTTGCCTTAGGTATCTTATGGAGGCCTTAATATATCCATATATTTCCTTCTACAATGAGTGCATTTTGTGAGTTTCCAAAAGATCCAGAAATTCTTCAGAAGCTGGGAATATTCACAAAAGGGAGGTGCAGGTCTGCATAGATGCTAAGAGCTTTAAAATTCTAATAATATTAGGTAGCACAATAGAGACAACAAAAGATGAGTCTATTTCTATCATTTAATGAACTTAATGGTTTTTCTTTTAAAATATAGTGACATATGCTGCAATATATGAGATGATGTTACATGATACCATTTTTACATGCCTTAACATTTTACATGCCTTAAATTGATAGGGTAGTCACAATCTGGCATATGAGATTTTTCAGAAATATTTATAATATGAACTGAATGTAAATACTGTATTTGACTATGTTTAACTTTTTGTTCTATATGTATTAAGTAGTCGGTAAAGACAAATCAAGACATATAATATGATGAAGACATATGTGATTTAATACTTGCTTTTAAAAGTTAATTTTTCCTTGGAAGTATACTCTCTTACACATATGTATACCAGGTCACATGGACGCCTGTTTTTTTCCCTGCATAAGACAGCACTTTTGGTATTGCCCTGATTCTGAATGTATGTAATCACCTAGTGCAGCTGAGAGGCCATGTGCTATGGATGTTTCTTTTAGGATGTTACAGATAAATTAGACCATTTTTTATAAGGGAGATCCTTGTGATAGTTGGAATTTCTAAAATGCCTCCCCAAAAGGTCCTCGCCTAATCTCTAGAACCCATGTATATGACAAGATAGCTCTCGCATGATTGTTCTGTTACATACCACAGTTGACCTAAGTTAGGGAGGTTTTCCTGGGTGGGCCTGAGCTAATCACATAAGCCTGTGAAGGCAGAGAGCCTTCTCAGCAGATGATGGACAGGAAGCCAGAGAAATGTGAAGTGCGAAAAGAACTCAATGCTTCATTGCTGGTTTGAAAATCAGAAGGGCCATGTGAAAAGGAATGTAGGAGCTTCTGCAAGCAGTAAGCAGCCACTACCCTGCAAGGCTGTGGGTACCTGAAACCTCACAGGGCTGGATTCCTGCCAACAACCTGGATGAGCTTGAAGCAGATTCTTCCCCAGATGCTCCTGATAAAAGCCAATAGCAGACTCCTTGATTTCAGACCATTGAGTACTTGAGGAGGGAACCCAGCAGAACTGTGCAGACTTCTGACCTACAAAACTGTGTGATAATAAATGGGTTTTTAAGCCACTAAATTTTGTTTTGGCAGCAATAGAAAACTAATGAAATTGAAAATTTGATGATATTAATTTTTTTGATATAAAAAACAGCATAGGCCTCATTATCATTGCCCTCTACTGTCACATCTTTGCATAAACCTTGGAAGTTCTTGTTCCACCCTCACATTTATTTCTAGATTATGCAGGATCCCCAGATAAATTACTAGAACAATGAAGGCTTCACTTCAAAGTTAGAGACTGGTAGATTCTCCTTATTTCAAGTTTCCTAAGAATCTTGTCTGTTTGAATTATGAAGAAATCTTTTTCCTTAAGATAGAAGGATGGAAAACTTTTGTCTCTCTTGGACTTACATATGAAACCAGAATGATTCTTAAACTCAAAAGTTACAAAATTATACTATTTCGCAATTAACTCAGACCATGATTAGGTTTGCAGTACCTCTGAAAATTTGAAGGGTCCTTGCTGCAGCCACACTCACATCATTGGCTTGTTCATCAACAGTCAATATTCTGAGAACACTGAAGGGAAAGAAGATGGTTCTCTGTAGACCACCCCAGAATAGCTCAAATTTTTTCCTCTGGCTCAGCTAGTACACAAGAACATAATATAAAATGTTCCTTCTGCTTATTCCCTCTTCGGGAGAAAATGTAAATAGAAGTTTTTTCCCATCACTGTGGGGTCAAGCCATAACTCCAAAAGGAAAATGAGTTAAACCAGTTTCAGCCTTGGTAGCAGACATGTGACTTGGTCTCATTCCTTTCCCTTGGGCCCAGCTTTCCTGAGCCACAGTTTTATTTTAAACTTGGTAGAAGGAGTTTGCTTTTAATTATGTGCCTTCCTGAACTCCTGATAACTTTCAAGTTGAAAGCTTTTGTGGGGATTTTTCTAAGCCAGTCTCTGGTGTTTTGAGGGCCCTACACATTTCACAAATCAAAACCAGTCTGATTTCTGTCCCTTTCTAGGATTGCCATCTGAATTAATGGTGATCTTCATTCTGTTCTTTTATGAGAAACAGGCCCAAGCAATGAGATTATTATGGGAGAATTTCAAGAGGTATGAAAGAAAGAAGTCTGCTTCTTATTTTGGGACATTTTTAAAACTATGGTCTATCCAGCTAATCATTCTTTTTACCTCTACTCTCTGTATTCATATTGGTTTCTGAGCAGCTTTTAGTCTCTTCTTCTCTAGAGTCTCATTCACATTATCTGTTGTCCCCAGTTGGGCCATAAAAGCTGTGAAAGTAATTCCTTCTTTGAACAGTTTCTATCTAGTTCAGACACACTAGAGAGTCTCATTTTAGTGGCCATCATTTGTCTTCAATAGAAGGTAGAGCAAAACAGTCTTTGACAAAAACACTTAGAGAAGTTCTAAGACTTCCAGATTAGAGCATACAGCATAATAGATTTGTGAATTAACCTACCAATTGGAGAAAAGATTCATGCCTTTTCTAAAATATATGATATCATCATGTGCAGATAAGCTATTCAGACTCTACTTACAGAGTAGACTAACTTGTGTTTTTGAGAAGAGAGAGGGAGTATACAGAGGAGGAGGATGGAAGGATGGGACCATTGCCAGAGCATAGATAAGATGAGTCCACATTCCTAGCCTCTAAAGGATCATCGATTCGGCTGAAGTCCCTAAGCCTTATGTTCTAGGACTTCGCCTTATTTCCTGCCCACTCAGCTGACCTCTTAGAATCCTCTTCTCTGGGAGAAGCTTCAGTGTTCATTTCCCTACTCTGTGTTCTGCTTACCTCTTCTGATGTCACTTCCTGGCTTACTGTTCCCCTGAGATTACTTAGGCAAACTCCCACTCTGTCTTATCTCCTCTAGATTTACTTAGTAGTCACCCTGCAGGGTTGGCAGTCAGCTTTCTTGAATGAAGTCGAGTTAGTCTAACAGTTGATGTGATCTGTAATTAGTTTGAATGACAGGAGGATGAAGAGGAAAAATTCAAGTTAAGTCTTCTGAGTCAATCCAGCCACTCTGCTTCTTTACCCAAGAAACCCCATCTTCTCTCTCCCTAAATCCAACTAGTGTTTTTTTCATCAAACCCCGGATTATCTAGGGTATCAAGAAGCCAAGCAAAACAATAGTTTCTAGAGGTATTCCACCAATGAAAATTAGTTAGGAAGTATGATCTAAAAACCTAAGCCATTTTATCAGAATTAGGGGAATTAAACATTAAACCCTATATACTTTTAAGCTATCTTGCCTTACTCTTTTTAGGCTAAAAACCTGAAAGGAAACCATTTCTATTACAGTGAGAATAATTCACCCTTAGAAGTCCAGTTTTCTTCCTTTTTTGAAATAATATTGTTTGTATTAAGTTAACTGTGTTATCCCTACTGCATCCAAAGCTCACTAATCTCTGAGGTTTTAGGAGATTTATCTACTCTCCTCTAATTGGTAGGGTTGACTTTCCCAGGACATTGCTAAGGCTAGCCCCTGACGGCAATAATATTTTAAAAAAATAAAAAATAAAGGATTCCACATAGCTCCAAAAGTCAGGTAAAAGCTGGAGGGAATTAGAGATAGCAAGGAAAGATCAAGGATTAACTTGCAAGCTCTGTTTTCTCTAATATCTGCATCTAGGTAAATTGTCTACTGCCTTGTCTGCTGGATCACTCATTACTTACACATTTTATAAAAGGTTACCCAAAAAGAAATTGTTAACAAGGAATGTTAACAAGCCTTTAAAAGCTAATAAACAACAGACTGTGGTGTTTGCTTTCAGTTACTCCTGGCAAGCAGAAGTAAGAGTGTAGGTCATCAACTTCCTAGGTGGCTGTAGGGAACACCTCCTACAGTAAGCCTATAGGGACAAAAACTGGTATGGGAATCACAAGTGTGAGCACCATTATCATTACCTTCCTCCACGTGCTCTCATTTGTGGAAAAATTAATCTAGGCCTCTTGAAAATCCTGTGGAATCTGCCTTTTCATATCCAGGAACCCTGGGGGCTTTTTCTGATTGCTGCTTGATAGTGCTAACCTATTTTTTGTGTGTTTCAATTTTTAAGTGTTTGTATTTTATGTCAACCTCCTCAGTGAAGGTCATACAGTTCACACAGCCATACTATACAGCCATATATCTGAAAACTTTCTTGGCTTAATTGTGCTTCCAGAACATTCTAAATGAAAAGGGTTAATGTCATTTAAAAAGTAAAGCAATGGAAATTATTAGCATGCTTTGATTTATAGATAATGGCTAAGATTGATGCCTGGTAAAATCCTAATCTCCCTGTTTTAATGAAAAAAAAAAAAAAAAAAAGCTTGTTTTGTCACCATAGAGGCAGCTGCCAGAGTCTACACAGCAGAATTTAAAACTAAAGATATAGTAAAATCTTACCCAACAAATAGGATATTTAAAAGAAGAAACTAAAAAAAAAAAAAATTCAAGTGAGGTTTCACATTTCAAGAAAAAGTCAGCAAAAAAGCATGATTTAATTGTCAGAAAGTTAGGCCTCAGTCTGCACACCATGGAGAAATGAGCTCCTAGTTCAATAGGAGGAAGAAAAGGCCCAAGGGACCAGTTTGATTGTAAACAGGTCATTTTTCCATACCTAAGACGATGTGGAAAGTACATCTTTGGAAAGAGTGTCAACAATGCTACCCCCATATGAAGGGTATAGTTTGAAGGCTGTTCTAGTCAGAAGCACTGAGAGAAAATAAATGGTCTTCTAAATTATTGTTTCATTTGGTTACATGTGAACTCAATTCCCTGAACCAAAGGTATGAAGTTTTAAGTTGGTACTCTAACCAGCATCAGTAGCCAATATAATATTCTTTTTTTTTATTTTTTGACAGTGTCTCACTCTGTCTCCCAGGCTGCAGTGCAGTGACGCTATCTCAGCTCACTGCAACCTCTACCTCCTGGGCTTAAGCAATTCTCCTGCCTAAGCTTCCCAAGTAGCTGGGAGTACAAGCTTGTGCCACCACACCCAGCTAATTTTTGTAGTTTTAGTGGAGATGGGGTTTTGCCATGTTGGCCAGGCTGGTCTCGAACTCCTGACCTCAAGTGATCCACCTGCCTCAGCCTCCCAAACTGCTGGTATTACAGGCGTGAACCACTGCACCTGACCTAATAAAATATTCTTACAATTTAAAAAATGAAAGCAGAGGAATGGTGGCGGGGAAGCTGACATTTTAAGAGTTCACTTCCTTGTAGTTATCACAGTTAATTCTTACTGTTAGAATAAGTGGTAACTTGCCAAGGTCACATTGCTAGATGTCAGAGCAGAAATTAGAAATCAGGTCTAGCCAAGGCCATCACACTTCTCAGAGCATTAACAATTCAGTTCAGTTAGTGTTTATTGAACACCTATTGTGTTCTGGCCCTGTAGGTACTAAAAATATAATTAGGAATAAGATGGAATTTTAGGGAAATGTTCCCTCCATAACAATATGTTTTTTAAAAGAATGTATGTATCTCTTCTGGATCTTTGTTATCAGGAAAAAAATATGTGTTTGTATGTGTTTCTCTAATATGATCTTCCCAAAACTCCTATCTTTTAGGAGGTTTTCTTAGCTGAAGCCAATGGGTTACCACTGTTATCTCCATAGCACATATTCTCATGTTTTCCCTACATTGCTTCAGGCGAACTTGTTAATTATGTTCACAGTGCTCTCCTGGTTCTGTCGTGCAACTTATTCTGCTTCTTCCTCAGTGCCTCCTCTACAGGGCTCTGCACACAGTGGGCTCTTAAATACAACAGATGTTTTGCATTTGCTGGTATGGAGTTCAGGCTGAATTATTCACAAGTATTTGACATGTCACAATAAATAGTTTTCCTGGACCATGAATTTTAATCCACCCAGATGCTAGGTCTTCTCACAAAGCTAATGAGTGACATAACCCATAGCCCAGGATCTCAGCTTCACTTGCATACTTTTTTTTGTTTGTTTTGTTTTGAGACAAGGCGTCACTCTGTCACCCAGGCTCAAGTGCAGTGGCATGAACACAGCTCACTGCAGCCTCGACCTCTCATGTTCAAGTGATCCTCCTGCCTTGGCTTTCCATGTAGCATGGATCACAGGTGCACACCACTATGCCCAGCTAACTTCTTAAAAATTATTTTGTAGAGATGGGGTCCCGCCATGTTGCCCAGACTGGTCTTGAACTCCTGGGCTCAAGTGATCCTCCTGCCTCCAGAGTGCTGGTATTACAGGTGTGAGCCACTGCACCCAGCCCTGTATATGTGTTAGTTCTTGAGAGGTGATTAAAATTTAGTTTCTTTTTTGAAAAAAAAGATATCAAGAAAAAAAAACTTCAGGTAAGTTGAGAAAGTAGGCAATGAAAGTGTGGGGTATACATGTAAGTGCCACTGGAGATTAGATATATAAATGTGGGACAGGAAAAATGCCTGGAATTGTCCTGAATTTTAGATTTCCAACTTTCAGGATTCTCACCTCAATGTATGAGAATATACCATATACTTTTCTTAATGAGTCCTAATGATTCCCCCACCTCAAATGGGGGCATGTCTCCATGTTCAAAAAACCTTCATTTAGTCCAGCGGTATTTAACCAGGGCTGTACAGCAGAATCACCTGGGTTACTTTTTAAAAATACATATAGGAAAGCTGCATTCTAGACCTACTGAAACAGAATCTCCAGTACTGAGGTTAGGACATGTACATTTTGCAAAAGTGTGCAGGATTATTCTGATGAGTATAACCCTTGATTTAAAGAGAGATTCCATGAGGAAATGTCATGTTTATCAAGGTGACTCTTTTCAGTCCTCTTTAGTCATATGTGCTGTCACTGTATACCTCTCCTGGACAGCTGTAGGGTGTGGTGTGTTGGGTTGTCCTGCTATGTTGTTTGACAAACCAGTGGCTTCCAGGGACTGTTTAGTGCAAAGCAGTGTCATTGAGTGACTTCTCAGAAGTTCAAGGATTCATTATCCATTTTGTAGATTATTGGACCTTTGGTTCTCTTCCTCCTCTTGTCTGTCTTGAAGATTTTGTGGTTCTTTAACCCTTCAGAAAGGGAAATAATTAAGTACATTTAAATCAATTGAATTTTTATTTGCCAGAGTTCTTAAAAAAAAAAAAAAAAGAAGGGATAGGAGGGTAAAGGTCATCTACAGTAAAAAGTAAATGTCAAACACAGACATAAGCACTTTTTGTTGTTTGATTTGTTTACAATGACCAAGCTTACTGGTTGTATCTATAAAACTCCTTTTGAGACCTCAGAGTACCTACTTTTTTTTTTTTTAACCAGCATCCTAGGGACTAGGATGGGACTTTCTCCCATCTCCCTTACTCTTCTACTTTCACTAGCAACCTAGGAGAAACTGAGGAAGTCTCCTGAGTTTTAATATTTGTAGTTGCAGCATTCACTCAGGGCAAGGTTGGGAGTTTGTGAACGAAGGAAATTAATAGAATGAATGTTGAGATCCAGAGAGGCCAAATGTCACATAGAAAGTCTGTGATAGTCACTCCTAGAACACAAGCTTGGCTAGTTAGTTGGGCGGGGAGTTGGGGGCAGTTTTTGATCATTTTACATTTTGCTAACTTCTAGTTTAAAAAGATGCTATCCCTAATGCCTCAAATCTAGTGAGTCATGGCATACAAAGAAGTGTGAACTAGGGCTAAGTCACCTTTGTGTAGTCAATTTGATTGCTTTTCTTAAATGGCACCCCCACCTCCAGCTGTGAAGTTCAGCCATCTGATTTCAAAAGTGCATTTATAGATGGAAATAATACAAATCAGTCTCTTGCTAATGCTGTTTTCTTTTCTTTTTTCTTTTTTTGTTTTTGTTTTTGTCTCCTTTCTCTAGCATGAAAGACTTTCTAAGTAAGAACTCTCCCTGTTATATATGCATGCTTAATACTTGTAAGTGAATGCATGTCTAATTAAACTTAGCTTTATATAATAATTCAGTAATGTTTCTCACATCCTTTCCGTCATTTTCATTTCCACTGCCACCACAATAATTCAGACTTTTATTACCTCCTGCCCAAAACAGTGGAACAAGCTTTTCAATTTACCTTCCTGTTTCCAGATTCTCCTCTTTCCAGTTCACCTTGTAGACTTCCACTAGATTAATTTTTTTAAAGCACCAGTGTACCAGGCACCATGCTCGGTATTAGGGAAACAACATGAATAAGACAGTATCCTTACCTTCAATTAGCTAACAAGCCACTAGAGAGACAGATCATTTCAGCAGAACATAATAAGTGCCCATCAGAAGTACAGACAGGTATTCTGAGCACAGAGAAGAGCAATTAATCTAATCTGATGGTTCAGATTGAGGTTAGATACTGTTATTTAATAGTGGATCCAACAAAATACCTTATACCTAGATGATGCTCCTTAGTAGTTTGTTGAATGAACAAACTAAAGACCTGTTTTGCAATTGCTGAAAAATTAAAGAAGGACATCAAAATTGGGGGAATGACCCTCTGCAGTTTTTCACCTCGTATCTAAGGGTACAAAACTGATCTTCTGAAAGAAGAAACTAAATAAAAAATAATAGACTATAGAGCCAAAAGTTGGAATCTTTCTTTTTCTACTGTTACTCTGATGAAATTAAGAGATTTTCTACTGTTACTCTGATGAAATTAAGAAATTAAGAGATTGGGAGAAGACATAGTTATGGGACTATAGGCCAAATGAGTTTCCTTATAATTTGTTTAGTATTGAGCTGGTTCTGCCTTATTAATATATTCTAAATTTTACATATGTTCTTCCTCTGCTTGCCCTCTCACCAGGCAGCAGCTGAGGACAAATCATTTACTTCTAACCTAGCAGAAAATTACTTAGTTTTGCAAAATTGTTGGAGAGTGGTATTTTGCCATAATCTTTTGTGAACTCTCTTGTATTATAATAGCCATTTGTGAAAGGAAACTTTTTCCCACAGACTTCAAAATATGCTGTGAAACTGTACCAATTAAAAGAGTGAAGCACTAGCTCAAGAATAAACAAAGAGGCCTATGGAACACAATCCATAGCCCCTCCAAAAAATCACATGTATAAGGTGACTTCATCTCAGTGAGGAAATAATTATTCAATAAGTGATCATTAGGACAGTTGATTATCTGTTTGAGCAATTATATCCTTCCCTTCAGCCATACCAAAAACAAATGGATTTCAGTTGGATTACAATTTGTAAGAGAAAAGTGTTTTACCATAAAAGTTAGCAGAAGAGAATATTTTGTAATCTTTATATAGGAAAAGCCTTTCCAAGTGTGATACCGTTAGTAGAAAGGGGTCCTGATTCAGACCCCAAGAGAGGGTTCTTGGATCTCATGCAATAAAGAGTTCAGGGAGAGTCCATAAAGTGAAAGCAAGTTTATTAAGAAAGTAAAGGAATAAAAGAATAGCTACTCCATAGACAAAGAAGCTGGTTGCCCATTTTTTTTGGTTATTTCTTGTTTATATGCTAAACAAGAGGTGGATTATTCATGCCTGCCCTTTTTAGACCATATGTTGTAACTTCCTGACTTTGCCATGGCGTTTGTAAACTGTTATGGTGTTGGTGGGAGTGTAGCAGTGAGGATGAGCAGAGGACACTCTCACGGCCATCTTGGTTTTGTGGGTTTTAGCCAGCTTCTTCACTGCAACCTGCTTTATCAGCAAGGTCTTTATGACCTGTATCTTGTGCCAACCTCCTATCTCATTCAGTGACTTAAAATGCCTTAATCGTCTGGGAATGCAGCCCAGTAGGTCTCAGCCTCATTTTACCCAGCCCCTATTCAAGATGAAGTTTCTCTGGTTCAAATGTCTCTGACAATACCATAAAGATAAAAATCATCAAATTTAATTATATAAAATTTAAAATCTCTAAGTAAAAGACACTATAAACAGAGACAGAAAGTGAAGTGGGAAAAAATATTTGCTGCCTATATTAGTTTTAAAAGCCCTACTCTATAGGAGGTTCCCCTACTACAATAAGAAAAAGATGATTACCCTACTGAACAAAGGCTATTAATTGGCAATTCAGAAACAAAGAAAAGAAAAATAACCAAAGATATTGATTGTTCATAATGATTTTAAAATATTAAAATTAATGACAGATATCATATTTCTGTCAGAAATATTTCATAAGAAGGTAACTGGACAAAGGCACTAAGGTTTATAGATAAGTCTGCTCATTTTAACATTGTTTAGCTTCAATCATAAATGAGACTGTGGTGACCCTGCAGAATTGACTGTTTGGTGGAGACAAGTAAACCTTAAGATTCTTAGAAACAGGAAATTTTACCTTGGGACAGGATCGACCAGACTCTAGAGAGGTACTTTTTAAAAATGGCCTTTAGGCCAGGCATGGTGGCTCACGCCTGCAATTCTAGCACTTTGGGGGGCTGAGGCGGGTGGATGACCTGAGGTCAGGAGTTCGAGACCAGCCTGACCAACATGATGAAATGCTGTCTCTACTAAAAATACAAAAATTAGCTGGGCTCGGTGGTGTGCACCTCTAATCCCAGCTACTCGGGAGGCTGAGACAGGAGAATTGCTTGAACCCAGGAGGTGGAGGTTGCAGTGAGCCGAGGTCACGCCACTGCACTCCAGCCTGGGCGACAGAGCGAGTCTCTGTCTCAAAAAAAAAAAAAAAGGCCTGAAGATCAGAGATTTATTGCTCCTGCTAACTTCCTTTTCCAAAAATTTGAGCTTCAGGCTCTCTAATCAACGATAATAGAAGAAGTCATCTAACCTGCTTGGTGTTTCCAAAAATGTATTATGGTCATGCCAGTATATTGTGGCTTATAGCATTGCTCAAAAAAAGACAGACTCAACTTTTAGATGAGATCAGGGAAACAAGTGAGTCAAAACCTGTTGAACACTAGCAAAGCCTTTCCTTTTCATTTGATGTATTGTGTGTATTAAGACACCTTTTTTAGGCTGGGCACAGTGTAATCCCAGCACTTTGGGAGGCGGAGACAGAAGGATTGCTTGAGCCCAGGAGTTCAAGACCAGCCTGGGCAACATAGTGAGACCTCATCTCTACAAAAAATTTTTACAAATTAGCTGGGCCTGGTGGCATACACCTGTAGCCCCAGCTACTCAGGAGGCTGAGGCAGGAGCATCACTTGAGTCTGGGAGGTTGAGGCTGTAGTGAGCCATGATTGCACCACTGCATTCTAGCCTGGGCAACAGAGTAAGTCCCAGCCACTCAGGAGGCTGAGGCAGGAGCATCACTTGAGTCTGGGAGGTCGAGGCTGTAGTGAGCCATGATTGCACCACTGCATTCTAGCCTGGGCAACAGAGTAAGACCCTGTCTCAAAAAAAAAAAAAAAAAACACGATATTTTCTTACAGAAGACAGTAAAACCTAGGTGAAATCATTTTGTTTAAGTTACTTTTACTGTGAAGAGTGACATGAATTTCGTATGAGATGTAATTAGCAGATTAACATTTTTATGTTTTTCTGAGAAAGAGATGAAAATACTTCACTGTGTTATGTCCGTAATCTGGAACAATCATTTTACTGAGGAATGCTGTTACTGTTCTGAACTTCACATCAAGTTCCAGATTTTCATTCTCCCACATAGGAGTTTTTTAAATTTCAAAAGATGGCAGTGGGGCTGAGCGCAGTGGCTCATGACTGTAATCCCAGCACTTTGAGAGGCTGAGGCAGCGGGAGGATTGCTTGAGCAATGTGGAGACCCACCTGGGTAACATAGTGAGACTGTGTCTCTACAAAACAGTAAAAAATTAGCTGGGAGTGTGATGAGACCGTAGTCCCAGCTACTCAGGAGGCTGAGGTAGAAGAATCCCTAGAGCTCAGGAGGGCAAGCCTGCAGTAAGCCCTTTCACATCATAGCACTCCAGCCTGTGCAGCAGAGCAAAATCCTATCTCCACCCCTCCCCCGCCACAAAAAAAAGTCAGTGCTAGAACTTAATACAGACAAATTTGCATTCACAACTACAATTTCTTGGTTGAAGATTAACTGAGAAGGTATTTGTGTGATATAAATTGATCAGAATGGAGGTTTTAGAGCAGTTAGAAATCTGCTGTAAGGATTAAATGATGTGTGTAGGTTACAGTACTGTCTGTATTTATCTTTGATTTAGACTCAGCTATTGGGCAGTAAGAATTTCTTAGCAACTGAGGAATCTCTCAGAGTTACCACAGATTGCTTGTTTAGGGTGTACGCACATCTAAATCATGGGAAAGGAACAAAATATGTTAACTCTTTTTTTTACTATTATTATTATACTTTAAGTTTTAGGGTACATGTGCACATTGTGCAGGTTTGTTACATATGTATCCATGTGCCATGTTGGTATGCTGCACCCATTAACTCGTCATTTAGCATTAGGTAGATCAGCACTTTGGGAGGCCAAGGCAGGGGGATAGCTTGAGCCCAAGAGTTTGAGACTAGCCTGGGCAACATAGTGAGGCCCTTTCTATGCAAAATGAATGAATGAATGAGGCATTATGGTCACCGTTACTAGATTTGATTGACTGTGCCTTTACTTTTCAGTAAATAATACATAGACTTTCCTGACCTAAGCTTTATGATGATCTCAGGTTGTGATATGGGGGTAGGAGGAGGTTAACTCTCTCTATAGCCACTGCTTTCCTTAAAATCATTGCTTTTTATTAAAGTGTCTTAACATGGCATTTTAAAAAGCAACCTTGGCCAAGCATGGTGGCTCATGCCTGTAATCCTGACACTTTGGGTGGCTGAGGTGGGAGGATTGCTTGAGCCCAGGAGTTGGAGACCAGCCAAAAAAAAAAGCAATGCTTTACACTCCAGTCATTGAGAGCATCAAAAATTATTTTCCAACCACTGCCATGTCAAATGTAATTTAAGAAAGCACCCCTCTTCCCTGAAGAAAATGCAATTTGGTTTACTTTATTCCATCTCTGATTAGTGGCATTGGTTTTGTTTACAATTAGAAAATAAAATGTGTTTAGGGTACAATGTAATGGCAAATTGTCTGTAAGAGGTTAGTTTTCTTTCTCTTTTTGATGAGCTGAAAAGGTCATTGTAGTAGCATATTCAAGCTAGTCATCTTTGCGTATTTCATTTATTTCCTCACAAAATATTTATTACAAATATAGTAGCACGTTTCTCTTTTTTGAAGACATGTGAGCATCTATCTGAATAAGATACTCAATATTTCATCTTGATGTGTGATCTCGAGCAAGCGGTTTCTTTTATCTAAATGTCTTCATCTGAATATGGATAATCCCTTGGAATCCTCCCTTCTTCTTCAGGGACTCTGAAGAAAATAATTTAGGCTTCATCAGATTCTTTAAATTATTAGAAAAATAATCAGAAAGAACCAAAGGGCTGTTTTCCTTTAGCCTAAAGATATTTGCAATTTAATATCATCTTTTGGAAAAAAATTTACGATAAAAGATATATGTTTTGTCACTTATTTATGCAGTGGCTTTATGGGCCTTGTCTTTGTTCCTTAAAGGTAAATGCCATTGTTTTAAAATTTCTTTTTCTTTTAGAGACTGTGTGTATATCGCGAGTCGGAGGCCAAACACACCGTATTTCATCTGTAGCATTCAAGACTTCAAACTGGTAAGCATTTTTAACGTGCTGTTCGCTCTGCTCTGTATTCTCTCTTTTTCCAGTTCCATTGGCTATCTCTTATTGTTACTCCATTGCTGTTGACGTGGTTACCAGTTCACCTTTTGAGTGCTAACTGTCTCGTGGCAGTAGCACTGAAACGAGGGTTACTAGTTCCATCTTTTCAGCTTTGTAACACTTACTCTCATAATGCTTATATTGTAAACAATATTTCTGAAGTTTTTATCCCTTTAGTAACTGTTTTGACAATTTCAGATAGTCCCTTGAATTTCTGAAGTAGGTTGTTTCTTCTTAGCCATTGTTAAGAGCCTAAAGTAAAGTAAATTCAGTAAATTGATGAGTAGGGGAAATAATATAAATGGGTCAGAGAATAGTTTCCAGTGGAAATCTGTCACTTCCTTCAATATTTCGGTAGGTGTGGAGTATATGTTGAAATTGTTGTGGGGGTTTCCCGGGGTAGCGGTTGAAAGAAGTCTGGCTTGGGCATGGTAAAGCTGTTGTACTTTCTTTCCAGTTTTAGTGCATGTGTTGCAGAACTGAGGACATAGCTGCTGTACTTTCTCGTTAAAAATTCTTCCTGAATATATAAGTGTTGATGTTCCTCATTATGAAATCGCTTTTTTAGGGCCAGTGGTTCTCATATTTTAGGCTTTGGATCCCTGGATGTCTGCAGAGATTTGGCAGAGGTCTGCAAATAAACATGCTAAGCTTGATGTAAATGAATTGATCTCACATGTCTGGACAATGATTTTTCAGCCTGTTTTCAGTATGCTTTTATGATTTTTAAAAATTTCACTTATTTAAAAGCAATACACAGTTAAGAACCACTATTTGTTGTTGTTGTTGTTGTTTGAGACAGAGTCTTGCTCTGTCACCCAGGCTGGAGTGCAGTGGTGCAGTCTTGGCTCACCGCAGCCTCTGCCTCCCGGAAACAAGTGATTCTCCTGCCTCAGCCTCCCGAGTAACTGGGATTACAGGTGCATGCCAGTACAACCAGCTGTTATTTTTATATTTTGTATTTTTAGCAGAGAACAGGGTTTGTATTTTTAGCAGAGAACAGGGTTTCACCATGTTGGCCAGGCTCGTCTCCAACTTCTGACCTCAAGTGATTTGCCTGCTTTGGCCTCCCAAAGTGCTGGGATTACAAACGTGAGCTACCATGCCTGGCAGGAACCACTGTTTGTTTGTTATTTTCCTCAAACAATTGGTATTTGAAATACTACTGAAGTAGTATCATTTGGGAGTCTTTTGAAACATTTTGATCTTACAAGGGACCCTAGTACTTTGAAGATTGTGAACCACTGTCTGTACTCTTAAGGGTAGAGAATTCCTAATTCCTTAGCTTTGTAGAGATGTGTATCACTATCTGTGAATGCTCTTATTTCCAACACCCTTTGTAATTTGACAATATTTGTTTTGACTATGTTGTATGTGATATTTCAGTCTAAAGAAATGTAGTTTGAAAAGATCTTTCTCTGCATCTCCTTTGTTTTTTATCATTTTTAATGGCCCAAGTACCAAATTAGTATATTCAGTAAAAAAAAAAAAGTCACATTATTTTTCTTTGTTAAAAAGTTATTGCTTAAGTTATTGCATGCCTACTGTTTTAAGATGAAGTCAAATGTGCTATTTACTTATAAGATGGATCTATTCTTGATAGGTGACTTTTAACTTTCCTGGTTGCATTGCAAGGCGGCCTTGCAGTTTAATCTTGTAAATCAAATGCTTTCTATCCAATTTTTATGTCTATATGAATTTTTTAAAACCATTTTTAGAGGTCTTTGCTACTTATTATATCTTTCCTTCCAAAGTGTTTTTTTTTTTTTTTTTAACAGATACAGCACTGACACCTGAAATACGGGTATAGCCTTATTCCTGAAGAGTTTTGTTTTGGTAGTGGCTGCTGCTACTGCCCTTTTCCTGCCCATTGTCTTTGTGTGTGATTTTCACAAAACCAAACATCAGTGCACCATGAAAAATATATAGCTGTGAAATAAAATTGTAAATATTTTTATTTTACCTATTAGATCTTGAGCCCCCTTTGTACAGTTTTTGCACATTAACAGGTGCCTTCCTGTTTGAACAGCATCTCTTATGAAATGCTGATTACAATGTGATAGTTGCTGTTCTGGGCAGAGGTTCCTGCTGAGTTACGGTAATTGCTCAGGGTGTTAACAGCAATAGAAGCTGAAGCTTCTGTTGTCAGTATTGGTCTAATACAACACATTAAAGCTATCTACAAAAATATGTGGGAAGTAGGGTGCAGTATGTTTAGATACCTTTTTCTAAATCACACACTGCTGTTTCTCATGTTTTTGTTTGAGGTTCTGTATTCAGCACATCCTCATAGTTGTTGTGTAAGAACAACAGATGATGAAATATTTGCTCTGGGAATAAATATAGTTATTTCCACTGTCTTATTTTCTTACTTCTCTGTACTTATTAAAAGATAATCAAATAGATGAGAATGATCAAGATTTTTTTCTCCTTCAGTTTACTGAAGCTGTAAGGGAAAAAGATGAGCAGAAGGAAATAAGCTTTGTTTCTCTGTGAGATTTTAAAAAGAAGAAGAAATTGAATTTGATTTTGCTCACAGCAAATAACATGACTAGTGGAGCAATGAAAGAAAAAAAAACCCGATAGCTTTGAAATGTTGAGTAATTAGGTATTTTATCTTTTTAATAATCACAAAATAAAAAGTTGGTTTGGGGTTATAATTGAGAGACGTGTTTCATTGTTTATACTATAAATGAGAATCCCTTTGCCGTGGTGAAATTTTGTGTATAAAGTATGTTTGGGCACTGTAAAAATAACTGGGTGAATGCCCTTTATGATACACATTAGTAGGTATGATTACGATGTTAAAGACAACAAAAGCTAATGAGGTGAGGCGTGGGGAGGAGGAGACATGTACCGCCAGTCACTGAGACTAGAATAATGGCAGCTTATTGAACCGAGGGCCTTAGGTCACATTTCATGAAATAGCTCTATATGAGATAAGGAGAAGGGTCTTTGTGTTTTATGTGGGGACCTGGGTTGTCTTCTCAACTCTGCTGCTGCATTCCCTTAGAATCGAGTCTGTGGTATAGAACACAGCTGCCTCTATGTCCTGATCCCTGTCTGTTGTCCTGCCAGACTATTAAACAGCCTCCCCTTTCACTCTCAAAAATGTCTGAGTGTGGATGATAGGTTGTGAGGTTGTGTGGTTATCTTGCCTACGGGGATAGGGTCCATGGCTTCTGCTTTATTAATATTCAACCATCAAAACACACAGGGACACCACCATCCTACACTAGTAGGTGTATTTTGAGCCCGTACTTCCACAGGGTACGTGGAGGCTATGATAGTATCAAGCAACTAAGTTCCTAACTGAGCTGAGGTTTTAAAGGTAGGAATTATGTATTCTATTAGGAAGCTTTCATTCTCTTAGGAAGTATTCATTTGATTGGGCTTATTTACAAACGGAGATGTCTGATTTTGTTTAAATGCGCTGACCAAAGTATTTATGGAACAACTAGTCAAAAGCAGGAGCTCAGGTGAGCAGAAGAGGCTGGGTAGAATTATGGACAGTGCATACTTAGAAGCAGGAGAAAGAAGTATTGTTGATTAAAAAGGTCGCTTTGCACCGTAGATTTCTGAACTATATAGTAAAATAGCTGGCAAAGTCTTTATTTAGCTTTTTGAAGGACTAATAATTTGGAATGGCAGTCTGTGATCCTTGTGGCCTGGCATGAAAAGATTAATTGAGCCAAATTTCATTTTTAGAATTTAGAGTTGAGAAACTGAGAGACTGAGGCAGTTAGTAGAGGGGAAAGGTGAATGGATAATTCAAGAATTACCCCTAATATATCTGTAAAAATTAAAAATAAAAAAAGAATTACCTGAATGACAAGAGCAAGGTTAGGGCTGACATAGGCAAGCTCACTTGCTAGGGTAGGAAACTGGGAAAAGCAGAGGACAGGGAAGCTGTGGGAAGGGCAGCAGACTGCCAAGGGAAGTGTGTGCACAGCCGTCTCTTCCTTGACTCCCCTGGGTCCCACTGCACTGATGTTCTTCCCACAGGATTCTTAGATTATCCTGTTCGCTCTGAGTAGAGAGCTCTCATCTGGGCTAGCTTGAGTGGATCTTCATCAATTGCAATGGAAAGAGCCTAGGTTAACATCTCCAACCCTTCTGCTGCCCTCCCATAGCTTTTATAGGTCACCATGTGACTTAGTTACTTTGAGGGTTTTGTTCTGAATAAGTCAATATCATTGAGGAGCATTATATCACAGAGTGCAAATAGGAATGTTTTGGGCTATAATCAGGGGCATTTACTGAATACCTACTTTGTGTTCTTTATGGAACTCAGCACCTAAAGGGAGACTGAAGAAGTATAAAATATTGTTCATTCTCTCAGTGATCTTAGATTCTAAGTGACAGACAACTTGTGGCATTATTGGATGTCAGTCTTCTTTGGAGAACATTCTGAATAGGATTGACAAGAAGGGCATTCACTTTTAGTTCTAAAAGAAATGATTTCTTTTGTGTGTTTATGAAAAACAATAAAATCATATTTTTATAGAAACCCAGGCATTAAGAAGTATAATACAAATAATTTGCCATCTGGAAATAATCATGGAGTCTGAGAATGCTAACAAGGTCATGGAGACAGTAATTTTCATTCAGTATAACACTGAGGAGTTCCTTGTATAGTAAGTGGTTCCTTGTAGCAGTTAGTACCTTTCTTTATTCACAGATAAGTAAGCAAACTCACTCCTGTAATATTCTCCATGGAAATTCAGTGTGTATTCTTGCATTGCCGTCATTCATACAGTAGAGGAAAACGTGCTTTTGGTTTCCTAAAGTTACATAGGTGTTTCAGCTGTTACTTATACCAAATGAGTTTCTAGGTAGTATATGTAGCTATAAGTACTATTTTGGGTTAATAACATTGATTCATTTTGGTTCCTCAGCTGTTTTATTAAAACTTGGAAAATTGTCCTTAAAGTTAAGCCAGATAACAGAGATTCCTTAGAGTTGGGGGTGATAGGGATGTTAAAGTGTTTCAGGTGATGGTTAGCTGGGCTCGACATATTGTTATGGCTCCACATAGATGATAATGTCGCTGTATCATTTGTGTCCCTAACAGCCTACTTTCTAAGTGCTAGTTCTGAATGTGGAATAGCTAAGGATGCATACTACTAGTTACCTTGGAGAATGCACAATTCCATTATTGCTGTGAATGTGGGGGCCAAGTTATTTATCGTTTAATACCATATCCCTCTCATTGTTTCATTGTCAAATGTGACCAGCTGGAGGAAAAACACCTGGAATTTCTCTCTGATTCCTGGTCTGTACTCATAAGTTGTTTGCTACTCACTACCCTTTATTCATGCCTTCCCCGACAGTACAGCAGCAGAAGGGCTGAAGAGAAATTAACTTCATCTTAGGTTCCACTTGCCATTGAGATTGCCCACCCTCCACCAAATTTATTTTCCTAAAAATGGATTAAAAGTAACAAGAAGCTATTTCTCCTCCTTTTTAATAAAAACTTACTGAGGATGAGTAATTATGTCTTCTTTTCTTATTAGAACCATAGATGATGCTGGGAGATATCAGATAGCGACTTAATTACCCATACCTTTTGTGCACACATTCAAGTGTACACACAGTGACTTAATTATCAGACTTACACATTATCTACCGCATTTCTTTAATCCCAGCGTGGCTGTTACCACTTAACACAGAAGGCGTACTGTATGGACATTCATGGAATGGGCATTCGTTTAAAAGGAGGTAAATCTTGCATTGGAGCCCTTTTTTGGTTGCGGGGGGTGGGCAGGAAGGTCCACATAATTTGAACATGGCTAATTCAGAATTTAGGATCTGTTATTCTGGGATTGAGATGAGGGATGGTAGATTGCCCAGGTTCAGAGCTCGGACTTCGACATCAGGTTGTCTGAGTTCACGTACTCCGTCCATCAGTTGCCATCTTTCCTGACCTTGGGAAATACACTTAACCCTCTTAACTTTCTTTAGTTACCTGTGAAGTTGGGATATAAAGTACCTACCTTGCCAAGTAGATTGTTTTTAGATTAAAAGGTCAAACTTACAAAGTGTCCAGTGCCCCATAGAGTGACACTGATTGTGATGTTGTTGTTTAGTTGGTACCTTAGGTTTATGCTTTTTATTCACTGATGTATATATTGTGTGCTTATCACATTGGCTGGCTGTATTGTCCACAGTAAGTATTTAGTGAATACTGAATGAAGTAACATTTAAGTGGAATAAATTCACTGGATAAGTATTTTTAAAAAACTTTAGTAATAGTTGTTTGATACAGTGCATCAACAACAAATTAACATTCTCTTAAACAAGCCAAAGAAGTCTACTCAATTACCTTTGGTTAGCCTGCAGTGCGTAATGTATAGAACTAATAAAACTTTATTTCTTTTAAAATACTTGAGGAAAATTCAGTTTCTTCTTTTCTTCACGAATTTGAATGAATGTAGCCTAAGTCATAATATTTTTTAGGCATCATTATATTGTTTTGGGTTTTCCATAGGACTGACTTTCAGCAAAGATAAATGAGGGCCTAGTATATGTGTGAACCTCCCAGAAAAGGCCAACTGTTATGAAAAATGCCTTACGCTATGATGATTTGTTTCTGTTTTTGTTTTTGACAGTCCTTCAAGGTAGGCCTGCAAAACTGAGTATTTCTTTCTATAACTCCTTCTTCTCTTTACTTTCTTGGCTTGTACCATACAAAAAGGTCAGTATCACCCAGTTACGCCTTTGTGACTTGTTGTGTAGTGTCGGACAATGAAGTAAAAACTTTACATTGAAGTTCATTATCAAGTATTTTCAGCTATTATATCCAAGGACCAAGTGGCCTTTTCACATATAAATTTGCGATTTCTAATTTTGTTTAATTCTTTAACGAGGCAAGAGGCGGGATGGAATTCTTTTTTGGAGACAGAGTTTCCCTCTTGTCACCCAGGCTGGAGTTCAGTGGCGTGATCTCAGCTCTTTCCAACCTCCGCCTCCGGGTTCAAGCGATTCTCCTGCCTCAGCCTCCCAAGTAGCTGGAATTACGGACACCTGCCACCACCCCCAGCTATGTTTTTGTATTCTTAGTAGAGACGGGGTTTCACTATGTTGGCCAGGCTGGTCTTGAACTCCTGACCTCGTGATCCACCCACCTCGACCTCCCAAAGTGTCAGGATTACAGGCATGAGCCACTGCATCAAGCAAGATGGAATTCTTTAGCCCTGAGTTTGGTGGACTGAGTCAGAGGAGGTTGTATATCTATACTCCCCTCCCGCCACAATTGTAGAGTAATGACATTGAAAGTTTTTTGAACCACCACATCCTTTTTGCATGATACTGATGTCAACCTCTAAATGGACAGGGTGGTATTAACATAAGTGGAAATCAAAATGAGGGCTTGGGAATAAATAATTCCAGCATTTTATTGGCCACATTTTCTGAGCTTCCCAGCAATTTGTCTTCACTTGTGGCTGCCAGTCAGGGTAGGGCACTTGGGATTTTAAGTTTTAGTGTTTAACTACTATTGTGAGGTTGAATAATTCATTTTCTTCTAATTTACTTGGGTCAAGGGACTCTAAGAAACTATTGAAAAAATTTCGTTTAATTATATGTATTTCCATAAAATATATTTCTGAAAATGTTATTTACTAAAACTGTTAACTATACGTGAAATTGTTTTCAATGCAGAAAACTCTATTCTAATTTTAAAGGAGCTTAAGAAAGGTTGAGACAATCTGATATTTGCAGCCATCTACTATGCAAGAATATTGGTAAAGTCTTGTTCAAACTTAATTCTTTTCAATTGGAAATTTGTAATTTGTATGTATATATGGATGCTTGCATTAAGAACCAACTCAGTAGTCCAAGAAAAACCTATTAGAAGTACTAAAAAAACTTAGGGAAACAGATACTGTCAACATTTTCTCATTTGTATGTGAGAACAATGACTTGTTTTGAAAAAAAATGCCTTTTTAAAATGCATAAAATGTTTTAATAATTACTTGAACTATTTGCATGTTTAAGATAATGCCAAAGTGTTTGGAAATGCTTTACCAGGTGTTTTTGATTTAAAACCTTAATTTGAATGTAAGGATTTAGGTGGTTTGGGCAGTCATATTCCTAGTGGAAGAGATTATCCAGAAGTCCATTTTTATTTTGATGCTTCTGGCAAAAAATACTGAATATGCTGTACATTCAAGTGCACAATTGAATCTTTAATTTGGAGTTTGCAGTGTTGGTGATGACGGGGAGAAGGTGTGTGGTGAGAAGGTTGTGGCTACTGACACTCTGTCAGCTATACCATCACTGAGGCCATGAGAATCAGAGACTGACTGCACACAAATTTTAATGTAGATCCTAGGATGTACTCTAGATGGTCATCTTTAGTAAAAGAAAAGAAAATGATCACGATAAAACATTCTGAACATTAGCTTATTCTCCTGGTATTTGTTTTGTGTGTGTGTGTGTGTGTGTGTGTGTGTGTGTGTGTGTATGTGTAGGGAGCTTAAGAGACTTACAAAAATAGTGAATGAAATATATTAAAATCTTTGTTTACAGAAAGTTGTTAATTACTCTTGCTTTTCAAAGGGAATTATATGTAACAGGACACCCTAGTAATGATTTAATATTAAAAGGTTGCTCACCTGTAATTTTTAGACAACCGTAAGACAGGTTCTTATATAAGTATTGGGATTTTATGGATTTTTTTAGTTCATTTGAAACCACATGAAATTGGTTTAAAAAATGTTATGTGCTCTCTAAAATATTTGAAAAGGAACATACGCAAACTGTTATCTGAGGTATACTGTGCTAGCTTTCAGAAGTTGCTCTATAGTCTTTTTCTTCCTGGTTTTTAAATGTTTTCAAAGTTAATTTTAAAAAAGACGTGATACATACTAAACTAGTTTTGCCTATAAAAATAAGTAATGTCTTTCTGGAACTTTATGGTCTGTGCCTGTTCATTATACTCACCTTGTGGGCGTTTGGAGAAAATTACAACTCATGTGAATGTTGTCTTTTTCCCTCTGTTTTGGGGCCTTTGTCTATTTACTTTGCCTTCAGCTTTATGCAGTTAAACTTGAACTTTCAGAAAATGGCAGGGCCTTTCACCACCCAAATGCCCTATTTCCTTATTAAGTACATGTCTTATGTCTCTAGCTTCTGTCATTAGAAACTCTTCTGAAAGCTCAGTTTGTCCACTTGTGATTCATTTTACGGTTGTGTTTATCTGACGTCATAGCATTTCTGTTTTTATTATAAGCATAGCATGTTGCTGTTAACTGTGCTTTGGCACTATCTCACATCTTAACTTGGTTATTTTGAGGGGCACACACCATACTGCTTTATGATAGGACCTGGATTAAAGTGTGGAGCCAGAAGGGTCATACGTTTGTTCACACTGAAATAAGGTAACAGCTTTGATTAATGCAAAAAGGTTAACTTAGTGGTAGAACAAATTATCTGAGGTTTCAGAGGTCATCTGCTAAAGAGTTTTTGCAGATACCGACTTGTGTGCTGCGTGCCCCAGGGCATGATGGGGCATTGGGCACGTTAACTTAAAACTGTTTTCTTTTTTAGGTCCACAACTCCCAAGCCTGTTGCAGATCTCCAACTCCTGCTTTGTGTGACCCCCGCAGCATGCTCTCTGCCGGTGGCATCACAGTCACCACAGCATCTTTCTGAAGCTAGGAGAGGGCCTGTAGGGGTAAGGAGAATCCCGTTTTTAAAAGCTATCAGTATTTTATATCCCATAGGGTATAAAATAGGAATATTATGTCCCTCCCCAGAGCCCCTTTTTAAAATGTGCTGTATTATATGTGTTTTTAAAGGAGTAACAAGTACATGCACAGAGGAAGCAAAATACGGGACTTGCCTTACCCCTCTAGGACAGTTCCAGAAGTTAGCGGGGTTTGGTGGAAGGGTATTTTGGCACCAGCAGAGAGCATGCTGGGCTGCTGCAAGGAGCAGGAGCTGGCAATCAACAGCGAGTTTGGATGTTGGCAACTGAAATGGGGAGAAAAGGGGGTAAGTTTGAGTTCAAGTGTGGAATGTGAATTTCCCCAGGCTCATTGGGACTCATGACCCACAAATCTAAACTATTTTGGGTGTTGTCCTCTCGGGTGACATTTTGTAGGGTGTTGCTCAGAAATAGCGAGGCTTTTCTCCAGTGCTAGATGCAGAATACGCACTTCAAGAGGCTTGGGTCGGGCTGTAGCTATACTTCTTAAGAGCTATCCCTTGGTTATTCCTCTGTTACTAGTGGTGGTCCTGAGGGATGTGTAAGAGGCAGCAGGATGAAGTATCTGTAGTGCTTTATCCCTTAAAGCACAGGAACCCATGTGGGTGATCATAGGGGTTATTATTGTGTAGTGCATCTCCCTTTTTAGGAAAGTTCACACTTGTCTTCCTTTTTTTTCCTGTAATCGTAGGACTTAATGGAGGACTTAATGGTAATGTTTTCTGAAAGTCGAGTATTTATTATTCCGAATGACTACTGGGTTAACATGAAAGAAGTGTAGTTTTAGTTAAGCATTGAAGTCAGTGTGAAGAAGTGACTGTGGCTCCCCAGTTCATACTGAATTAGCAAATAATACAAGAGGATAGCAAGCTCTCTCACACTTAGACACACACAATGCAGCATACTGTCAATATACAGTGAATTGTTCAGTTGCAGTGCAGAATATTAATATCTTGGGGTGAAGAAAAGAAAGTGCTCCAGATGGGATGTGGCACTTGGGGAAGTTCTGTGAAGGTGGGTAGGTTTTGAGGAGCTGGGTATGTTTTTCACACATCAATAAGAAGTGGATAGGCAGAGTATAGGAGCCTTGCAGGTGTACCTGGCAGCCTGTCCTTATAAGCAACACAGGCAGTGAGGCTGACGAGTCTGGGAGTTGTGAGAAGATGACCCGCAGGACGTCACTGAAGAGCATGGGTTAGTGGATTTTGGGAGGCAGATGTGGAGATATAAAATGGGGCTAGATTATAGAGAATCTTCAAAGTTAGCAAAGTTAAGATTTTGTGTAATAGGCAGTAGAGAGCTTGTGTAAGCTTTTTTATTCGAGATGAGCCATCTTGCAGACCACTGCTTAAGAAGACTGACTGTGGCAGTTTGCAGTGTGGAAGGGGGAAAGATGGTGAAAGCTCCAAGTAGGAGGCTAGGGCTGCCATTCGTGGGTAAGATGAAGAGGACCAAGACAGTAGAGATGATATATAGATAATTGTAACCAAATCAGGAGTAATTGTTGGAACAGCATAACACATTTACATATTTGCTGATGTAATTACTCAAGGGTCATATCATAAAAAGGGGTGGGGGTTTCACATTATGGAAACCTTGGAATTCTCTGTCTTACGGTGGAAGACAGAACCCAGTGTAGTGTAGACAAAAGTCTAATTTTAATTCCCAGAGAAAGACTGATATCTTATGGGACAAATTAGTATATTCCCATTCCTAATAATGGTGTACCTAGCTGGTGGGTAATTGCAGGCTTTCAACCTCCAGTTCATCTTCATGAGATCAATGTTGATTCAGAACAATAAGTGTCAGGTCTATGACACCTTTAAAGTTATGCTTAAATGTGAGTCTGTGACCACTAATGAATGACTACAGTTGTTTCATGACTTGCTAAACATACCTGGTTTTTCACAAGCAATAGATTTTTGAAGGAGAGGTATTCACAGTGGGTGCTAGGAAGATACACACATTAATTCTGTAGAATTTAGCTAAAATGTGTTCAGCCTAAGGGATGACATTAACAGAGACTTGTGATCCTGCTTTGCATCTCATGAGTGCTGAGCAGTTGGTAGAGATGGATGGTATTTTCCATATATCAGCATCTGCTGTATGCTCAGGCTTTGCTCCTGTTAAGGGAACTAGGGCTCTCTAGCCTTTTCAGAGATTCTGTGAGATTATGTACTTTATTATTATTATTTTGTCTAATCTAATCAGACTAGATTCTTGTATTTCGAACTAAGAACTCAGAATATATCCATGACCTTTGGTTAAAAAGCTTAAAGGGAAAGTAAACTTCATTTATTCGTTGAACAATTTATTTAGTATTTCTTATTTATTAGTGTTCTGTCTCCTGAATAAATAACTCATTTTAAGTGTTTATTGAGCACCAATTGCACATAAACTATTGTATTAGTTTTGTGGGAGAAAAAAATAAATAAACTAAATATCCCTCCCTCAAGGAATGTTTGTAAAGTTGATTAACTATGCTAGAAAATAGAAAGTGAATGGTGCTATGAGATACAGAGGTATAGTAGTAGTATGAAGGTTGAATGGAGAAAGAGATTAAATACAGCAGAAGACAATTATTTCTATCAGAGAAGAGATGACATAGGAGATGAAGAAGAAAGATTTAAAATGATTTTTACAGAAAGATGAAGAGATACATAACTCTTGAGTAGAGAAGGCAAGAAGAAGAGAAACTGTATGGACAGTATGAGCTAAATGTGAAAACAGAATTTTTTTTGGCTGGGTGCGGTGGCTCATGCCTGTAATCCTAGCACTTTGGGAGGCCGAGGCAGGTGGATCACCTGAGGTCAGGAGTTTGAGAAAAGCATGGCCAAAATGGGGAAACCCCATCTCTACTACAAATAGAAAAATTAGCCGGGTGTGGTGGCACATGCCTGTAATCCCAACTACTCGGGAGGCTGAGGCAGGAGAGTTGCTTGAACCTGGGAGGTGGAGGTTGTGGTGAGCCGAGATTGTACCAGTGCACTCCAGCCTGCACCATGGGATCGAAACTCCATTTAAAAAAAAAAATCTGTGCACAAAGAAATGGGCAATGCATTGACTCGGTGCAAAATATCATAGATGAGGTAGTGAACATGTTTAGGAATATATTCACATTTTCAAGAAGACAGCTAGTTTCCCTATTGAAATCCCTGGCATACAGGAGCAAACAGCATGAAATAAAGAAAAGTTCTATGTTTTTAGAAATAGGTATCCAACTAATACACATAAAAATTGTCTTTATGGAGTAAAATGCATATTTAATCAATCTAATCAAACACAACCTCAGCTAAATTCTTCTCTAAGATATAGACACACCTGCTAAGCAAAAGGGATAAGATATCTTGTCTCTAGGAAACAACAGAAGTTAATTAGCTTCAAAAATACTTTATATTTGCAATTAAAAATAATTTTAAATCCACAGTAGCTATGGTTCTCATTAGAACATAGAATATTGTGATGCCTTGGACTATTTTATTAAAAATGGCTATATTTGGTCCTTATCTCAAACTTTGTGTTCAGGTATATAGCTGATTAATAATGTAGTTTATTAAGAAATATTTTTTGCATATTACTGTGAAATCATAGTGTATGAAATGGACTAATAAAGCCTATAATGACCAGGAAAATATTACTTACTGCAAAGATAATATAAAGTTCAGTTCTTTTATCTATAGTTTTATTGTTAAGTTACATATATAGATAAATGATAGACAGACATCAACACACACATGACTGTTTACAAATTACGGAGGTTACAAATCTAAAACACGTGATTTTTATCTCAAAATAATAAAGATTAAAATGTTAGCAATGTTCATCCATTGGTCAAAACTTTGCATTCTTGTCTTGGATTCTTGCTTATATTCATCAATTTTAATCTGGATCTAAACACTTAAATAAATGAAAATAACATATTAAATAAATTTGTTTATGCACTGCACTTCATTTCTAACGATTTCTCATGAGATAGTGGAATGCATGATGACATATAATTTATGATATTGTTCTAGTGTTTCCATGCCCAAATTAAAGTCAATAAAATTTTATAATAGAAATACCCAAAATGAAGAATGATGATGAATTGAGCACTGATATTAAAAAGATTAAAAATGGTGCAACTTTTTATAAGCAAATTAGATCTATGTTTTAAGAACTTTATATGAAGTCTTACATGTATCTGCATTATACTCAGAGGTATAAATAAATCGTTAACTTCTTTATTATGTCTTCAAGTTACCTGATGTTCCTCCTGAGCATCTCGAACCTCAAGATAGGGAAAAATTGTATTCAATAAATCAAGTAAATACATAACAATGACTGTGTATTAACAAAAAATTAAAAATAAAAAAGAAATCAAGTTGTCTTAGTTCAATGCAATAACAAAAATAGTCACTTAAGCACAACACTCAAATGCTGAGTTTTCTCATTTCACTTCTTTCTTTTCTTATCCAAGATGGTATCTCATGTATGAGATGAACTTTACTAATAATACAGGCAAATGGGGAGATGTTGGTTGAGAGTGTATTGAATCTATAGGTAAATTTAGGAAAATTTTAAATCTTAAAAATATTGCTTTTAATCTGTGAACATGTTATATTTCTCCTATTATTAAATAATTTTTAATTTATCTCAATCATGTAGTTTTGGTAAAACATCTTGTAATTACATTTAAATCTATATATTACACAATTTGCATAAGAATATAAATTCCATATTTTTAGAAATTTATTTTTGAAATTTTCTTTACTGTTATAGAGAAATGAAATGGGGGATGACCTCCACTTTTCCCATTTTACTGTAAGTCTTTGAGTAAAGGAGTGACTCCTCAACCTTATTGTATCCACAACACTAAACAGGATATGTAAGCCAAATAAAATTTTGTTGAACAAAAGACATAACACTTTATGGGTCCACATATACATATGCATCCAGAAAACTCACTTCTGCATTTTGTGTCTGCTCCTTCTTGTGACTTTAAACAGTAAGTCCTCAGCAACAGCGTCTTCTCATCCTAAAATGGATATGATATGTCCCAAATGCATAATGCTAAATTATTTGATCATAAATTGGGAGTCTCCACTCTCAATCCTAAAGACAAGCATTATCTCCAATACCAAACACTTGAAAAAAGTGTAATGAGATTACATTTAGATATTATTCAGAAGCCAAAACCACAAATAAGGCAACAATTCTCAAAGTTTAATTTTCTCAAAAAGGTTCTTTTTAAAAAATTATTATTATACTTTAAGTTCTGGGGCACATGTGCAAAACATGCAGGTTTGTTACATAGGTATACACCTGTCATGATGGCTTGCTGCACCCATCATCCCATCATCTACATTAGGCATTTTTCCTAATGCTATCCCTCCCCTATACCCTGCCACCAACAGGCCCCAGTATGTAATGTTCCCCTCCCTGTATCCGTATGTTCTCATTGTTCAACTCCCACTTATGAGTGAGAACATGTGGTGTTTGGTTTTCTGTTCTTGTGTTATTTTGCTGAGAATGTTGGTTTCCAGCTTCATCCATGTCCCTGCAAAGGACATAAACTCATCATTTTTATGACTGCACAGTATTCCATGGTGTATATATGCCATATTTTCTTCATCCAGTCTAAAATTGATGGGCATTTTTGTTGGTTGCAAGTCTTTGCTATTGTGAACAGTGCCATAATAAAATACATGTGCATGTGTCTTTATAATAGAATGATTTATAATCCTTTGGGTATCTACCCAGTAATGGGATTGCTGGGTCAAATGGTATTTCTACTTCTACATCATTGAGGAATTGACACACTGTCTTCCACAATGGTTGAACTAATTTACACTCCTATCAACAGTGAAAAAGCATTCCTATTTCTCCACATCCTTTCCAGCATCTGTTGTTTCCTGACTTTTTAGTGATCACCATTCTAACTGGCATGAGATGGTATCTCATTGTGGTTTTGATTTGCATTACTCTAATGATCAGTGATGATTAGCTTTTCTTCCCATGATTGTTGGCTGCATAAGTGTCTTCTTTTGACTAGCGTCTGTTCATATCCTTCCCTCACTTTTTGATGAGTTTTTTTTTTTTCTCACAAATTTGTTTAAGTTTTTTGTAGATCCTGGGTATTAGTTCTTTGTCAGATGGATATATTGCAAAAATGTTCTCCCATTCTGCAGGTTGCCTGTTCAATCTGATGATAGTTGCTTTTGCTGTGCAGAAGATCTTTTATTTAATTAGATCTCATTTGTCAAATTTGTCTTTTGTTGCCATTGCTTTTGGTGATCTAGTAATAAAGTTTTTGCCCATGCCTGTGTCCTGAATGGTATTGCCTTGATTTTCTTCGGGGGTTTTTATGGTTTTAGGTCTTATGTTTAAGTCTAATCCATCTTGAGTTAATTTTTGTATAAGGTGTAAGGAAGGGGTTGTTACAATTTTCTGCATATGACTAGCCAGTTTTCCCACATTTATTAAATAGGGAATCCTCTCCACATTGATTTGTTTCATCAGGTTTGTCGAAGATCAGATATTTGTAGATATTAGATATTTGTGGTGTTATTTCCGAGGTCTCTGATCTGTTGCATTGGTATATATGTATATGTTTGGTACGAGTACCATGCTGTTTTGGTTACTGCAGCCTTGTAGTATAGTTTAAATTGAGTTACCATGATGCCTCCAGCTTTGTTCTTTTTGCTTAGGATTGTCATGGCTATGTGGGCTCTTTTTTGGTTCCATGGGAAATTTAAAGTAGTTTTTCTAATTCTGTGAAGAAAGCCAACAGTAGCTTGATGGGGATAGCTTTGAATCTATAAATTACTATGGCAGTATGGACATTTTGACAATATTGATTCTTCCTATCCATGAGCATGGAATGTTTTTCCATGTGTGTGTGTTCTCTCTTATTTCTTGGAGTGGTGGTTTGTAGTCCTTCTTGAAGAGGTCCTTCACATCCCTTGTAAGTTGTATTTGTAGGGATTTTCTTCTCTTGGTGGCAATTGTGAATGGGAGTTCACTCACCATTTGGCCCTCTATTATTTGGGTATAGGAATGTTTGTGATTTTTGCACATTGATTTTGTACTCTGAGAGTTTGTTGACGTTGCTTCTCAGCTTAAGGAGATTGTGGGCTTAGACGATGGGGTTTTCTAAATATGCAATCATGTTATCTGCAAACAGAGATAATTTGACTTCCTCTCTTACTGTTAGAATGCGCTTTATTTCTTTCCTCTGATTGCCCTCACCAGAACTTCCAATACTATGTTGAATAAGAGTGGTGAGAGGGGGCTTCCTTTTCTTTTGCAGGTTGTAAAATGGAATGCTTCCAGTATTTGCCTATTCAGTATGATATTGGCTGTGGGTTTGTGATAAATAGCTCTTACTATTTGGAGATACTTTCCATCAAGACCTAGTTTACTGAGAATTTTTAGCATGAAGACGTGTTGAGTCTATTGACATATTTATGTGGTTTTTGTCATTGCTTCTGTTGATTTGATGAATTATGTTTATTCATTTGCCTATATTGAACCAGCCTTGCATCCCAGGGATGAAGCTGACTTGATTGTGGTGGATAAGCTTTTTGATGTGCTGCTGGATTCGTTTTGTCAGTATTTTATTGAGAATTTTTGCATCGATATTCATCTGGGATATTGGCCTGAACTTTTCTTTTTTCTTGTGTCTCTGCCAGGTTTTGGTATCAGGGTGGTGCTGACCTCATGAAGTAAATTAGGGAGGAGTCCCTCTTTTTCTATTGTTTGGATTTTTTTTTTTTTTTTTTTTTTTTTTTTTTTGAGATTGAGTTTCACTCTGTTGCCCAGTCTGGACTGCAGGGGCATGATTTTGGCTCACTACAACCACTGCCTCCCAGGTTCAAGTGATTCTCCTCCCTCAGCCTCCAGAGCAACTAGAAATCCAGGTTCATGCCACCACATTCAGCTAATTTTTGTATTTTTGGTAGAGATGGTTTTTTGCCACGTTGGCCACGAGGGGGCTGGAACTCCTTACCTCAGGTGATCCACACACCTTGACCTCCCAAATTTCTGAGATTACAGGCATAAGCCATCGCGCCAGGCCGGTACTCTTGTTTCAACTGAAAGAAAGAAATGTGCTGTCATACTTTACTCCTGTGAGAAAGTCCAACAGAGAAGGAATCTAATAACATCCCAATTTCCAACTGATTTCAATAAACATTTTACATAATCTAAGAAATAGAAAGTGCGAACAAATTTGTCATGAGCATTAAAGTGAGCCAGCCTCCCAGCTACTCAGGAGGCTGAGGCAGGAGAGTGGCATGAACCCGGGAGGTGGAGCTTGCAGTGAGCCCAGATTGTGCCAATACCCTCCAGCCTGGGTAACAGAGCGAGAATCCGTCTTAAAAAAAAAAAAAAAAAAAAAAAAAAAGTGAGCTAGTTTCTATGTGCTAATTCAAATCAAAGATTTGGCCTCACTGGCCTAACTCCTTGGAATGAAGTATCTGCCAACTGTCAAAAGTCAGGCTACATGAGCTTCAGAGGCCTGCAGAGACCTCTGAATGACTTTGCCATGGAGAAGAGTCACACTCTCCAGGGCCTCCTCTCTGCTAAGAGCTGAACACTCAACTGGAAAGCCTGCCTACAGAGAGGAGCAAACCGTTCCTTTGAACTGTACTAACACTGAACAAAATGTTTCTTCTTGTTCAACATTCACTTCTCTGCTACCTCATTCTACCTCATTCTTCCTGACACTGGACAAGATCTTGGACAAAGGAGTCACAGCCACAGACGTTTCTGGCTAGAAAAAAAAAAACAACAACCAACACTCTAGAGATCGGTAACAATAAAACAGAATTTCTAGTTCTCAAATTAAAAAAAATGAAGTTAAGATAATAGATAATACATTCATTAGTTTACAAAAATAAAAACTAATAGTAGCATCCACTGTTGATGAAATTGTAGGTTCTAGAAGGAATGTGATTACTACAAGGTTTTCGGAAAGTAATTTGGTATTTAAATAGTTATAATTTTATTTAATATTACATAAATTTAGTATTTAAATAATTTCAATACATGGTACTTACAGCACTTGGCCCAGTTTTCACATTTTGTACCACTTATTAAATACAAATAAAATTACCAGGATTAAAAGATAAATATGCCATCATGTTTATTGTATCATTGTTATTAATACTAAAGATTTGGAATTATAGAATTTTTCTCAAAATTAGAAAGATTAAATGGTACATCCATTGAAACCTTGGTATAAATATAATATTGATTATTATGTAACTATTAATGCAAATAAGATTGATATATGTGTTCCTTTGGAAGAAAATCTAAAATATATATTTTAGCAAAAGCGAATTATACAATATGCATGTATTGTGTGTGTACATGGATGTATGTATAGCAGTTTCACTTTCATAAACATGAACATAATCTTTGCAAATGTTTTATATGCAAAATTAACTTCGTGAAAATTATTGCCAAACTGCTGTTGGTGCTTATATTTGAAATTGGAAGAAGAAAAGAAGTTTATTAATTTATTTTCCACACATCTACTTATTTTCAAATGTTACAATGATTAATTTTTTGTAAGAGCACTGAGAAACCAACAAGCACTTCTAGTTTTTAATTTTACAGTAAAAAGTAATTTCATTGGTATGCTTACAACAATATTGTGAGTATTAATATATGTTTTTACTTATAAAAAATTGAGTTTCATAAAGGTTAAATGACATATATAATGACACATATCAGAAAGTGCTAGTGCCACGACTCAAAAACTATTCTATTTGTGGTTCCAATTCATATACTTTCCAATTTATCTCATTATTTCTTGACTGTGTGTATGTAAATGTGTGTGTAAATGTTGAATTTTTCAGATGAATAAATTTGTGTAACAAATTGGATATAGATTAATTCAGTTCATGTTTTTTGATGTGCAGACCAAGGAATTGAGTAAAAGCCATATATCTCAGAGAATCACAAAGGTGAGAAAAATCGTACCAGTTTCACAACTTTTTTTTTTTTTTTTTTTTTTTTTTTGTAGAGAAAACCTGGGACCAAGTAGGGATGATTTTTCAGCTTACTGTAGTAAAAAACAAGAGCTTTGCATTCAGGCAGTAGCAGCATCTGTTTCCAACTGAGTCTTTTACTAATAGTGGCATGCACTGCTAAATATCCAAACGCCACTATCAACCACTCAAGACAAAACACCAAAGATTTATCCTCAATTTCTTCCTTCCTTAAAACTTTACATCAAATCCATAATTAAGTCTGCTAAACTTAGTTTCAGAATATTCCCAGTCAGACTATATTCTGCTCTCAATATCCACTGTAAATCCAAGCCACCATTATATTTTGCTTCATCTACTGCAATAGCTTCCCTAAAATTAACACTTTCTTACTTTTGCCTTCTTATATTTATTCTCTGTAATATTCCCTTTTAAAAATATATATCTTATATTAAGTCATTCTTCTTAAGGGATGTTTGTGGAGGATATGTCGCAGAAAGAAACTACTCGCTTTACCAGCATCCAAGATGAGGCTCATGTCCAGTGCTCTAGCCTCATATCTCAGGCCCACCCCTTATTCCAGAGTAAATAGTATTTTATTCAAGTTGCCCATATTTTCAAGTTCTGTCTTGGTTCAGAGCTTTCTCCCTTTGCTTTTTCCCATACTGTTTTCTGTTAGTCTTCTCAGAGCTGACACTTTCTTCTTTTCAGGTCTTAGATTACGCTTTATTTTCTCACAGCTCTGGACATCAGAATTGTGAAATGGGTTCAGCAAACTATAATCAAAGTGTAGGCATGGCTGCATTTCTTCTAGAGTCTCTACGAGAGAGTCCATTCCCTTTTTTTTTTTTCTAGCATCTAGAAGTCATACTGCCCACCACATTCTTGAACACTGACCTTATTGCCTTCTCCAAGTCTTACTAAAAACATCTACTTTTGAAATTTCTCAGATATTGAATTATCTCTGCTGATACAGCCTTTTTATCTTTTCTTTTAAGTCCTTGAACACAATTTTAAGAAATGTTTTAAGGCCCTTGTGTGTGAATTCCAACATTTGGGTCATGCAAGAGTCTGATTTCTTATTTATCTCTCCTATGTCAATATGCTCCTGTTTCTTTATACATGTAATAACATTTTTCTGTGAACTGCAGTTGCATGTTTAGATAAGGGATTTGTTTTCTTTCTCTGAAGAAGGTTGGCATTTGCTCTATCAGAAATTGTTGGCTAGTGATATTGATGTTGTAGAACCTTTGTCTTATTCTTTACTGGGATGAGACTGTTTGGATTTTATCCTTATTCTCATTGTGAACTCTTTATTCTTAGCATCCAGATTTTCTTCCTAAAGTGTATCCTTTCTGCAATTTCAATAGGAAGCCAAAGGTTTTTGTCTACTCTCTCTATCTTAGTAGGACTCAAACTCCACTACCCTGACTAGAACTACCAGTAGTTTGAGTTTTCTAACAGGTGTTGCCTCTCACAAGAGGGCATTAGCTGTGGGCGTCTGCCTGCAGACCCTGGCCCAAACAACAGATGAATAAAATGTACACTGACACACAGGTATTCTGTTTTGCTAGTCCTGCTGTGTCTGACTGCCTGCACACCAAGACAGGTTTGTCACTGCAGCAGACCCTGAGCAGCTAGCACTCCAGGCATTTATTTAGTATACAATTACCAACAGAAGCTTTGAGTAATTACACTTGAGGATAATGAACTTGGTTAAGACAGTAGTTCTATGAATGATTAAAGCTCAGGTACTGTAGTCTAAGTGAATACCATTAGGGGACAATATCCTTGGTCCACCTCCCCCTGAGAGGGCCATTTGGTACAAAGGTTAGTTAATGGAGGTAGGATAAACAGACTTAACTGGGGAAGCCTCAATTGTCCCTTGTATTTACCCTATGACATAATGTTCCAAGGTAAGAACTAGCTGCCTTCAATCTGTTCAATTATTACAAGCTGGGTAACCTTTTGGCCTTACGAAAGGTTTGTGACTATTCCCTAGAACTTCCCCTAATATTTCCCTTTACTATTTCTGCCACCATCCTGAGTGAATCCCAACATTTCCCCATTTTTGTTTTCTTTATTAGGGTTTTTTGATTGCAGAGCACAGATATGTGCAGCCACAGGATTTTCAGATGAGGCAGTCACTGCTCTTATTTAGACTTTGCATCCTAGGATTAGCAAATAACATAAGACAAACATGAGCATAATTAGCAAAAATCTTTTCCAGTCAAAGAGTATCCCCCAGGAGTTAGGGTCCAAGTAGGAGAGATGATCTTGTACTCCCTTCCACATGGCTGTTGGGTGTGCAGATCTGTGGTGTGAACAGATTTTAAAATTTTAGTTTTAACTTGCTTCATGTCTGCAGTTAAACTGTTATAAAAGGTTCCCCAGAGGTGTTGTTTCACCTCACCCTAGCTATACATTAATTGGTTCCATGGTAGAGAAGTGACACAGGTATGTTTATGTTGCCATTCACATTTTCACTGTTGACAGAATGCTAGTGCATCTTGTGGCTCTCCCGCATACTCTTTCCTTACTGTAGGAGAAGTTCATCACATATATTTTTGGCCAGATTATCTACAAAAGCAGTTGTTTGTACTGATTCAGTAATAGATACAACAGCAATGCTAACAGTTGCCATAATGACTATGGCTGAGCCTGTAAAGACCATAAGTGTAAATGTGAATCTTTTGTGTCTGACCTGGGACAGGGCACTTTCTAAGGTGGCAAGGGCAGAAGAATCTTGCCAATTGCATGTCAAATTGGCTGGTAGAAGTGCCTCAGATTGTCTCCTTAATACCACGACACTGGAAGTTTTTAAACTAGACATATCATGACCAGTGATACATGAGGCAAACCAAGCCTGTCCCTGCACCCGGGTCACAAATGTGGCATTTCCAGGTGTAATGGAAATGTTAGTTCCTGTAAGGAAAACATATGGATGGGTAGTGCAAACCAGGCACTGATCAGTGTGAGTATGAATAAAGGCTATAGTGTAGTTGAGCCTGGAATTATGATATCTCCCATAGCAGGTGTTAAGAGAGGTGCTAAGATGTCCCAGGTGCCATAAGGTGCCTTGGGTTGGTATGGGGTTTACTCAGGGTCTGGGGATATCCCATCCCTCCATCGGCCCAAATTACAGGGGAACGAGACATGGCTATAAAATATTGTGGTTAATGCTACGATGCAGAAAGACATTTGTAAGCGTGCCCTGCAGTTGGCCATGGAGACTCCACTCTAAGATGTTTTAATTGCCCAACCAGAGACTATGAGACTTCCCAGCTAAAGTGAAATCCATTATTTTCTTGGCTCTGTTCTTTAGTACGGAAAGGAATATTTGGGAAAGCAGCATGGATTGCATTGCCCAGTTTGAGGTTATCTGTAGCTAAAACTGTTAAGGCACTTTTTTTGCCATGATGTACCCATACTTGTCTTGGAGCAGTTACACAGTAAGGGTTAGAGCCTTTATAACTTAGAAGCGGTGAGAGGATAGTGTAGTGCTATATAGTGTTATCTGGCACCTTAGGGAAATGTGTGTTATTATTGAGGGACCCTACTTGGTGTAAATCTATCCGTCCTAGCCAAGCAGTCATGTTGTTACAGAGTGGGAAGGGAGTTATCTGCCCAGGTGACAGGGTGAAAGAAAAGTGGGCCATTTTAGGCTCATATTTAGGGCTCATATTTTAATGAGCCCAATAGAGTGTAGCAGGTACAGTTTGCAGGCAAAGCGAGAGTATAAAAATGATCAATACCCTATGTGAGTCGCATTGTACAATAGATAGCATAGAAAGAAACAAAATAACTGGAGTAAATGGTGCCTGTGTCTGGAGCAGGATTTGTTCAGCCTCCTCTGGAACTGTGGGTCTTACTGGGTTAACTCTTTCAATTCCGGTACTAGATTGGACCCTAGCCATGCCATGTTATGGTTTGATGCCTCGTGCTGGAATCCAAAGAGGACTTGAGGGGGTGTAAACACAAGCCTACCCTCTCCCCCATGTTAATAATTCATTAAGACCACACTGTGTCCAGAATTGGTGGGTTCTTGGTCTCACTGACTTCAAGAATGAAGCCACGGACCCTCGCGGTGAGTGTTGCAGCTCTTAAGGTGGCGCGTCTGGAGTCTGTCCCTTCTGATGTTCAGATGTGTTCGGAGTTTCTTCCTTCTGGTGGGTTCGTGATCTTGCTGGATCAGGCGTGAAGCTGCAGACCTTCACGGTGAGTGTTACAGCTCTTAAGGTAGCGCGTCTGGAGTTGTTGGTTCCTCCCGGTGGGCTCGTGGTCTTGCCAGGCTCAGGAGTGAAGCTGTAGATCTTCGCAGTGAGTGTTACAGCTCATAAAAGCAGCGTGGACACAAAGAGTGAGCAGTAACAAGATTTATTGCAAAGAGCGAAAGAACAAAGCTTCCACAGTGTGGAAGGGGACCCGAGCAGGTTGCCAATGCTGGCTCCGGAGGCAGCCTGCTTTTATTCTCTTATCTGGCCCCACCCACATCCTGCTGATTGGTAGAGCCGAGTGGCCTGTTTTGTCAGGGTGCTGATTGGTGCCTTTACAATCCCTGAGCTAGATACAAAGGTTCTCCACGTCCCCATCAGATTAGTTAGATACAGAGTTTTGTCACACAGGTTCTCCAAGGCCCCACCAGAGCAGCTAGATACAGAGTGTTGACTGGTGCACTCACAAACCTTGAGCTAAACACAGGGTGCTGACTGGTGTATTTACAATCCTAGAGCTAGATACAGAGTGCCGATTGGTGTATTTACAATCCCTGAGCTAGACATAAAGGTTCTCCACGTCCTCACCAGAGCAGCTAGATACAGAGTGTTGATTGGTGCACTCACAAACCTTGAGCTAAACACAGGGTGCTGATTGGTGTATTTACAATCCCTGAGCTAGATATAAAGGCTCTCCATGTCCCCACCAGACTCAGGAGCCCAGCTGGCTTCACCTAGTGGATCCCACACCGGGGCTGCAGGTGGAGCTGCCTGCCAGTCCTGCGCCGTGCGCTCACATTCCTCAGCCCTTGGGTGGTCGATGGGACTGGGTGCCGTGGAGCAGGGGGTGGTGCTCATCGGGGAGGCTCGGGCCGCACAGGAGCCCATGGAGTGGGTGGGAGGCTCAGGCATGGCGGGCTGCAGGTCCCGAGCCCTGCCCCATGGGAAGGCAGGTAAGGCCCGGCGAGAAATCAAGCGCAGTGCCGGTGAGCCAGCCCGGCTGGGGCACTCAGTACACCCTCCGCAGCCACTGGCTCGGGTGCTAAGTCCCCCATTGCCTGGGGCCAGCAGGGCTGGCCGGCTGCTCCGAGTGTGGGGCCCACCAAGCCCACGCCCACCCGGAACCCCAGCTGGCCCGCAAGCACGGCACACAGCCCCGGTTCCCGCTCGTGCGTCTCCCTCCACACCTCCCTGCAAGCTGAGGTAGTGGGCTCCGGCCTTGGCCAGCCTGGAAAGGGACTCCCACAGTGAAGTGGGGGACTGAAGGGCTCCTCAAATGCCACCAAAGTGGGAGCCCAGGCAGGGGAGGTGCCGAGAGCAAGCGAGGGCTCTGAGGACTGCCAGCACGCTCTCACCTCTCAACACCATTCATTACTGTTTACATCTTTCCATAAAACTGCAGGTTTTATGCCTTGAGAGGTTTTAGCAAAGTGCTTTTCTACAACTGATTGAAATTTGTCATCTGAATTTAAAACATTAAGGGTAAATAAGGCCTGTGCCAGTAGTGTTGCAGCGTGCTTACTTATATTACCCTGTCTCTGTTATTAGTGCACATTTTTAAGGGTGAAGTGTCTGTGTTCTACTATTGCCTATCCTTGGGGGTTATATGGGATGCCTGTGGAATGTTGGAGTTTCCACCTGTGACAAAATTGTTGAAATCGTGAGCTGGTATAAGCTGGACCATTAAAAGTGTTCATTTTTGTGGGTCATCCCATAAATGCAAAAGTTAAAAGAAGATGTTTAATGACATATTGAGTAGGCTCTCCAGGCAAAGCATGTGCACTGATTAAATGACTGTTGGTATCAATGGATATATGCACATATCTTAGTTTCCCAAATTCAGGGATGTCTGTAACATCTGTTTGCCACAACTGATTAGGTTCGAATCCTGTAGGGTTCACACCTGTAGAAGGAGGGGGCGTGCCTGTGCGCTGGAAATCTGGGCATTGTAGGATAATTTGTTTAGCTAGCCTCTGGGTAAGTTGAAAATGGTTTAGATAAATTTCTCCAATTTTGGTGGAAAAATTGATGTGATTGGGTGGCTTGGTCTAGCAGTGATGTCATAACCTGAAGGTCTGCTTGTTCGTTGCCATAAGCCAATGGGCCAGGGAGTGGGCTGTGGGCTCGAATGTGTGTAGTAAAAATAGGATGTGAACATTAGTCTAGAATTGTTTAAGTCAGAGAAAAAGAGTAAACAGAGCTGGCTCCAGAGTGGACTTAATCAGTGCTGTTTCAAAGTTTTGTAACAAATAAACAGAGTATGCAGAATCACCTAACTATATTTATGGGCTGAGTGGAAAAAGTTTCTAAGGCCAACCAAACTCAGAGCCCCAGTTGCAGCTCTCTGCATGCTAGTAAACCCAGTTCAAGTGATTGAATAGTGTGGTCTCCTCCAGACTGCCACTTTTCCATGTTTAGCAGACCCCTCAGTAAACAGTGTTAAAGGATTAGGCATGGGGGTGTAAATTATTTTTATAGGCATTATTATCAGAGTGTGAGATAAGAAATGAAGGACTTCATCAGTAGGGAGGATGTGCTCTATTTGCCCTGTGTAATCAGAGAAAGCTATTTGCAGGTCTATTGCCAAAGGTAATACTGCTTCAAATTGCTTTTTACTTAAAGGAATCCTGATGACATCAGGGTCATAACCTAGTAACTGACTGCAATGTTTGCAACCTGAATAGATGACTTTAGTAATTAAGTGAATATAGAGAGACAGTGTTTTACTTCCAGTATGTGAACAAAAAACCCATTTTAGGAAATGTAGCCCAGGGGTCATTTGTCCTAGTAACCCTGTAGGGGAGTGTTTGTTGGGAAATACAAACAACTGAATTGAATATCATAGATCAATATGATCTAGCTGCCTCTGAGAGATGGCTAGCTCCATTTCCTCAATTTCTCTTGTTGCTGCAGGGATTAAATATCTGGAAGAATCAAGAGCTGGATTGCCTTTTAAGATAGAAAAAAGGTTTTGTAGTTTATTAGTAAGAATTCCTAAAATGGGATGGAGCCAGGTAATATCACCCAGTAATTTCTGATAATTACTTAATGTGTGTAATTTGCTAGTATTTAGTTTAACCTTTTGAGGTCTTACTGACTGGGAGGTTAACAGATATCCAATTTATTTCCAAGGAGAGAGCATTGGACATTTGTACTTTTCCAGGTGCAATGACTAAACTTCTCAGCTGTGCATTCTTTATGACAGAAGTAAACAAATTTAAAAGTGTTGGCCCATTTGGAGCTACTAGTAGAATATCATCCATAGGATGAATAATTTTATAGTCAGGAAATTCTTTTCTACTAGAGAGCAAAGATTGATTTACATGAAACTGACACATGGTAGGACTATTTAGCATCCTTTGAGGAAGCATTTTCTAATAAAATTGACAAGCTGGATTTTCATTATTGATAGCTGGTTTTGTAAATGGAAATTTTTCTCTCTCCTGTTCTGTTTTACTGGCTTATTGGACACAGGGGTGGACATCGGATAAATGGTATAGAAGCAATCTTTTAAGTCAATAACAATTATAGGTCAATCTTGAGGGATTGCTGCTGGGGAGGGGAGGCCCTTTGAAGGAGTCCCAGGGGCTGTAAATTAGCATTAATAGCACATCAGTCATGTAAAAGCCTCCATTTCACAGACTTTTTGGCAATGATGAAAATAGGCAAATTCCTGGGGCTGGTAGAATGTTCAAGATGTCCAGCCTTTAACTGCTCCTCAACTAACACATGAATCCTCTGTAGTTTCTCTACCTTCAGAGGCCACTCTTCTAAGCAGACCGGATCTTGAGAGAGCCAAGTCAGAGGTAGCGGAGGAATAACCACAGTGGTCATTGTTAGAAAGGGGTTTGCAGTGTGCCCCGCCCCCCAACAATTGCGCTAATAATTCCCATCCCCAGAGATTAACAGGGATAGGTGTAGTGCCTAACCTTGTTTTTACTCTAATGCGTTACTTTTAAATTTTCCTTGCTTGTCTCCTTAGTTACCCAGCCTTGTTTTTCCCATACAAGTAAGACTTCCTCTTGTCTGGGAAAGCCAGACAAACTCCATGTGGCTTCCTGATTTACCAGACATTAAGGGGTCCTTACCCAACCCCTTCCTCAAGGAGTTAACCTGTGTAAGCAGATCCTCAGCATATGGAAGGAGCCCAATTAACTGATAAGGTACTGAAACAAACAATGTAAGAAGTTCCCAGGATTTTACTCAAAGAAATAACAACATAAAGCCTTGAGACCATGCCTGGCATAACATCTATATCTAACTCTAATGAAGGATTTAGAGCCCCACACCTGGTTACACTGCTTTTTTTGTAACCATTTGTCTTTTAAATTGTTTGTCTCTCTGTAACCATTTGTTTCTTTGATTCTTGCATGTTTTTACTTCTGTAGAATTATTGCATTTGAGTTCCCCTCCCCTTCCTAAACCAAAGTATAAAAGTTAATCAAGCCCATTCCTCGGGGCTGAGAGAATTTTGAGCATTAGCCATCTCTTTGGCCGCTGGCTTAAATAATTCATCTCAAAGTGCGGCGTTTTCTCTCACTCATCTGGGTATAACAATGGGCGTGATCAGAGGTTGTATAACTGCCTTTCTTCCTTCTGAATCATAGCATGTTCAGGGGTGTGTGCTCTGTTTGGCTGTGTGTGCTTCCCCGATGCTGACAATTTTCTATTTCTCAGTGATCCAAGTCCAAATTTCTGGCCAGTTCTGATCACTAATGACTGAAATGTCAACCCCTGTGTCCAATAAGCCAGTAAAATTATTATTACCAAGTTTTAAGGTAATCATGGGTCTCCGATCAGTGATTAATTGATTCCAATATATTCCTGTAGCTCCTGTGCTTCCAAAACTTCCCTTTCCCCTTTCCTTCCCATGGGTATTAGGGTCTCACTATGGTAAAGTCTTTCACTAAGCTATTTTTGATCCAGGGGGAAGAATATGCAGACCTTTATATTCCATTATAACCAATATCTGATCTTGGTCATCACTATCAATTACCCCAGAGAGCATATTAATTCCTTTACTGGATAGGCTAGGCTGCCCAAGGACTAATCCTGCTGTTCCTAGAGGCAGCGGGCCACAGATCCCAGTCTCAACCATTTTAGGGCTTTCTCCCTCTTTTAGCACTAATTTGGCAGGGCAGAGAAAGTCCAGTCATGCACTCCCAGTAGTGGCTGCTCTAAGAGAGAGAACTGTGGGCTTTCCAGCTGACCAAGGAAAGCTGTCGGCATTGTCCCAGTTGGGATCAGGGCTTGGGGCTGGCCCCTCATGAAGTTTCTCGACTGATTTCCTATGAGATTGCCATTTTTATCAAATTTAGACCTGCATTGATTTGCCTAATGTTTCCATTTCCTACATTCGGAACATATAGAAGAGGGTTCTTTCCCTGAGTTAGCTCGGTTATCACTAGGGGGGCATTGCCTCTTCACATGACCTTTCACTCCACATAGAAAACAATTTTGGTGTCTCTCCCTTTTCACTTTCGGAGGGCTTAATGACATAGCTAATATTCTGGCCTTGTTTGTCTCAGTTCCTACCAGGTGAGGCACTTATATGAGCTCCTGGATGGTGCTTGCCTTTCCTTTGATTGCCTGCCATTGCCTGCTGGCAATCCACATTAGCGTTTTCAAAAGCCAGTTGCAGCAATAAGATAGGAGTGGCCTGGGTGTGACTAATTTGCCTCTTAATTGCCTGAGTTAACGGATCCATAAACTCAACAAATGGCTCCTAAGTCCCTTGTCAAACATTTACAAAAGACCTCTGCTGAACTCTGGTCTTGGGAATTTGGTCCCAAGCTCTGAGAGCACACAGACACTTCAGCAAAGGCCTGGGGATCAAAATTTAGTTGTTTTTATACATCAGCATGAGGACACCTCCCTTGGAGCTTATCAGCTATTATATTTTGCCCGGCTGCCTGATTCTGGTTGGCTTGTTGTTTGCACAAGCCGTCCATATCCTGCCTTCCAGAGGAGGAATGGGCTAGGCTCCAGAGTTGCTTTAGCTAGCATTGACCAGTCCCATGGGCCCACACAGAATTGGTCTGCTAAGGCCCCAATCATTCCTTTTGTAAATGGTCTAGTGGCTCCATTTTCTTTAATGCTTTTTCTTCATTGTTTATAAGAGTGAAAGGAAATGGGTTCATGTACTTGATTACCATGTTGGTCTTGCATTACTGGACAGGCTAAGAGCTCTCCTTCTAATGCCACTTGTTTAAGACAAGGTCCCATAGCTGAAGTATGTTTCTTGCCTTTTTTTCTACTTACAGTAAGACGGGGCTCAGGCAAACCCTCCATTTACTCTTTGTTATTTTGGCCCGGTGATAGTGGGACTGAGGGAAAAGGAGGTGATAAGGCAGGTGATGTTTCTCCCTCCTTCTCATTTTTAGGCTCTTCTGTGTATAATGGGACTAAACCATCCTTAGTAAAGCCCGCCATGTTAAAGCTGATGCTGGGACCTGACGACCCTGTGCATAACATTGTTTAAGATTTCTCCCTACTTGTTCCCAGAGTTCTACGTCTAGCATTCCTTCTTCTGGGAACCATGGATTATATGACCAAAGTTTATATTAATTTCATTAATTGAACCTGGGAAACTGAAGCCCCGCTAGCCGTAAGCAACTGTTTTAATACTTTTATATACTGTTTCTGAGGTGCTGATAACTGTTGTCTTATAATGAAAACTCAGCTTGAACCAACTTCCCCCAGAGCTTTGTGACCTCAAGTGCGGACCAATGACTTACTGATTACTCAGTGAGTTAACCATGCGGTTCCTTTCTTCACCTTTTTTTTGGGAGTCCAAGTCTTTCTATTGTGAATAGTGCCACAATAAACATACATGTCTTTATCATAGAATGATTTATAATCCTTTGGTATATGCCCAGTAATGGGGTTGCTGGGTCAAATGATATTTCCAGTTCTAGATCTTTGAGGAATTGCCACACTGTCTTCGACAATGGTTGGACTAATTTACGCTTCCACTGACGGCGTAAAAGCATTCCTATTTTTCCACAAGCTCTCCAGGATCTGTTGTTTCCTGACATTTTAATGATTGCCATTCTAACTGGAGAGAGATGATATCTCATTGTGGATTGATTTGCATTTTTCTAGTGACCAGTGATAATGAGCATTTTTTCATGTATCTGCTGGCTGCATAAATGTCTTCTTTTGAGTAGTGTCTGTTCATATCCTTTGCCCACTTTTTGATGGGGTTATTTGTTTTATTCTTGTACATTGGTGTAAGTTCTTTGTAGATTCTGGATATCGGCCCTTTGTCAGATGAATAGATTGCAAAATTTTCTCCCATTTCGTAGGTTGGCTGTTCACTCCGATGACAGTTTCTTTGGCTGTGCAGTAGCTCTTTAGTTTAATTAGATCCCGTTTGTCAATTCTGTCTTTTGTTGCTGTTGCTTTCAGTGTTTTGGACATGAATTCTTTGCCCATGCCTTTGTCCTGAATAGCATTGACCAGGTTTTCTTCTAGGATTTTAAAGGTCCTAGTTGTAACATTTAAGTCTTTGATCTATCTTGAGTGGACTTTTGTAAGTGGTGCAAGGAAGAAGTCCAGTTTCAGTTTTCTGCATATGGCTAGCCAGTTTTCCCAAACCATTTTTGTACTTCTTAAGAGTATATTTGAAAATTATTCCTCATGATTAAGATTTATGTCTTTTAGAAGGAGAAGCAAGCTAGTAGCATTTTAGATATAATATACACTGAGCTGTTTTCTTTTTTCACAGGAAGTGTCTTTATTCAAAATTTCCACTAGTTTTAAAATTGATCAATGTAAACAAATTATAATTAAAAAAACTTTTCCTACAATTACAAAGTAGTATTTGCTAAACAAATTCTCCTTTAAAATGATTTGCATCAGGTAAACTTAATTTTGTCTAAACTAAAGGCTATAAAAACCTTGGAAGAAAATATTTAGTACCATGTAATTAAGGGAATTAGTATCACATTTTCAGGTACCCAACAATTACTACGTTTTTACAAACATGAAAGTAAAAGAAAACAACTATGACTCTTATTATATCACTACAGTCTGTGATTTTTCTTCCTTTTTCTCATTTATTTATATTCATCATAGGTTTAATTGCATGCCTCTGCATTTCTCTGTATACCTCTGAAAGATTAATATATGGTTCTGCAATTATATATTTATTTTACCTTTGAAAAGGTATACAGCATATCATGATACATTTTCCATTAGTGTTGTACCCAAGCGAGTTAGAGGAATGTCACACTTTGAAATGAATTTAAGGGTCCTTTATTTAGCCGGCAGCCGAGAGGCGGATAACGCTCAGAATTCTCTCGGCCCCGAGGAAGGGGCTTGATTTTCCTTTATACCTTGGTTTAGGAAGGGGAAGGGGGCTCAGTTGCAACAATTCTACAGAAGTAAAAACATGCAAAAAATTAAAAAGACAAATGGTTACAGAGAAATAAACAGTTCCAGGTGCAGGGGCTCTAAATATATTATAAGATGTCAGGTATGGTGGCTCTGCTGAACACAAACTCAAGGCTTTATGGTGTTATCTCTTGAGTGAAATCCTGGGAACTTTGTACATTGCTTGCTTCAGTACCTTGCTTTGTGCATTGCTTGCTTCAGTTAATTGGACTCTTTGATGCGTAGACAATCAGCTTACACAAGTTAACTCCTTGAGGAAAGGGGGTGGGTAAGGAGTCCTTGATATCTTGTAAATGAAGGAGCCAAATGGAGTTCGTCTGGCTTTCATAGCTAAGGGAGAGCATATTCACATGGAAACAAGGCTAGGTGATTAAGGGAGAAAGGGAGAGTCTAAAAACAAGGTTAGTAAAAGCAAGGTTAGTAAAAACAAGTTTAGGTATTGCATTAGTATACCTATCTCAGAATGCACATAACTTTAGAACCTATAAAACTTTTGCATGGGTTAGAAACTAGGCAATGTTAAGCAGTATTTATTTACAAAACATGTCTAATTTATAATGGGAATAGGATGAGAAAAGATGCTTTCTTTTTGGTTTGACAACATTATGGGCTCTGAGGGTTACTCAAAGAAGACAGATTTCATCTTAGAAGTGGGTATTTGCTTACTAGGGTTGAAAGCGTTATGGTGGTGGCATGCTCCCAGATTACCACTTGAGATGCATCGCTGGTTGATCTACAGAGCAGCTTTGATGCGGTTTTACCCAGCCAGATTCCTGCTATCCTGGCTGCAAGGTTTGTTTTCTTTTGCTTGTAGTCAGAGGGGAAGTGATGCTTGATTTTCTACTTGCCTCTGAACTTTAGAGCTTAATTTTGCTCCAGGAAAGAGGAGAATTTCTTAAATCTGAAGTGTTTCACTTAGCTTTATGAAAGTAGGAAAAAATAAAATAAAACAAAATAAAAACAATCCTTGCTGGTTTCTTATTCATATTCCATCTATTAACTGCTGGATTGAAACTCTTTTTAAAAATTTTTTGATGACTTCTGAATCAAAGTAACAATGCAGGCAAAGCTCCCACACCTGGAAACTAAGAAAGGACTTGCACAAAAGAAAGTAAGACAGAAAGAGAAAATATGAAGGTTCTGAGGTTACCATGAAATTGATTCTAAGTTCCTTTGCCTGAGAGTCGAATCCTTTCTACAATTGGTTGGAGTTCCATTCTCCTTTCAGGGCTCAGCTCGTGTTACACTTTCTCTCCAATCTCTTGTAGCTTTTCCTTACATTACTTCATTTTCTCTGGCATGAAGAAACGGTGCAGAGGAAAATACAATATTGAGTAGATTTTGCAGTGAAATATTTTAATTGCAGAATGGTATGGAAAACAATGGATGCTAGGATAAAAATTGTGTGTGTAAGCTTATTGAGAAATTTGAATGAATGTCAGTTTCAGGAGAGTTTAGACTTGAAAGTGTCGTTAAAAGTATGTTTTCATATCATGCTTGTGTTTGACATAAAAATGTGTAATATTTTTTATGTCAGAGAAGGTAGTTTTCATATATTGTGCATCAACCTATGGATCTCCAATTTCCAAATGTGCAGTACATGCTCAACAAACTGTGGAACAGAATGATGAATGAGTAACATTAACCGAACTCTTTAGAAAATTGGCATACTAAAGTTCATACTAAAACATGAATGCATTCTCTTTATTCAAGTAATTAATTTCTAATAATCCCATTCATCTTAGATACAAAACTTAATTAGCTTAGTAATAAAATTACTGGTGATAGCATATTATTTTACTAAATATATGCTTTAGAATGTACTAACAGTTTCTGTCCAAGTTTATCCTTATGGAAACCATAGTAGTAAAAGCATTCTTATGTCCAGCTTTCTTTTTATCAGGTTCTAAAGAGAGGACATATTAATAGTACACACGTAAACAGTAGCTGACTGAATTTTTAAAAGATTAAATAAAGAAGCACTAAGACAAGCATTAAAATTTTATAAACAATTATTGCTTATCCTTCATTAGACAGCAACAACATTGATAAGTTAACAGGCAGCATTTTTACAAGTTCAGAGGGTGTCTGAGTACTCAGTGGGATTTATTATGTGAAACAATACTCACATAAACCTGAAGAAAGTGTACTTATTTTATATACATAAAAGGTAGCAGGTAACCTACTTAGAGATTACTTGAAATTTCTACTTGGATGGGCCCTTTCATCTCTGTGAGAATGTAGAGCAGGTCAAGTTCTCCTGGGAGGCTGTGGTAGTAGTCTTTTGTGCAGATTGTTTTGTGTTTTTAGAATTTTTAGTTTCTCAGGTCGCTGATATGGCTCAGTCATTATAGTTTCTCTGGAGTGGTTGGTCTGGAGCAGACATTCCCAAACTTCCTGGTACCAGGGACTGGTTTCATGGAAGACAATTTTTCCACAGATCATGGGTGGGGAGCTGATGGTTTTGGGATGATTCAAGAACATTACATTTATTCTGTACCGGTATTTCTATTATTACAACACTGCAATATATAATTAAATAATTATATAACTCACCATAATGTAGAATCAGTGGGAGGCCTGAACTTGCTTTCTGTCCCAGGGTGATGGCAGACAGTGACAGATCATCAGGCATTAGATAATCATAAGAGTGCACAATCTAGATCCCTCGCATAGACAGTTCACCACGGGGTATGATAATCTAATGTCACTTCTGATCTGACAGGAGGTGGGGCTAAGGCAGTAATGCAAGCAATGAGGAGTGGCTGTAAATACGGATGAAGCTTTGCTGGCCTGCCAGCCACTCACCTCTTGCTGTGCAGCCAGTTCCTAACAGATCATGCACTGGTACCTGAATGAGTGTTTAGAATCATCAACGTCTTTAAAGTGGTTAGCATATCCAGAACAAACAGTGTGTCCAGGTAAGAAAGGCCTACCTATGGGGAGTGATTAGTCACTCCTGTAGAGTCAGTCTATTAAGGCTGATTGACATATCTTACAGTTTTTATCAAGACAGTGCTTGGTGAATAAATATGCAATAAATGATAACCATATATTCAAAATTAGTGTTTCCTGCATGTTTCAGCTGGGTTTGTTTTTAGGTGATCATATTGTTTCTTCATGGACTAGTCATAAGAATACTCAGTTGAATGCTCAGTTGAACCTTGGAGGAAACATGCATCACTGTTTATACAGCAAAAATAACTGAAGTAAATTGTTTGTTTAGAGTCTCCTGGCTCTGCTAAAGTCACCAGAATAATCACCGCTTAAAAGTTACCAAACACTGCATGTTCTCACTCATAGGTGGGAATTGAACAATGAGAACACATGGAAACAGGAAGCGGAACATCACACACCAGGGCCTGTTGTGGGGTGGGGGGAGGGGGGAGGGATAGCATTAGGAGACACACGTAATGTTAAATGATGAGTTAATGGGTGCAGCACGCCAACATGGCACATGTATACATATGTAACTAACCTGCACGTTGTGCACATGTACCCTAATACTTAAAGTATAATAAAAAAAGAAAAGTTTATCATAGATAGTACATATTTGAATCTATGCATATTTATGAACTATGAAAATGACTGCCATGTTCATAACAACGGTAATATAAAACAGTTTATGGGCACTCACTGGAAATCAAATGTCAAAGACTCAGAGACTAAGTCATTTAGAAAAGAAAATAAATTCATTTGCAGAAAATTATTAATTGGAGTACAGGTTTTAACAGAACTTGCTGTAAAATTAAAAAAAAATGACTAGATATTTAATTTATCAAAGCTGTAATGTTCATGATGGACAATTAATAACTTCTTTGAATTATTGTCAAATTAGATGACATTCTCCCATTTTTATATATCAACATTTCAAAGGCCAAGATAAAATTATTTTTGTTAGGGAGTCAGTAACTTACAGAAAAGCTCAAGATTTGATTTAATTTTTGGAACCAGACAGAATGAGTCTGTTTTTCTTGTTGTTGTTGTTGTCATTGTGGTTTACCTTAGGGAAAATGAAGCATTTAAAAATGTTTTCCTTGTGTGGAATATGATGTAAACCCTCATTCCTTTAATGGAGCAGGGCAAGGTGATACAGTATTTCCTTATAGACACTGTGCAAGGCACTCTATTCACTTATCTCTAACAACAAGCCCATGATGATCACAGGGCACTGCTTACTCACTGAATTTTACAGTTACACTAGAGGTGGAGTTAAACCTGCATTGGTAATACATTAGGCTTAGTAAATAATTTAGTGAGCCCCTTGAGAATGATCTAAGATATGAGCACCTAATTGTACCAAATGTATGGTCAATATTATTTCCTGTTAGAGACTCATGATGAGATTACAGAGAAATTAGAAACTAATTAAACATATAGAACCAAAGTTTTCATTCCCTAGTTCAAGCTCATCAGTACATTTTACTTTCTTTCAGATGCAGACATAATTTATTGTTTTTGAAGAATCTCTATCTCTTTATCTCTCTCTGTTTCTCTCTCTCTGTTTCCCTCTGTTTCTTGGTTTCCCTCTCTCTGTTTCTCTATTTGCTTCTCTCTGTATGTTTCTCTCTCTCACTCTCTCTCTCTCTCCTGCTTTATATTATATGCTAGCAAAGGATTAGGCAAGGATAGATGTTCTCTAAAGACAGATATTGCCTGTTTGAAAAGCTAAGGACAGGCCAACCAAAAAATAAAGAAACTAACACTGATTTTTTTAAAAAGCCATACGTAGCGTCAGTGATGAGGACCTCTCATTTTTGTTATTACTGCTGTTTCATTCAAGAAACTGAAAACTAGGACAAGATTTGTTCCCACATACACAGGTAAGAGCAGCTCAGCCACAATAAAGAGATGTCTCACTGATTTGAGTGAAAAATGCAGGACCCCATTTACATGGAAATATAGTATTTTAAAATAAAAAAAGCTGAAGTTTTAAGCATTCCAATTCACAATGTAAATTTTGTCTTTTTTATGTAAAATGAGATAATGTAAGTAAGACACTTCTGTTGTAATTGTTATTGCTATTGAGGTTATCATCCCTGTTCTTGTTAATATTACTTACTTTTAATTTTCTGTTTTAATTGTTATTGCTACTGAGGTTATCATCACTGTTCTTGTTAATATTACTTACTTTGAATTTTCCTGTATAGGCCTTAATCTAACACTTTCTGTACCAATGCTTGTTTGGCAAAACTATTTTTTTAGGTAAAGAGTATACAATTTAGTGTCTCAATAATGTTGCATAATTACCCATACCAAAACTTGGTGGTATTTTATAGTAAGCATGTATTTTTGCCTTTGTAACTGCAGAAAAAGAGGGATTTTTTACTCTTCTAAGCTTAGTTGGAATTGGTTTTGTCTCAGTCGATTCTAATGTGTTCTCTTTAAACCTACAGCTAAGTTATTTTCTTCTTGTAAAGAAAAGCAGGAAAGCAAGACGGTAAGTTCAATTGCCAAACACATTTCAAGACCTTCCCTGTTTTTCATGTCTGGGCATCCCATTAACCCCTAACAGGAAGCAAAGGAACGGGAAACACAGTTCTGCCATGGAAATTATGAATATGTGCTAAGCAACAGGACTATTAATTTTAAATAATAAGCTGTTAGGTGGTTTTTATTCCATGAACAATTAGATTGCAAGTGACTTGTACATGTTACCTTTCTACTAGAAATCCATACCCAGAAAGCTTTATCCATCACTCCTGATTTTAGAGGTGTTCAGTTGTCAGATTTTTTTCTCACTTCCACTGGCTGCATTGCTCCACTCTTCTAACCATCCTCCTATTCATTTTAAAGTCAACGTGAATTATGTCTTGCTTGTCAGAGTTTATTAATGTTGGATCCTGAAATTATAAAGATTGTTATGTATCTTTCCAATTCTTACGGTATTATTTTTATGGGAAAATGTATACCCTTTTGAAAATAACTAATTTGAAATAATTTTGTAACATAATCCATTTTACAATAAGAAATCTCCTCTCTCAAACACACACACACACACACACACACACACACACACACACACACAGTCTCCATGGCAAATTTATTATAATTCAAATAAACATGAAATATTAAATATTTAAATGTTAAATATTTAATTTAATATAATATAAATATGTTTATATCATATAATGAAGGGATTTTTTTGTTAAATACAGGGTAAGTTGATATGTTTTTTCTTTTTGTCACAAAATTGCCAAACACATGTGTCAAAGTATTAATACACAGTATCATATGTATGACATTCCATCTGACACATTTTGACATTAATTCATCTTTTGATCCAAAAATTTCTTCCTATTTTAATAAAGATACACATTTGAATTTTATCCGTTCTGCACCTTTTTAAGGCTCCCTTTAATAATGAACTTCAAAATTAAACTTTTATATTTAATATTATTGTTGGTATAGTCTCATTTTTATAAATATTTGTCCTGTTCTTTAAATGATGATGTATGATACATAGGCAAAAGGATATCCTGGAGCTTTTATATTTTATTTTATATATATTTTTGAGACAGAGTCTCACTGCCTCACCCAGGCAGGAGTGCAGTGGTGTGATCCTGCCTCACTGCAATCTCCAACTTTGGGTTCAAGTGATTCTTCTGTCTCAGCCTCCTGAGTAGCTGGACCAAAGGCATTCACCACCATGCCTGGCTAATTTTTTATTTGTAGTAGAGATGGGTGTTCTGCCATATAACCCAGGCTGGTCTTGAACTGCTGACCTCAAGTGATTCACCCGACTTAGCCTCACAAAGTGCTGGGATTACAGATGGAAGCCATCGCACCTGACATTTTGCTAATTTTATTTCGATCTCGTGGATAGTTGCTTGTAGTGAAAGAGCCAAGAATTAATCAACACATCATAGATACACACAACTAAATTTCCGAGAGGAATATATTGCCCAGATCAAGTAAGTTTCCATGGAAAATTATTAACAAAGACCTCATTCAAGAGGATTGCAGAAAGTGAGCTATGCTCAGCGGGGTTGGTATCATAATGTGGTAAAAAGAAAGTGAATAAAATTATATGATTAATTTTTTTTTTGCGGTTGCAGGTCAGCATCCATTGCTTATACCACGTACAGTGCCCCACTCAAACTTGAATGGCAGTGAGGCAGTCAGGATTTGGAGGAAGGCCCAGCAAGGACAATCAGGGCCCAAGGATAGAATGCTGGATTTGCCTGTGGTGCTTTGTGATCTTTCACAAAGTAACTGCGAAATGATGAGTGTAGACAGCATATCTTCTGTCATAAATTAGACATTTCAACCAATATTATTACCTTAAATATATCTGTTCTTACTCTAAATAGTTAAATCCACTGTATTTCAAGATTTAAAGTTGAATCCAAAGACTCTTTAATGTTACAAAGAAGTATGAAGTTACCTTAAGTTAAAATTGTTCAGTGGACATTGAAATAACTACGGCTGTCAACAGTGGCTGACGCCTGTAATCTCAACACTTTGGGAGACCGAGGCTGGTGGATCATGAGGTCAGGAGATCGAGGCCATCTTGGCTATGGTGAAACCCCATCTCGACTAAAAATACAAAAAATTAGCCGGGCATGGTGGCAGGCACCTGTAGTCCCAGCTACTGAGGAGGCTGGAGCAGAGAATGGCATGAACCTGGGAGGTGCAGCTTGCAGTGAGTTGAGATCATGCCACTACACTGTAGCCTGGGCACACAGCATGAGACTCTGTCTCAAAAAAAGAAAAAAAGAAAAAGAAAGAAAAAAGAAAGAACTACAAACACCTCCCAAAATTATTCTTCATGTTGACATAAATAATGTTCTATCAGGAGTATATTTTAATATGTGCTTCAATAATGATCTCTCTCCATTAGAAGCCTCTAGGAGAGAAGGAATCATTGAGTTTCAATCACACAACTATTACCAGAGACAGACTTACAGTTGCTTTGAAAAACGTGCTCTTTTACAGTTTTCATTGGAGGAAATGAATATCTGACAATAGAGAACAAATTTTGTAATTCCTAAATACCTGACTAGTAGTATCATTTGTATATATATTTATTTTCATTTATCAGGAATTATTCTTGCACCTACCTTAACTGTAATTACCAACTCAGCAACGTAAAATCACACTGTACCTAAAAATACAAACAGTATCCTACTGAAGTTAAACATGCTATCATGCTGAGGTTGGGTTGCCGTCTTTTCCTCTGAAACCACAAAGAGGTTCTGCATGTTACTGCCTTCAACATATGCACTTGCTAGTTTCTGTTTCCATTGTTAAAAATAGACTCCTTTGACAATCATTTTTAAATACTTTCCATCCTACAAAGCTTATTAGCTTTACTTTACACAACCATTCAGCACATATTGCTACTAAATAGTTGATTTGTCATCAAATAATGAAACCTGTAATTTGTAGGAAGAACGGAAACCTAGGCTCCAGGAATCCCAAAGTAGAAATCCTCCTAGGAGTTATAGTAATTTGAAACTCTGCCATAGATTATTAGTGATGAAGTGATCCATAAAACTTTGTGAGAGGTACTGCGTCCGTGACATTGTGTCTAGCAAGAATAAGGGATACTCAAGATACATACTAGTTTTCACTTATTTCACATTTATACCCATGAATCTGTGACACAACTCTTCAAAATGTTGTGGATCAGCTACCCACAAGACAGGGAGAATAAGATACGACTGTACACTGTGTTCCAGACATTAAGAATTTAATCCTCAAACTCACCCAAATGAATACAGTTGGAATAATGGCTACCCACTTCTGGGTAAAATAAAATGCATTGTAAACCTTAACTTTTTCGTTAAAATGTAAGTATAGTATTAACCGTCATTGTTCATGCTATCTTTTAACCTCATTGCAGTGAAGAGAATAGTGGATGATATGCAGACCATCACTCTCCTGCCTTTTCAGTAAAATTATAAAGGATGATTTATTGAATGTTCTTGGAGAAGCAAATTAATTTTCACAACTTTTCCAGGTTTCTCATTACCAAGTGATCACTTCTTGTAAAGAAATAGAAGACAGTTCTGCTGAATTAAAACATGATGTATCAATTGGTCTGAAATTTCTGTCTTCTGTTTTAACTGAGGCCTTATTTGACAATATTCAAGATATGCATTTTCTGTTTTTGTTTTGTTTTGTTTTGTTTTAAGTAGGCACTATGGAGCCAGAAAAAGGTGCCTTGCTGCTGAGTTAAAGTTAACAGAGGCTATACTGGTCTTACAGAAGATCCAGGGGGCAGATTGGCCAGGAAAGAAGGGCCATGGTCAAGAGCCATTAAAGTGTTCCCCTCAGGGTGCCTTAATAACAGCCGAGGCATTAGAGGGATTCCCTCTAGAGTCATCAGTTTTGATTATTTAAGTCTTTTTCCCCCTGTTGACATATAGAGAGACACAAAGCTAGGAAACCAGTAACTCTACTCTAGTTACAGTAGGTGCTGGTGTAAAATCACAAGTCTCCAAAGCCACTTGTAAATACACGACCCATCTGACTAAAGAGTGTTCCTCTTGGGAAATACGCTATATTATCAAAAGGCGGAATTTTGTGAACTGATACTATAGTTTAAACTCAGGTTACCGGTTGTTCTGAAGTTCTTATAATTATAGATTGAAATGATGATGGTTTGTTTTATTCCAACTCATTGAAGGCACAGTTATTCCCTTCTACCCACCTCCCCCCGCCAAAAAAGTGTATTCTAAACACTGAAACAAAGTGATGGTATTCCTTTGGAAAAGTCCATCCCCACATCTCTGCCCATCCAATGCCAAGATTTATTTTGACAAAAATAGTTTCAGTGGTACCTCACTGATGGCAATTGTAATTTTGTAAAGATTTATGAGTTGTAATTTTGTAAAGATTTATGAAGTTCAATTAGAGCCATCACTGCTGTTAGAAAAGCAGTCTCATTTACATTGTTGAAAAAAGGAAGTTCTTCCTAGAAAGGGGAGGTGGCTGGCAAGGTCCAATTGGAAAAGCATTCAGAAGACAAGAAGGTGAATTAGCGAAGTGGAAAGAGAGGTTGAATGAAAATGTATACAATTTTTTATGACAAACTGGGTGTAAATCATAGTTTATGTATAATTCTAAAGACAGAGGATTGATGGCCCTACATCAACTTTAGTGCCAGAGTAAAACTAAAGGAGATGTGTGCCACTGGGGTCTTTCCTAAAATACAAAGTTAAAAAAAAAAAAAAAAACACATAGAAATAATAAACTGAGAGGCTGAGAGTGAATAAGGGACTGAAAGTTAATAAGACTATCTGGAAGTCACTGAAGAAATAAAGCCATAAACAGAAAAAATGAACCATGTTTAAAAAGCTGTAGGAGCATGACCAGGTCATGCCAAACGGTGCAAGTTGGGTTTGACTGGTTCAGTTGAAGCCAGAACCTACAAATAATATACAGATAACAGAGATCCACTTCCATTTACACTTCCTGCGTAGCACAAATTTTGGCTTTCTTATTTAATGAAATAATATAGTAACAGAGTTCATGATGATTACAAGCTCTAAGTTATCTTTAGCTTTTTGCTGGCCCCTTTCCTTCCTTCCTTTTTCCTTTCTTCCTTCCTTCCTCCCTCCCTTTCTTCCTTCTTCCTTCCTCTCTCCCTTCCTTCCTTCTGTCTTCCTTCCTCCTTCCTTTCTTCTTCCTCCTTCCTTCCTTCCTTCCTTCCTTCCTTCCTTCCTTCCTTCCTTCCTTCCCTCCTTCTTTCTTTCCTTCCTTCTTTCCTTCCCTTCTCCTTTCCTCATTTTAAATTAGGAGTCCAATTGAACCATGCCTTGTGCTTTTTTTGACCTAACATACAGGCTTTAAAATGTTCCTGATTGGACCATAATATCAGGTGGCCCAGGAAAAGCAGTGAATAATTCAATCTGATTTAGTTTGTCTTTGATTTGAAACTTAAGACCATGAAATGGTATCATCTCCAGCACCCTGAGTAGGAGTAGTTCACAGAAATAGGTGATAAGTAATTTATTTAACCCCTCAGTTTTGAAATCTTCGAGAACTTAGTTGAAATAAAGATGGTGTAGTCTACCAATAAAATCAGCTAAGACTTTAAGATCAAGCGGAGGTAAGGCACTGAAAATTTTGAATTGGTAAAGCTGATGTTGTGTTACTAATTTTCTCTGAGAAAATGACATGGAGCAAGATATGAGACCATCAAAAAACAAACAAAAAGAGGTACTTAATTGAATTTAAAAGAAGTTAGATGACTTTAAATTGATTTAAAGATATTTTTTAAATCTATGTCTGATTTCACAAAATTGAATGTTTTATAATCAAATAAACTTGTTTTGAGTTTTAAAGTCACACAACCATACCCACACATTATTTTTGTTAACTAATGGAGAAGAACACAAGTTCTACCTATTGACACAGTGGCAAAATAATTAAAAGGAACACACAACTCAAATTGTTCTACACACACACAGGCTTTCTAAGTGACATACAGGGTTAATTCTATGTAGATTGCATAAAATATTTCAGTCTTGTGTCATGTTCTTCTCTTTAAAAATGAAGAATAAATACAGGCAGAATAAAAACTAACAAAAATGAAGTAAACTTTTTTTTTTTAAACAGAAGTAGAGAATAAGTCAGCACAATGTCATTGGGATATCCATGAGGGCTAAACTTAAGTGAATATAGACAAGATGCTTAGAGATATGTCTTAAAGCAGTATCTGCAAAGTAAGCACACTGTTTTCACTTACTTTATATGTAATACATTGGGCCGGGAGTGCGAGGAGGGCCACTGCTTGTCCCTGCACTGATCCTCAGTCACAAGCTATGACAGTGGTAGTGAAAATTAGATAATAGGTCTGATATAGAACATTCAGATTGAGTGCAAGATAATAAATATTTGTAGACATCAGGCAGAGTGCAAAGGTTCCACATTTGCAGCAACTATTGTTTTTTGAATAAAAGTTTTTAAATGCTGGGAGAAGTAAGCTATACCATTATAGATCTGAGACATCTGGAGAGGGAAACTCATTATCCGCAACAAGTCTTGACAGCTGGAACTTCACTGATAGCTGATGCAAACATTCCCCTATGGTGACTACGATTACCAATACTGTACTGTATACTTAAAAAACTTGCTCAGAGAGTAGAAATTTATTGTTCTCCCCCAAAACAAACAAAGAGAAAACACCCTAAACAGATACCAAACGCAATGAAATTATCTTAAGGGGTACTAGAAATAATGACAAATTTCCTATATGTGAATGGCATTTACACTAGCAAGAAGTTTCTAAAAAGCAACAATTAAAAATAAAGCAGCAGGGGTTTTTCAAGCCATGATCTAAAATAATATATATATTTTTAAAAAACTATCATTAAAATGTGATTGTGAAATAAAGATACTTCATGATATATAAAACTTGAAAGGATGTAGTACAAACAATTTGTTTGCTGAAATAATTTCTTAAGGTTAAGTTTCAGTAAAAAGGAAATTCACACAAAAGGGAAAATTCAAGAAGGTGAGTAGACAAATTAATAAAGAAGAGCATATCCCTAAGCTAGCAATAACAATATAAACAATAACACTAACAACGAGTAATTAAGCATATAGGTAAGTTGTGCCTAAAATTCTAAACAATATGATTAGAATTTAATTACAATTGATAGAGTTTATGAGAACAAAATTATGAGCCATATAAAAATAAACATTTAAAAAAACACAACAATTTTCAAAGAGAGGTACTAAATTTTATTGAAGGGCATAATAAATGAAAGCCAAAATATACATAAAAAGGTGGCCAGGCAATTGTTAAAAAATCTTCACATGATAAGACGTGCCTTTCTATATTAATACAAAAATTCAGGCAATCATAATAAAAGTTACAGCAAGATGCTTCATGTACATTGACAAGCTGATTCTAAATACAGAATTGAAAAGGGATGGGACTCATCTGGGCAAATTTGTAGTAAGTGTGGGAGAACAATGATGTTGAAGAGGAAGATGGAAAAGAGGACTCTTTTTTTAAATTGATTTTTGAAAAGGAGTTTTGCTCTTGTTGCCCAGGCTGGAGTGTTGTGATGCAATCTCGGCTCACTGCAACCTCCACCTTCCAGTTTCAAGTGACTCTCCTGCCTCGGCCTCCTGAGTAGCTGGGTGACGCCTGCACCACACCTGGCTAGTTTCTGTAATTTTAGTAGAGACATGGTTTCACCATGTTGGCCAGGTTGTTCTCGAACTCCTGACCTCGTGATCCATCCCCCTTGGCCTCGCAAAGCGGTGGGTTTACAGGTGTGAGCCAATGTGTCCAGCCGAGGACTCTGTTTAATAGGGAACACTTTCATACAGCTGTTTCTAAATATTGTAGTATGGAAATCTATTGCAAATAGAAGTAACCCAGAAGTAAATACACTATTATGACAGAAGTTGCAGTCTAAGCAATGCTGAAGTGATGCACTATTCAATAATATCCTAAGAAAAAAATTGAAGGCAAAATGGACTAAACACATTTGTTAAAGACATATAAAAGTAAATCTTTTCATCACAGTATGCACAAGAGTAAATGGACTATGATTTTAAAAATACATGTAAAAACCAAAGCTGCCAAATTGCTAGAAGAAAATATTAGAGAATAGTTTATAATATCAGAAAAATACTGTTAATAATGTTCAAAAGGCTTTAATAAAAAATGAAAATTTTAGCTGAGTGTGGAGGCTCACGCCTGTAATCCCAGGACTTTGGGAGGCCGAGTTGGGCAGATCACTAGGTCAAGAGATTGAGACAATCCTGGCCAACATGGTGAAACCCATCTCTACTGGTTAGTAGGGATTATTTTAATTATATTATATTTCATCCTCCAAACATGTTTCCCCCTACAGTATTCCACTATTTCAGAAATTCACAGCACTATATACCTTGTATTTCAAGCTAGAAATGTAGAGGATGATCCTTGAGGCAGCCTCTTCTTGATGAGTCTTCATCCTTCACGCCCAACACTTCACAGGTTGTGTGTCCTCTCCGAAAATTACATAGTCTTAGTAAATAAAGACTGGCCCCTAAACAACCTTCAATCATCCACTATTTTTTTTCTTTGCAATTCACGTCAGTTTCTTTACAGAACAGCTGGAGCTCTGCAAAGTCAATGTTGGAGTAAGTACCATTCTCTGCCAGTATTAACTGTTTTCTTTATCACAATATAAATATTCCTTAAAAATGCCCAAATGAAGCTATACTAAGTAACAAAGTTAAATAGTTAAATGATGTCTTTGTTTTACAGAAAAGTACCAGGCCAACAGAGTCAATTATTATTATATGATCTTTATAACTACACACACAGTTGCTAGATATTTTAGACCCCACTTCATACATCTGAAATTTGGGCCTCAAAATATTTAGCATATATTAAAGTCTAATGTCAGATGACAGAACTGCCTCTTTCCACAGTATTGTGCTACCTCGCTTTAAGAACCAGCTGGGAAATCATTAAGAATATAAAATGTCCTTTTCTTGAACATCTCCCAGGTGAGCCAAAAATCTAAATTTTCTGTGGAGATGTTGTCATGTGCAATTTCATGAAAACGTATAAAATTTTAATCACAGCTATGCTTCAGTGGCATACCTGTTCATCCAATACTGCACACCTGCTTTAACACAGAAAAATGTGGAAGTTAATACAAGTATTAACATTATAGACGCTGATATCTGAAGACACTTTCCAATCTCCCATGAATATGTGAAATTCAAAATGTCAGTACAGTCTCCAAAATATCAAGGTAATCTTAGTAGCAGTGGATCATTTAGAAAAGATAATTTTGCCACCGTGGTCAAATATTTTTGTTAAATACTGCTATTTTATGGCTATCCATAGCATTACCTGACACACAGTGTATAGCTAGAACCATGTTCCTAAAGAAAATGTTCAGAAGTAGGTTTCTTGCTTTTTGCTAAATTGCAAATTAACAGGTTAATTACTCCTGTGAAGTGCTAGATAGATGGAGTAGTATTTATCAAGAATGAGAAAGAAGACAGGGGCATATGACTTGAGAAGGCAGGAGTGAGGAAAAGATAAGGTATTTATTCCTGACTCCTGACTTGATGTTCTTTGTGTGTTTTCTTTCTGTTGCTGTTGTTGTTGTTGTTGTTGATGTTTTACTTTATCTTAAGTGTCAGACCAGAGTTTCACAAATATCCCCAAATAATTACATGGGTCATAAAATATATATTCAAATATTTCTCATTATTTGGTTCAAAATCCTTGTTCAATCATTTGAAATGAGACCTGGAGAGCCAGCAATTCTAACAAGTATGCTAAGTGATTGTTACCAAAATGACAATTGTGAAATATTTAGAAAACCATGCAGGAGATACGTAATCAACATTTAATAATTGGTTCTTATTGTAGGGGAAAAGATTTTGTTGAAATGACTATTTAAATGCAAATTTTATTAAAAAGATAGAATTGAGCACTTCAGTGCTTTCTAATTAGTATCTTTAAAGTATGTTTTGCTAAAGTGGCAAAATTATTTTTTTCCATTAGAAGTTAGCATTATGGCCACAAATGACTTCTGAGTTAGCTTTTTGAAAATCTTCAGATCATAAATTCTAAAAATTATCTTGGGGGTTTATAAAACTCCAGAAAATCACTAAGAAAAATATACATAAAATTACCAGCGCCCCAAAAAATCAAAATAACTACACAAGAAAATCTATAAACAATCTAGCCCAGTAGAAGAAAGCAGGACAGGTAAATAGATACATTTTAGAAAAGAAGAAAGTCATATGACCAATGAAAAATGGCTAGATGTTTGAGCTCATTAGTAATCTGGGGATATAAATCAAAACCACATTACGTTCCAACTTTTGTTCATTTGTTTGGCAACTATTAAAATAATAATATCAAGTGTAGTCAAGGATGTATGGAATGATAATTTGGTTCCATCAATCACAGGATTATCTAATGATATTTAGTAAAATTAGGGTGACTAAAATATTTATTGTTCCAATGGAAACTTTTTTTAGAATAAAAGGTTACCAACATATGCAAAATTATTTAATATTTATTATGTTATTTCCTTACAGGCATTTTTTTTTTTTACTGTATCAATGGAGCTATGAAATCGTTACCTTCCAATTACTTCTGAAAATGAAATCCCTTCAGAAATTTAAATTCACAATTACATATCTTGAGGCAAAATAGAAAAATAACTTCTTTGTATTTATTATTGAAGTATTACAAATAAGAGGAAGAATAATTATTCTAGAACATATTTATATGTATTAATCTGTTTCTTAATAATTACCTGTAGTTTTTTTAGGAAAATGCATTTGTTTTAATTTTATATTGATTTTTAAATAAAGTTACTTGCAAAAACTTTTCCAAAGTTGCTTTTTCTTGTCACCAATAAAAGTTATCCACAATGTTTAGCTTTTCAAGTGAACTTTTTTAAAAAAAGTATCATATTGTTCAATGTTTTTTTTCCTGACACAATAATATTTCAACAGCTTTATTTTGGTTCCAATGATTGATTAAAAATCAAACCATTTTTTAATCCAATTTTCTGTTTGAAACATCTAGATGGCATTATTCAATTATTTTGGAATTTCTTCTGTAGCTAATGGAGCTAATATACTAACAATTACTGATGCATATTTCTTAAGTGCAGAAAAATTAGAATTAAAAATGTACACGATTGTTTTTAAAAAACAGTAATTTGATGTCAATAAAAAGCCAATCATCTCAGAATTATATGTTCAATTTTTCCAAATTCACATATTAAATCTGTGAAAATGTCATCTTCAGGCATAGTTTTCTTAATGTAACTAAGTATTACCTTTTGAAGTAGCAGCTGGTTTTTTTCCTCAGCCTTCTATATTCTGGATTTCTGGATATCACTTTTAGACTGTGGTCCCAATCACAGAATACAAGGCTTTATGATTACACCATGCGTTTATAGACACTTTTCAACCCATAATCTGATTGAAAAGGAAATTGAGTTTTTTCTTTTTGTTGTTGTTGTTTTTTTTTTTTTTTTTTTTTTTTGAGATGGAGTCTTACTCTATTGCCCAGGCTAGACTGCAATAGCATGATCTTGGCTCACTGCAACCTCCACCTCCCAGGTTCAAGCTATTCTCCTGCCTCAGCCTCCCGAATAGCTGGGACTACAGGCATGCACCACCATGCGCAGCTAGTTTTTGTATTTTTAGTAGAGACGGGGTTTCACCATGTTGGCCAGGATGGTCTCAATCTCAGGACCTTGTGATCCTCCCACCTTGGCCTCCCAAAATGCTGGAATTACAGGCATGAGCCACCGCGCCCGGCCAGAGTTGTTTTTAATTAAATATCTACTTGCATTTTTTAGTCATTGCTGCTGAAACAGATTTTTTTTTAAATCGTCATAAGCAAATAGCCCATAAATAAATAGTTGTAGGCATATGAGAGATGACAAAACCACTGTGGCCAGACCAATTAACTACTCTCTCTGTGCTAAGCTTCTATTTCTAGCACATAATTTACATATATCTAGCCTATTATTTCCTTCATTTTCCCCAAACCCACCATATGATGATCTGGCAGTGTCATGTAAATGAACCATATAGAAAAAACAAACAAACAAACAAAAAACTATGTCAAATACTTCTTCCATCACCCGGGAAGATTGGAAGGAACTAGCCATTCCTAGCCAATACTGACTCAGTGCATATTGATTTATTATCAAGCACTCTGCTGCATGCTGTCCCTGAAAAAGAAGCATTATCTATGTATTGTATAAACCGTGTTAGGAAAATAAAGTTGATTTTCAGACTTATCCCCCTACCGAAGTCATCATTCTGTTAATATTTTATTTTCCTCACCTAATGATGGAGCCCTGACAATAGCTATAATTGTTAAACAAAATGAACATTTAACAAACACATGCTGGATCTAATCAATGTAACTTATAATAATACTTCATTAAAAATGAAAAATCTAAGACATATGCTAAGCCAATTAGCTTGGATAAACAATAGTAATAAAGTGGTAGCCCTGGGACCTAATGAGAATATATTTCATCCCCTCAAAATTAAAACTGTATGCACACTGCAGTCCAGCCATTCTTCTAGTATATTCATTAGACACTCTCACACATGTGTACCTAGATGCATAGGGAAGGTTTCTCTTTGTAGCATTTGGACAAACACATCATGGAACATGATGAAATTCTGTAGACTGAGAACTATGCCATCAATAATGGCAGCTCTCAGTAAGAATGTTAACAAAAAATGTGAAATAATACACACCTTATATATTCACAGAAACATTAAAAATTCACAAAATAGTATTATTTAGAAATAAATATTTTAATAAATTTATAAAAATATGAAGGTAATAACAGGTTGATGATAATGGCACCTCTGGAAATGGAGAAAAGCAAATGAACCTGATGGGGTGTATTCCAATTACAACCAGAGGTAATATACATAGAACAAGGAAAATATTAATAGCTTTTATTTTTAAGTGGGGTAAAATTAGTATTTATTATGTTATTTTGTATTTGTATACATATTTTAATTTTACTCAAAAACAAAATAATTTTACAATGAACAATATTCTGTATAAATTGGAATCACCTTGTGAAGTAATTGCTTTAAAATTTCCCTGTCCCCATTGCCGCTTTAAAGGAATTAAAAAAATTAAAAATTGGAGAATGTGGTATCTTTCAAAGAAAAACATTTTACATTTATAAGTATGAAATAAAATGTATTACTAGCACATCACATTTTTTGACTCATTATCCATGTAAAATCATGTAGTAGAAAAAGAGAGAAGGACATAGGCAGAATTTGACCTATGAGTAGAGGAAATAATTGTATGTTTATTTAAAATATCTTCTTAAGATATACAAGTGGATAAGAAACATAAGAAAAGTGCTCAACATCACTGATCATCAGAGAAGGGAAATCAAAATCACAACAAGATACCATCTCATACCAGTCAGAATGAGTATTATTATTAAAAAGCCCCCCCCAAAAAAAAACATATGTGGGCAAGGCTGTAGAGGAAAAGGAATACTTATACACTGGTGGAGAGAATGTTCAGCCACTGTGGAAAGCAGTTTGTGGATTTCTAAAAGAACTCACAATAGAACTACTCTTTCACCCAGCAATCTTATTACTATGTATATGCTCAAATGAAAATAAATTATTAAAGCTACCAAAAAAGACACAAGAATTCTCATATTCACCACCATAGCGAAGACATAGAATAAACCTAGGAGCACATCCGTGGAGGATGGGACAATGACAATGTGGTACATATGAGCCCTGGAATAGTACACAGCCATTAAAAGAACAAAATCATGTCCTTTGCAGCAGCGTGGATGCAGCTGGAGGCCTTAACCTAAGCAAATTAATGAAGAAACAGAAAATCAAATATTGAATATTCTCATAAATAGGAGCTAAAACTTGGTTGGGTGCACAGAAATAAAGATGAGAACTATAGACACTGGAGATTCCAAAGGAGGGACAGAGGGAGAGGGGCAGGGGCTGAAAACCTTCCTGTTGGGTACTATGTTCACTATCTGGGTGACGGGATCGATAGAAGACTAAATGTCAGCATCATGTAATATACCTCTGTAATAAGCCTGTGCATGTACTCTCTGAATCCATAATAAAAATAAAAATAAAAATATTAAAGGAATTATTAATGTATAAATTACATTTTAGAACTGATGCTATTGCAGTCAGTCATACATGACTGAAACATGTTGATAAAATCTATGTAAGCTTTATAGAAACAGTGAATAGTCTCCTGACTGTCTTTAAAAGTCTGTAAGATGGGATAGCTACCTTTATGCAAATTAACTAGACTTCAGTTGCACTAATTAAGAGAGCAACAGCTGAGTCAATCAAATGATAATAGACAAGTTATAATTGATGTCAAAATTCTACCTTATTATAAATTACCTTTGAAATCATATCCCAAGTTTTCTTCTATTTTGAGAAACATCATTATACTAATATATAGAACAAAGATTGATTTTGCAGATTTGCATGATTTCAGTAGAGCACATTTCATCTTCAAATATGATAAGCACTTTCCAATACATAAAACACTGTTAGAGAAAACTTTCAATCAGACTAGACGCACATTTCAAAGAGCCTATGATGTTGCAAATCACTTATGCCTCACTCTCGTGTTACCATGATAATGCATAGCACTTACATAGTGTTTCTTAGCTTGAAAGAGCCTAGGAACTTTAATCAATCCTTAGACTACCCAGTGAGAGAGTGATAAGAAGCCCCTGGAAGAGATCATGTAACTATACAATTCACATTTGCTTAAATATAATCCAGTGTATGTGCTGTGTTGTGTTTTCCTAGCTTTCTATTTCAATCTTCAGAGAAATAATAGTTATCTGTGAATATATGATGCATAGGCATCTCCTATGAATAAAATTATGTAGACTGCACTCTGTCTGCCATTAAAAACTAACAGATGTATGTATATCCAACACATAGAAAACATCTGGTACATTCTGCTGTATTTTCTTATTCATTTCGTATCTTATTTACAGGTATTTCAGAGTGGACTTGTTAGATTTGAATAGGCTAAAACTTTTTAAAGGAGGAATATACAATTATCTCCCTAATTTTTATAATTGCTTTATTTTTTTGGAAAGTGTTCTAAAATTAACTTTTATAATTATGCTGAATGTAAAAGAATATTGTATGTGAATGCTTCACCTAAAGAAAGAGTATTTAATACTCAATTTAGAATCCTCTCTAGTAGAATTTCTTTCTCTGCAGGTAGCTGGCTGTAGGGGTCTACCAAAAACAATCTATTTCTGCAATAAAGGCCAACACTGGCTTACTCAGGAAAGAACTCTTTCAGTCTGCAAAACACAGTACATCTTTTCCCTGAGTAAGAATAAATTCTTATCCAGTTTTACTGTTGCACTAAAATTCAATTAAAGTTAATCATTTCCTTTTTTATTACAAAGAAGTCTGCTTAATTTCTAATTACTTCGACTAAATCTATTCTCTGTAACTATCTAAAATTACATAAACATATACACACTCATACAAAAGAAACAGCACAACTGGAAGACCAAACAATGTGTACATATGAGCTGTTTAAAAAAAAAAAAAAGCCTTTCTACACCTTTCTACTCTGCTATTTTCATTATAGGTTACAGTTGTAATTCAATCAGTGACCTATTTTAAATGAGTGCCTAAGACATCACTGGAGAAAGTATATACAATGTGAGAAACATTTCCCTATGCATACACTTTATGTGTAAATATATTTATACCGTGTAGTTAAAATGGTTACCTTTGTTGTCAAAGACTGATACTGGCTGAAGTTTTCTTAATATATGTGTCTGATGTGTTGTTTTGTATTCCATAATCCCTTTATGCTATATCTAAGACTTAAAATGTTTTAAACATTGGATGTTGGTCTTTAGTGGGAGTGGGGGTGGGAGGGCCCATGCAGTTGCTGTCTGGGGGATCTTATCTAAAGAAAGAAGTCAATAACAGGCAGCTGAGTGGGCAGTGGTGCAGTCCAGTGAGACATGTATAAGTTTCTCAGGAATTCTCAGAAGTATTTGAGGGAAATGAAACTGGTTTACCAATGCTCTTTTAAAAAACCAGGTAAAGAACATCCTGCAGTGTCCTGAGGAGAAAAATGAGCAAGTCACATAATTTGAGCCAGGAAAAATACTAGATGATTGCAGGAGAATAGAAAATCTCAGGCAGCAGTTTCACATGACTAGCAAAAACACACTGTTAAAGTAGCTGCATACACTAGAAGCTGATAAGACTGAAAAACCAGAGTGTGGGCAAAGCTGGCTAGCAACAACTGGACCCAACATGGTGTTGGATTTGAGCTAGGTTTCACCTTGGAGAAAATAGCAAAAAAAAAAAAAAAGTCAGTGCTACTACCATGCAGCTACGCTACTTCCATGCAGCAATGCAACTGATCAAAGGCGCCAAATGCCTAACTGTGGCTGGTTAACATGTGAAAACCGGAAATTCCTGTTTATTTAATTCATGTTTACTTTTTCTGTTACATGAAGTAAAAAACATTCCTTACTGACACAATGTTTCATTTTTCTTCCTTATTCTCCACCATTTATTTTCTTCTCACATTATAGTTTGTAACTTATTTTGTCAAATATATGCAATGAGGTAACACTGCAGTATTGCAGAAAGCACACTGCATTGGAAACAGACTCATAGTGCAACGGGAAAACGTCCCTTATCCCCCGCTGCAGAGCTAGCAATGAGGACAGGCTGTGGGGCTCTGACCCCAGGCAGCATCTAGGGGTGAATGTTTACAGCTCCTAAATCCCCAGCGGGCATGTGTTACACGGTGTTACTTTAGTTTATCAATCTGTAGACGGCTTGTGTCAGCTCAATTAGACACTCTGCCTTTCTGCAAAGACAGAAGGCTTTCTGGATCCTGGGGTTTCCTGCCTTGGTGTAGCTGAAGAATTGGCTCACACGTGGGCTTGGAGAGTAAGTGCAGGTTTCATTGAGTGGAAGCTGTCAGCAGATGGATGGGGAGCCAGAAGGGAGACGGAGCGGGAAGGTGGTTTTCCCTTGAAATGGGGCAGGTGAGCGCTCTCCTTCCACAGCCCCACGCAACTCTGTGTTCTTCTGCGGTGGATGGCCTGCCGCCTCTGTCCTTGCGCTCTCCTTCCTCCGGTGTCTTCTCCAGGTCCAATTGCTTGTGTCTTCTTCTGCTGATGGTTCTTCTCGACGTCAGCTACTGTGTCTCTGCCCGCTAGGGTCTCGGGGTTTCTGATAGCACAGGATGGGGGTATGGCAGGCCAGGGTGCTCTTGGAAAATGCAACACTTGGGCAAAAAAACAGAAGCGCATGTCCTCACCAATTTGGGCAAGAAAACAGAAGTGCATGGCCTCACCTAGGTCAATGAGCACAAGCCTGAGGGTGAATCCCTAGCCAAGAACCACACCCTCCTCTATCAGGCACTTCCCTGCCCCCCTGTCCATATCAATATTTTTTTAAATTTTAAACTCCAAAATAGTACAATAGTACCCAAATCCTTCAAAAAGACAATTGGAGAAAACGGCATTAGAAGAGCCAGTCTAGGATTCGGGTCACTACATGGAAAATGGAAACACAGAGAGCATGTCCTGCAGGCATGGAATCACTGTGGAAACATACCCTGCTGAGAAGGAAGGCGACACAAACTGGCTTCTCTCATCTTTTTGTTCTCTAATCTCTGCAGTGTCATCCCTTGACTGAGCTGAAACAGGAAGTAATTTTTATGAGAGCCTAGGAACCCTGCCTCCCAGGGGCCAGGCCTCTCTATTACAGAATAGTGCCAGGGAGAGGTGAGTGACGTAGCTGTGGGCATAAAAACCCAGGACCTCACACAAAGGAGTATCAGAGACAAATATAGTATCAAGGGATCAAGAGAGAATTAGTCTCAGGAACGATATCATGCGTGATATTTGTGAAAACAACAAAAAGTAAAACAGAGCTTATGAGGTAGTAAACATAACAAGAACTTAAAGAACGGCAGGCAAAATTGTAAAGTCCAGAGTATTCACCTTTGTTTCACTGGATTTTGAAAATCCCTTCCAGCATTCTTTTCCCAGTATCTTCCATTCATGGATTCATTCAAGAAATATTTATTGAGCTAGTATAGTCTAAGAATTGGGCAGATGGCATCATATGCACTGTTAGTATGTCTATCATTGATAGAAATAATGTTTCTTTTTTTCTACAGTGTTTTTCTCCCAAACATTCGTCTTGCAAATTTGTATCCTTACAGATGCATCAGTTGTTCCTGACCTGAGAAAGTTCCCCCAACCCCTGTAAACCCAGTTAAGCACTTCCTTCCTCTCCAGCTAAGTTACTAAATTGTATCTATTGTAACACTTGTCAGAGTACATTGCAATTATTGCTCTTCTCTTCATCCTCCAATTAAACTATGAATATTTTGAAGGAAAAGTCTATAAACACGATGGCTTGACATTTGTCAATATTTATTGTACAAAAGGTTATGAGATATTTATATATAATATTCTAACATTTATCCTAATTTTTGGAAAACAATATAAACAATGTTCACTGCCGATTCCCCATGAACTGCTTAACTTTTTAAACAATGTCTATGCTTTGGAGCAATTAAGCAAACTTCCAAAAAACAAATAAAGTGTTTTTATTTTATTTTGTTTTGTTATATTGAATTATTTTGTAGAGACAAAGTCTTACCTCATGGCCCAGGCTGAAGTGCAGTGTGCAATCACAGCTCACTACGACCTTGAACTGCTGAGTAAATAGAAGATAGATGTGTGCCAGCATGCCCAATTTAATTAAGTATTTAATTAGTTACATTTGTAGAGATAGGACTTGCTATGTTGCCTGGGCTGGTCTTGAACCCTGCGCTTGAAGCAATCCTCCCTTCTCAGCATCCCAAAGAGCTGCAATTCCAGGCATGAACCACCAGACCTCAAAGAAAAAATTTTAGATTTTAGAATATTGCAATATATTAGACTTAATTTCTTCTTTCAATTTTGCATTAGCAGTGGCACTTGAGAATAATTGTATGTTACGGGGAGAGTGTGATTTCTCATATTTGGTCATCGAATTTTGAAATCTTTATTCTATTTACTTAAATCCTAATAACTGGTAGTCAGCCCAGCCAAAAGTCGAGTATATGAGTGTTTTTGTGTTGAAGTTATGAAGACAAATGTAGGAAGATATTAAGAACCAAAGACACTTATTTTTCATATATGTTAAAGCTTTATCCTTGCAGGTGAGGCATCATACATGGCATGGATAGTTTTATAAAATACCCCGAAATACATACTTCAGTAACCAGTTCAGCACTTGCAATTTCCCCACTTTGTTTTCATCAGGAGTTAATGATGTATGGCACTTCTAGTAAGTAAATGAATATTTAAATTGCTGTGAGTTATTTTAATTATTGCTCAGCTAATCATTTAAGTTATCAAAGATCTTTACTTGTGCAATATCATAAATGCTGGACATTAATCAACAGGATTTATGTAACTAGAAGCTGCCATCTAATGTGATATTTTTCAGTAAGATGACAGCAGTAATTATGCCGAAACATAGTCATTCCCGCAGTTTGAGCCATTATAGCAATTTCCACCCTAGGATTTCACAGTCAGAGTCCAGATCTGGGCAACAGTGATTAACATAATGGTTATTAATGAGAAGAGATTTTGATACATCTAGCTGTGTTTAGATGTCAGTGCCTTGAAGGGATGGGTTTGGCATATTAATAAGAAAGGGTGCATTGGATTGGTTACTAAGTAATGTATTGAATTGTTTTTCTTGTCCTCTATAACATGAAAGGTCAATTAGAGATACAGAAGCAATGGAACATCTAATTAGAGATACAGAAGCAATGGAACATCTCACAGCATGGCCTGACATTTCACTACAGTTTTATTTTTTAACCATGTACAAAGTTCATTAAATATGCAAAGGTAGGACTGTTATAGGACAAAAGTGGTAGAGTCAGAGGTCACAATCCACAGCAAGGTGTTAGTCACTTGTGGGTGGCACCCTGAGTGCTGAATTAGAGTGAGAATTAGCTTTCAGGCTGCCAACAGGGATCAAGGAGAATGAAGCTATCAGCAGTTAACATCAATGGATTAATTGAAATGAACGTTGACAGAGATTTTGTTGGCTTTACATCAAAGTACTATACATTCAGTATAGTACTTCGAATTGAGTATTTGATAAGGATAAACCCTTTTCAAATTTCCCACATGTAAAATTGAGGATTAATTAAAAGATTACACAACCCATACATTATGGATACCTCATTTAAATTTATAAACACATGTGCAAACTTGCAGTGTGCAAATATTTGTCTATATCTTAATATATCCAAATCCATGGATGAACAGTTAGAAATTTAGAAATTATTGTCCCGTTTTACCATTCCCTTTCCTAGAATTTTGTCACAAATATAATTTTTTCCATCTGTTTGAAGCCTACTATCTGGAGGAATGTAATATGTAGATACAGTAAAGCTGTGAGATCAAAAAGGCTTTGTATCAGAGAAAGCAATACCACTGGTGTTATAAAAGATCCATTGTGAGGAGAAAGTTATACTTCACATGACTACAAATACAGAAGTATTATTTCATCAAAAGCTGATATCAGTCAATACAATTTGTTTTTAATGTTTTATTTAAAATATTTAATCTCAAAAGGATTACTTGAGTAGAATAATGTTATTGGTAATAAATAATGATTAAGAATTTTATTTAATTTGTTGATTATTTAAAATGTAAGTAAAATACTAAAGAGTAGAGTATAATGTAGTTTCATGAAGTATTCTCTATGGGTTTTGTAAAATTAATGGCCTCGATGGAATTTGTTGACACAGAGAAATTTCCTTATATCGTTTTATTATTGTACTTTCACTGTATTACTTGCTTGCATGTTATAACTGATAGAAATAAAAATATTTTATTTACACATATATGAAGGATGAATTTTTGTTTATGTTTTCTAGTGAGAGAAAGTCACCAATAATTTTATCTGTATAGGAAAATTTTGACAAGCCCAAAGCTCTTAACTTTCTTTGCTTTTGAAGGTTCTTATTTCAGTCTAGGTATGAGATGGAATTGACTGTGATCATTTTTTGATTTCACTATGAATACTGAGTTTCTGATCTAGTGTTACAAATATTTAGACTTAAAAGCTTACTTTCTTCTTTTTCTCCCTTTGGACCTGTACATGTGATACCTGCAATAATGTGCACCGTTATCTGAAATGAGGTTGCTGAAAGATACAAGCATAAATGGAATTCTTTATTTCTGTGAACCTTTAGGAACAAACAAATAAAACTAAAAGATAATTATGATATGAACTTAAATCTGCAGTTTCTCACAGAAGCACAATAAGGGTGAAAATGCATTTAAAAATACATACCACATCCAAAACATGAGATGGAAATGAAAAATTTAATGTGACATAAAGAACAATTTAAAAGTTAACGATTATTTCTGATGAGAGCAAGTAGCACTAAAAATCCTATTTTCCCTGTTGTAATTCACGAAACTATTACTTTATCTTCAGGCTTTAAAAAGAGTTAACTCTAACTTAAGCAACAACTTTTTGGCCATTTCAAACAGTGGGTGCGTCATCTTAGAATTTCTCCGAGAATCTTTTGGGAGAAATATAATCTAATCTAGCCCTGTAAACAATTGAATTAATCAATGAAATCATTATGACTGTAGTCTCACAATTTCATTGTCCTTCTCTTTTTGGTGTATACATATCTCTTTAAAATTCAAAAGCCCCTAGAAAGCATGTGATAAATAATAATGACTGAAACAGTTGAAAAATAAAAACCGAGCAGCAGATGTGTTTCAAGGTTTCCTTTATGAGAATGCTACGCTAACTATGTAATATACACACGGTATAAATCACCATGAGAAAATAATATTTGGGTAGCACTTGACAATTTATCCAGCAACAGCAAATAGTCTCATTTGACCTTTAAGAGGATTTTTAAACACATGTTTCATAAATGAGGCAAATGTGATTTACTAATACAAATCAGACCTGTTACATCTCCTTAGGAACATGTCAGCCAATAAAGCAGAGGCATGAGTTTTCTTCTGGAGGGAAGAAGGAGGCAACGTTTATTAAAATCATGAGTCTTTTTTTTTAAATATTTCATTGTTTATTAAAGTTTTGTTTATCAAAATCATTGTCTTTATTTCCAGTTATAGTTCCTGTATTTGCCTATTACAGCAGTTATCATACTTATTATTCCTCATTTATCTGTGCCTGTAACAACTGCACTCTGAGAAGAGCAAGGACCATGTTTTTCTGAGCTTCTTGCAGACTGTCAGGCTTATTGTAGCATTTAGAAACTATCTGCTGAATGTTTGTGACATTTTCATGTAAATTACATTCTAGGCCACTTGATACTAATTTTCTGTTTAGTATTTGGGTTTGGAGAGCCATTTTTCCTTTTCAGTTTTTTTTCATTTTTTAAAATTATACTTTAAGTTCTAGGGTACATGTGCAGAACGTGCAGGTTTGTTACATAGGGATACATGCGCCATGTTGGTTTGCTGCACTGATCAACTCGTCATTGACATTAGGTATTTATCCTAATGCTATCCTTCCCCTAGTCCCCCACCCCCCAACTGGGCAGATGTGTGATATTCCCCCACCTGTGTCCATGTGTTCTCATTGTTCAACTCCCACTTATGAGTAAGAAGATGTGGTGTTTGTTTTTCTGTCCTTGTGATAGTTTGCTTAGTATGATGGTTTCCAGCTTCATCCATGGCCCTGCAACCGCAATGAGATACCATCTCATGCCAGTTAGAATGGCGACCATTAAAAAGTCAGGAAACAACAGATGTTGGAGAGGATGTGGAGAAACAGGAACACTTTTAAGTTATTTTTCTTTACGTATATTTTAAGGATATACCTATCCAGACGTGAAGGTGACAGTGCAGGCTGTAGGCAATGGGACCTCCAAAGGAGGCACCCTGTTGAAATTGGAGGCTCTGCAGGAGAGGGCAGCCAGGGCACGGAGTGTGGAGGTGCCCCTGTAGGAGGAGAAGGTGCTGGTGGTGGACGACGTCACGGCGGTGGTCTAGGTGGTGGTTGAGGAGAAAGCCGACATGGAGCGGCAGGTGGAGGACCAGTGAACACAGCCTGCCCTGGCCCCAGCATGCCCCAGCCGGCCACAGAGTCGCTGGAGGTCCTTCACAGGGAGCTGGGCTCCGTGAATGCCCCAGGCCACATGCCCTGCCCATGGCTGAGGCAGAAGCTTTGTCAGAAGTGTCTGCCTGGCCTGGAGGGCACAGGGGCCATCATCCAGGGCATCTCCGGCTTCTAGGCCAGAGCCATATCTTTGTAACTGCCCATTCGGGATGACTGGCAGCAGGAGGTGGGAGTCGGGCTTCCGGGGGCGGGGAGCAACGGAGCCAGGCCAGGGGCACACAGGGTCAGCCAGGAGGCAGGGGATGGGAGACAGCGAGGGGAGCTGAGGCAAGGATACTGCAGATAGTAGGGCAGCTTGCTTGAGGGTGACCTGAGAGCATGTGATAGGGACTGGGAGCCAAGCTCAGCACTCACAAGAGAAAATAGGGGTGTCAAGGACCCTTCACTCACAGCAGAAAGTTGAAGGGCACGTTTCCCTGGGAAAGTCCTTGGAGGAAAGGGAGTCTGCATGCTCATACCAGCCATCGAACCACACCCACTCCCCATGTGTGTGTGTCCAGAGGCCTCACACCAGAAACACAAGGTACTCAAGACTCGGGTTCATGGTGCACGGGGCTGCTGTCCTCTGCAAGGCAGGCACCAGGTACCCAGACAGTCTTTCTTCCCTCTGCCTGTGTTGCACCCAAAGAGCTGCGGGCCCTGAGCATATATATCCTCCTTTGCACACATGCCTCCGTTGCACACACATGAGCCCCATGGGGAGCACCAGGTACAGCCCTGCAGTCCTTTCTACCCACACCGGTTCCCTCAAGTGGACACACCCACCCCTCAGGGAGAACAGAAGAGGGTACCACACACCTTGACACCCTCAGCAGAGCCTATCTAGCACCCAGTGCACAAGGGCCATGTGCAGCTCAGGAACTCTGAGGAAACAACTGCCTCACACCACAGCACCCCACACCCAAACCCTGCCAACTTGTGCTCCCCACTCCTTGTTGGCAGAGTCTTTCTGGGCCTCCCTCCACTTGCCCACAAGACCACCATATCCGTTACCGTGCCCCTCATGCTGGACAGAGACAGGATCACCAATGCAAAGTGCCAGGCCAAAGGTCTGGGGGATAGCCCTGCCCAACAGTCTCCCAGCTCTTGCAAAGTTGCAGGGTGTTTCCTGGCACACCCACCCAGTCATCTGGAGGCTCCTTGACCAGAGGCAGATTGTGCCGCACACCCAGATGTCGGCAGGTTTCAGAAACCATGAGGAAGTCCTGCTAAGTAAGCTACAGGATGGATTTGCAAATCAGGCTAGGGTGCCTGGGTCTGGGGGAGGGATCGAGGGTCCTGGTCAGGTTGAGGTCCTCTTGGGGTCTGGGGGTGTCTCAGTGGGAGAGCTGGGAAGGGAAAACGCATGCTTCACCCTAGCCAGCAGGCCCTCAGCCCAACTAGATGAAATGGATCCTTTGAGTCTGTCCTCTTCTTCTTGGTGTAGCAGGTGGAGGAACTCAGCCATCCAGGGTACTGGTGGCAGGATGAAGTGTTCCTTTTGTCACAGTCTTTATTTCCACAATGAAGTGATCTTTAAGGAATATCGTGTTGGCATCCTCGGTAAGGAGTGCCTCCCGGAATGATAGAGCGGGTGGAGTGTGGGAGGCTAGGCCTGGCATGAGCCTACCCAAATCTTCTTGCTCCAGGATACATGGCATCTGTCTCTACTGTAGTCCAGTGTTTCTAGAGTCATGCAGCAGAAGACCCCAGCTTCAGGCAGGACACAGCCTAACTGAGCTTCTTCCGCTGGTTGGCTGACCGTGACCACTAAAGGTCAGCCAGGATTGCTGAGGTGGGCACCGCTGAGGGGTGTCATGGGAAAGGACCTTGCTGGTCTTTCCTTGGCATCTGGGGAACTGGCTTTGAACCATGACCTGACCAGTCACGGATCCCTTTTCTCAGTCCCCCAGATCATCATTCAGGGCCTCTGTCTCAATCCCCCTGCAGCACTACCGGAAGGAGTTAGGCCCTCAGAGAGGAAACAGAGAGGAAACCAGGTAAGCAACCCAGGGCTGGGGGCTCAGAGGCCTGTGGGTCCTGGAGCTGGGACACACATGGAGAACTCAAGGCTCGGGGAGGAGCCTGCACTGAGAAATCCCAGGCCATCCCTGGGCTGAGGGAGAAAAGCCCATCAGGGAACTGTAACACTCATATTTCAGAACTGGGGCACCCAAAGTCACCTAAGACACAGAAGTGGCAAAGGTCAATGGGTGAGAAGCAATCTCAATGGATAGCTGCCGCATCATCCTTCTCTGGCTCCCTTCCACGCCTTGAGGCCTGCTACCACCTGGGGCTCAGTTTGGCCTCCACTAGGGCCCTCTTACCTGCCACAGAGAGGTGCACTTGAGGCGTGTCTAGGTCTGTGTCCTTCTAGAATGGCTATCCCAGTCGTGTCATGTTTTGGTTCAATGACCCCAGTCTCCCCTGACATGCTTTCTCCCCTCTGCCATCCTCACTCATGTTTCCCCGGCCCCTGAGACATTTCCTATGACATTAAAAAATAGACATAAAGTTTTTTAAATGCCTTAATAATACAGATGCAGATACAGGATTTTATTATAAAAAGTGCCCTTCCTCCTTACTTGTATCAAAGTCTTTCATGACGGGGGAAAGAATGCAACATACTTTGGTAAGTTAAAAAAAAGTATGAAAGTAAAAGTAAATACCATTGTAGATGATCAGTTAAATGGCAGGGAACCTTCTCTGTGTGTGTAGCGAAGGAATGTGGCTGAGCATTAAGGTCCACATTAGTATTGGTGTAGTCACCCAGTTTCAATCATACCAGTATGAGGGTGGGTATGTTCTAGCCTCCGTGTCTGAGCTGTGCACGCATGTGCACACTTGTGCCTGTGTACCTTTGTGTACCTTGATTTGGGGGGGGCCACACTCCTGCCCACATGTGTGCCTCAAACTCAGCTCTTGAGCTGGCAAGCAGGGCACTGCGGGGTTTGGCAGTCCAACTTCAGGACCTGTGAAGCCTGCCCTTTTGGGAGACAGGAAGAGTCCTCATGGTTTTCACAAATGGCAGAGGTAGTAGGAGGAAATGGGTGCCTGGTGCGAGCTACCTATAGGAGATGTCATGGACCTGAAATGACACCTGGCGGGAAATAAAACCTAGCAGCTGGGTCTTCCTGTGTGTTCGGTTGGGGAAGGCAGGCATTCAGGGAAGAAGCAATGGAACCCGTGGGGTTTTGGGATTCGCTATCCAGGAATCCCTGTGCACTAGACAGTGTCCAGCCCATGAGAGAGGAGGACAGCATGTGGGTCCAGCAGGTCCTGAGTCTCCAGGGAAGATGGCATTCTCCCCAAGAGGGTTGGTAGGTGGAGGAGAAACCCTGGGCTGCAGGGTCATGTAGATGGGACACTTACCACTTAGCCAGGTGGGAGCTCAGGAGAGGGCCTGGTGAGCAGCGGCCTAACTGGCTGGTGACACCCCGTTCCAGTGCTGCACGTGTGCACATGAGCTTCGCCCCGCATATCCTCTCCAGGTTGCCTCACCTGGGCAGACAGGAAGCAAGGCACACAAGAGCCTAAGCTTATGGTCATGAGTGGTCCCAGAGAGGGGGTCCCCAGGATGACTGGTCCCCGGAGAGGCAGGCATGCAGGGTCCCTTCAGGACAGGGATAAAAATGCATAAGTCCAGCTCTCCACCCAGTGGGTGTCTTGCCCTGATGATGTCAGCCATGGCAGATACAGCTCTTCCACCTAGATTGCAGAACCACAGGCTTAACGACTTCCCCCCAGGCTTCTCCGGGACAGGCCCCTGGACTCTGGAACAGCCAGTGCCCCATAAGTGTTCCTTCCCAGCCTCCAAGCTCACAGGAGGCTCAGTGAGGACTCTCCTCCTAGTACATGACCACCCACAGGCACTGTCAACAACCCAGGGCCCTTCTCCATTCCAGGGTCCTGCCATCTTTCCCAGCAGCAGGATAATGGGAAGGGAAAGAGCTGGAACAGACAGAGCAGAGGCCACAAACCTCACCCTCCCACATGGCAAGGGAATGAGGGGATCCTTCCCAGCCCAGGGAGCTGCTTCCCGAACACACCTAGAAACCCAGCACCAGCTGAGCAATTCACTCTGCCACAGCTGGGCATGGCGGATTTCAATGCCAGAGAACTTGATCCTGGTTGTAGAAGGTGTACCTCTCCTTCAGGTCACATTATGCTGACACCCTCCTTAACCCAGATGGACTCCTTGTCCTCACTACATGGTGTTGGCTGGAAGTGTTACTCCTGGTGCCCCAGCCGCTGTTTCAAGTTGCAGAGACTGACCAGCAGACCCCTGAGTCCTTGTCCTCCTGTCCAAGTCATATCCATAGAAATAGTAAAATAGTGGCACATTAGACCTCATGACATTTTTAAGGCTGACCTCTTTATAAGCATTTCATGCAGATATTTATGAGTTTATCTCATTTATTTTATTTATTTATAGCTCTCATTTCAAAGTCAATTTTTCCGTAAGAATTATTTCAACATACAACCAAATGTTCAGAGCTATGACATCTAGGTTTTAAGCTTAAAAGTCTGTATCTGCTATTATGCTTGGTAAAACCCATCCAGCACTTATAAAAATAAGTAATTATTAGGCATCGCCATTGTACTGGTCGAAAACACTGAAATTCTCTGCAAACCCATTTGAAAATATTCCTGATGGGACTGAACACAGCACTTGCTTCTAATGAATAGAAAACAGTGCAAGCATTTTCTGGATACTGGGCCACTTCTGGCCTAGGTTAGAAAAGGTATCACAGCTCTGCCTAAGTCTCCTGCTCTCATGGGGCCAAACTCCTCAGGAGCCCCTGACGAGTATATCACGAAGTCTAACACCCTGATAACACTATGCAGAAGGGACATCCCATGGAGAGACTCATAGAAATAGAATGAGATGCCCGAGAATCTCAGCAGTCCAGCCCCACTATTTGAGTTATGCTAGCCGTGGCACCAGGGAGATGAGAAGACACCTGACAATGTCACCGTCCTGAGCCATCATTAGATTGCATCCTCCTGAGTGCCCCTGAACCACAATCATTTGGCTGAGAGACTGTGGAAGACTGCAGAGACTGAAGTTAGTAAATTATAATTATTGTTTTAAGCCATTAAGTTTTACATAATTTTGAAAAGCACTTTAGACTCCTAGAAAAACTGAGTTGTCTACTGATTTGAGTAATTACGGAGAGCTTTAAAGGCCAATGCCACGAATGCTAATACCCTGGAAAAGCCAAACCATCGAGACTCTTCTAAACACAAACAGATCTTTAATGTCCCCTTGCTATGGCTGGAGAATAATCTAACATGTATCTGATGGAGTTTTTTGAAAGCCTCTGTTCACATCTCCTGGCTGGGTATGGGTCAACTCTGGTCTGCTTTAATGCTAGTCAACTGCAGCAACTCGTCTTTCATTTTAGGTCCTGGCCTACACTGATCTTTTGATCACTGACTGTATGTATGTTTTGAGTACTACCATATTTTATCCGAAGGGGCTAAATAATAATGCTATAGTTGTTTTGTAAACATAAAGCATTCCAGGAAGATAATATTGCTAATCAACTGAGCTTTAAAACAGATATGAGGCAGGGCACGGAGGTTCACACCTGCACTCCCAATAGTTTGGCAGGCCAAGGTGGGTGATTTCTTGACGTCAGGAGTTTGAGACAAGCTTGGCCAACACGGTAAAATCCCATGTCTAATATCATACCAAAGCTAACCGGGTGTGGTGGCCCATGGATATAATCCCAGCTACTTGGGAGGCTGATGCAGGAGAATCCACTGAACCCCGGGGAAGGAGTTTGCAGTGAAGTGAGATCACACCACTGCACTCCACCCTGGGCACCAGAGCGAGACTCTGTCTCAGGAATAAAAATAAAATAAAATAAAAAATAATAAAAGAGATAGGAGAAATGACTGAGGAAAGAAATGCATAAAACTTGGTGGGCATTGTGGCTCATGCTGGGAATCCCAGCATTTTGAGGGGCTGAGGTGGGTGGATCACTTGAGGATGGTAGTTTGAGGCCAGCCTGAGCAAACATTGTAAAACCTGGCCTCTACTAAAAATACAATTAAAAAAAAAAAAGCCAGGATTGGTGTCATATACCTGCAGTCACAAGTACTCAGGAGGGTGTGACTGGAGAATTGCTTGAACCCAGGATGGGGAGGTTGCGGTGAGATGAGATCATGCTACTGCACTCCAGCCTAGGCAACAGAGTATGGTTTCACCTAAAAAAAAAATCAAAGAGAGAAACAGAGATACAGAAAAATAAGAAGGAAGGAAGGAAGGGAGGGAGGGAGGGAGGGAGGAAGAAACAGAGACAGAGGGATGGAGGAAGGAAGGGAGAGAGGGAGGAAGGAAAAAAGGAAGGAAGGAAGGAAGGAAGGGGAGAAAGGAGAGAATGAAAGGCATAAAACCAAAGGAAATGAATAAAAATAGAAGCTTGCCATTTTGCCCATTATCCACATCAATTCTGAACTATGTTTAAAATAATATTTTGGTGTCTAGTGGACTAACTGAAAGTTTAAAATAAGCTGGTTTATATTGTCAAAATTATTCATGTAACTACGCTGTTAACTAAGATTCTTGTAGTTTTCAACAACCAAGTCTAATTGACATTTGTCATCAAATCGCATACTATTAGGGGCAGGGTAGTCTGTGTTACGCTGCCTAATCTACACTAAATTAAAAATGAAACCAAATCTGCAAAAGATTTTATAGTTACTATTATCAGTAAAAACTGTTTTGTTTCCTGATTTGTGGAGGGTTTTATTTCCACAGTTTTGATGGCTCTGGCAGAAAGACTTCCTGATCCAAATTCACCCCTTATCATCATCACAGTATATACATGTTCAGGGATTACGGGGAAAGAGCATCTAATCCTACTGCTTTCCTGCGTTGGTTCCCATACACAAGCAAATGTCCTGTGTTAGTGACTATCAAATATTCATTTATTTGATCAAGGAAATTTGTGTTTCCAAACTGTAAAACAAAAATATTACTATCAGTTGTATTTTTCTTATTTATTTACTTAGAGGCAGGGTCTTGCTCTGTCACCGGGCTGAATCATACATCACTGTAGTCTCAGACTTTTGGGCTCAAAGCATCCTCCAACATCAGCTTCTCAAAGTACTGATATTACAGACTTGAGCCATTGTACCCAGCCTCAAGTTTAGAGATAAAGGTTAACGAATATATTGTAAACCATACAAATAAACATAATTGCAGATTCTCTAAAGAGCTGTAAGAAACCACTGAAAAGATGCCATTGTGGACAGGGTTGCTGGCAACAATGTAATGCAAGCAAAGGCGTGGGTCCTTCCCCACTGATCCTTCGGATGATACCAGAGGCTGGCCTGGCATTTCCACTGCAGCTTTTTGAGGGAACATGAAACACAGGTGTGTGCCTGTGTGTGTGTGTGTAAGCATACATACACAACCAGTTGAACAAACTGGGATCACCCACACAATGGAATATGATGCAGTTCTTTGTAGATCTGGTAGAATTCATCCGGAATCTATCGGTTCCTGGGCTTTTTTTTTTTTTTTTTTGGCTTGTAGGTTATTTATTACTAATGATTCCATTTCAGAAATTGAAATTGGACAAGCTGAAGCTGAGACTGTGTCCACTTAGATTCTGTTGCAGAACACAGAATGGAATGCCTGTAATTTTGGCTGTGATGGTTACTGGAAGGTCTCTGCACGGTTGAGCTAATTTTCTGCCTGCCGCAGAAGGGCCTGGGGCTGACAATCAGGTCCCTTGACACCCGCTGTTGAACAGATCATTTAGAGCCTGGTCTCTCCTAAGAAAGTTGCATATTGCCCAGAAAGTTTCTCAAGGATTATAGAGTTCCCTGACTAAAGTGGAAAGGCCAGAGCTGAGAGTGGGTCATCCCTATAGGGGACAGAGGCTGGAGAGTCTAGATCCATTTTCTGCTGGACAGAGCCTGGACAGCCTACATTCATTAGCTCAGACAGGCCCTTTCCCCAGCAGGGTAGTTGCTTCCCAACAGCAGTGGGAGGGGCTGGAGCCGAGACTGGAATTCTGTTTCTCAATAAAGTCATGTGCTCTAGGGATTCTAACACCCTGGTGATTTCCACTAGATACATCAGAAGTGAACTTCCTTCCAGGGGTACCAAGACTTATCATATAAGCTACTTGCCCACTGGGTCCAGGTAGGGCCAGAAACTTCATCCTTAACCACTAAATTGCCTCTGCTTTTCAGCCTGGGGATGGGTGGAGCACACAGGGCTAGGATGGTCAAAAGTATGGCAGCTGGGAATGGGTGGGGTCACATGACCCTTCCGTGGATAATCACCAAGCTGCCTCTTTGTCACAGCCTTGGAAGTTTTGCAGAGAAAACCAGGGTGGGATTTGGCAGTTGGCCAGTGATTTGAGCCTGGCAGACCCATTAACCATGTTTGGTTGCTGCAGAATGATGCTGTTGCCTAGTTTTTCTGATGGTGCAACTCTGCTGGCTGGAATGCAAAGCCATGAGTAAGATTACTGTTATGGTCACTGTGAGCCCCATCCATGTACTTTGTTTCTAATTGACCGCCATTGTCCGATACCCCCACTGTTTCCCACAGGGTAAGACTAGAGAGAACTTCATGTGACGAATTGCAAAATGGAAAAGAAAGGACAGAATGTACATCTTCAACGCTCTCCTCTGTGAAGAAACTTGAGTTCAGGGGAATTTTTTGTATGCAACATTGTGCTGGCTTGGGGAGGAGAAAAAGCATCAAATTAAAACTGTTCTTTTATCCTATCTGTGTGGCTATTCTCAGTTCTACAGTCAAAAAAATGTGTCAGAGATCCAATCCCAAGCTATAGAATCATTCACTCAGGTGTCCGTATCTAAGGATAGTTGTGAGTTGAGGTTTTTTGCAGAGAGGGTGGGAATTAGTAGAGTCACAGAATGCCTGTTCTGTCGCATCAGACCCTAGAAACAGGCAAGTTAAAAGTCTGGTCCAGGCTGAGCACAGTAGCGCAGACCTGTAACCCCAGCATTTTGGGAGGCCGAAGCAGGCATATCATGAGGTCAGGAGGTCAAGACCATCCTGGCTAACAAGGTGAAATCCCCTCTCTACTAAACATACAAAACAAAACAAAAATTAGCCAGGCCTGGTGCCATGTGCCTGTTGTCCCAGCTACTACTCAGAAGGTTGAGGCAGGAGTATCTCTTGAACCCAGGAGGTGGAGGTTGAAGTGAGCTGAGATCATGTCACTACACTCCGACCTAGGTGACACAGTGAGACTCAATCTCAATAAACAAACAAATAAATAAAAATGAAAACAACAACAAAATACTGTTCCTAAGGGAGGAGTTTAAAAGGTTGGGTGCTTCCATGGAGAAGCTGAAAGGTAGAGCAATCCAAGGGTTGGGTATAAGGAAGAGCTCATGGGACCTCTGAAAACCACCTCTTTGTCCCGTATGGAACACAAGAAATAGTGAATGCTGATCTCCACTGCTTACTGATATAGGCAAGTTACCAGCCAGAGATACACGTCTTAGTCTCTTTGTGTTCCTATAAAAGAATATGAGACTGGAAAATTTATAAAGAAAAGATCTTTCATTGGCTCCTGGTTCTGCAGGCTGTAAAAGATCTGTGGTGCCAGCATCTGCATCTGACGAGAACCTCAGGAGGCTTCCACTCATGACAGAAGGTAAAAGGAAATAAGCCATGTCACATGTGGAGAGAGCAAGAGAGAGAAGGGGAGAAGGTAATCAGGCACTTCTCAACAACCTATTTGGATGTAAGCTGCATTGTGGGAACTAATAGAGCGGAAAACTCACTTATTAACCATGGCGAGGGCACCAAGCCATTTATGAGGCATCCATCCCCATGACACAAACAAACAGCTCACACTAGGTGCCATTTACAGTGTGGAGGACCACATTTCAACCTGAGGCTTGGAGGGACAAATGTTCAAACTATATGAATAGGGAAGTTTAAAAATCATGCTGAGTTTTCACAAAACAATCCTTTTTCCTCTTTAGAATCTCGAGATTACAAAAAGCTGGGATTCATTAGCTTCCCGAGATTGGCAAGATGGTATTCAAAATCTTAGTCATCACCCTGAGAAGTCAGGGCAATAGTTGGGTAGTTTGACTTCTTGGAAGGAAAATTTAGAAGCTCAGTATATTGCTAGAGTGAGTGATGATGAAGACTGATGAGAAATGCCTACGTGCCTGCTCTCAGAGGACCCTGACAGATACAAAAGTCAGGAGGGTTAGAAGCAAGATACCTGGGCAGAAGCTATAAAAGTCAAGACATGGCTGGATGTGGTGGGTCACGCCTGTAATCCCAGCATTTTGGGAGGCCAAGGTGGGTGGATCACCTGAGGTCAGGAGTTTGAGACCAGCCTGACCAACATGGCAAAAACTTGTCTCTACTAAGAAATACAAAAGTTAGCCTGGCATGGTGGCAGCCACCTGTAATCCCAGCTACTTGGGAGGCAGAGGTTGCAGTGAGGCGAGATCGTGCCATTGCACTCCAGCCTGGGCAATAGAGCAAGACTCCATCTCAAAAGAAAAAAAAAAGTCAAGACGTTAGATGTACAATAGAAGTTCTTTGAGGTACAAAGTGGGAGCTGAGCTTTCTTGACTGCTTGACATCCAGTAAGCCAGGAGGAAACAGTTTCAGAAGTGCTTGAATGTCTATTTAAATCCCTCTTTTATCTTGGAGGTCCTAGGAGAGTTATGAATGCCAGTCTGTGTTAGAATCCAGAGATAGGCAAGTGAGGAATCATTTCATTGAGAAGCAGCTGTTAACAGCTGGGGCTTTACATATGTGGATTAATACTTCAGTTCTCTGAGAGAAGCTGTGAAATAACAGTTCCCTATTGATTCTAGGGCAATGTGTCAGAGATAAACGCTAGAAAAAGATCATGATTCAGTTTTTCTTACCTTTTTTTAAGTAAGTATTTTCATAACCCTACATGCAAGAGTATCCCAACTTGTTTGTAAGTTTATCTCATAGGGAATTGATGTGGGTGTGGCTCTTTATTTGTTGCATTTGTGGATGGAGGAACAAATTAGAGCCTCCTATTTTATCACTTTGTTGGAGATACCCTTTTTTATTAATTTTTACTTATTTAAAAAATTTGTACGTAAAAGTTGTAGGTATTTTTGGCATACATGTGATATTTTGATACAAGTAATGTGAACTGGTAAGCGAGGGATCAAAGAGGGGATGGGGGTGGGTTAAATTATACTTGCTTAGAAGGAATAATATCTAGTGTTCAGTGGCACAGGATGACTACACTTAATAATGATTTATTGTACATCTCAAAATAATTAATAGAGCGAAGGTGGAATGTCGCTGATACCAAGAAAAGATACGCCAGACTCAGTGAGGTGGAATGTCGCTCATAATGAGAAAAGATATGCCAGACTCAGTGGCTCACGGCTATAATCACAACACTTTGGGAAGCCAGGGAAGGAGGATTATTTCGGTCTGGGAGTTTGAGACCAGCCTGAACAATATATCCAAAGCATTGTCCCTACCACACACACACAAACACAAAAGCTGGGCACGGTGGTTGGTGTGTGTCTGTAATTCCAGCTACTTGGGAGGCTGAAATGGAAGTCTTGTGCATTTGAACCCAAGGAGTTCGAGGCTGCAGTGAGCCTTGACGGTGCCACTGCAGTCCAGGCTGGACAACAGAGGGAGACCCTGTGTCTAAAAAAGAAAAAACAAAGAATAAATGCTTGAAATGAAGGATACCTTATTTATTATTTACATATTTGTAGATTTATATAATTATTTTTGATTTGGAGTCTCGCTCTGTCACCCAGGCTAGAGTACATGGTGCAATATTGGCTCACTGCAGCATCAGGCTCCCAGGTTCAAATAATTCTCCTGCCTGAGCCCCCCAATTAACTGTAACATACTACAGGTGTGCACCACCATGCCCAGCAAATTTTCATATTTTTGCTAGAGATGGGGTTTCATGGTATTGGCCAGGCTGGTCTGGAACTCCTGACCTAAAGTGATCAGCAAGCCTTTGCCTCAAAGTGCTGGAATTCAAAACCTGAGCCGTCACACATGGGCAGTAAGATACATAAGACTAGGGAGTTTTATTTTTTCACTTCATCCTCACAATCCTACATTGTAGGTGAATGAAAACACAACTTCATAACACAAATAACTCACTTGAAAATCCAAGTTGGTAACTTCTCCCTTTAAAATTATTTGCACCCTTACCTATAGAAATTGAAGATGTTGTCAAAATTTTATCAAGAAAATATTTCCTCATTGCAGATTAGTCTGTTAATTGTAAGAATTATGGATTGTAAAACTTCTGGAACTTCATGTATTTCATTTCTTTAGGTTGTACAATGTATAATCAGAAAAATTAATTGGTTTAGTTATTTAAGTCCAAATCTTTTTATTTTTACCATTTGATGATTTATTAAACCTTTAAGCAATCCCCTGTCTGAAATGTTATGCTGCTGTTTTGTTTTATACACTTCACTTCCCAAAAGTATGAGGTTGAAAGTGCTTCCATTCATATAACCAATTAAGTCTGATAGGCTGAGAGTGGTGGCTCATGCCTGTAATCCTAGAACTTTGGCAGTCTGAGGAGGGTGGATCAGGATTTTAAGAACAGGCTGGCAAGTGTGGTGGAACGCTGTCTATACTAAAAATACAAAAAATTAGCCAGCTGTAGTGCACACTTATCTAATACCAGTTACTCAAGATGCTGAGGCAGGACAATAGATTGGACCCAGAAGGTGGAGGTTGTAGTAAGCCAAGATGGAGCCACTGCACCCCTGCTTGGGTGACAAAGCTACATCCCATCTCAAAACAAACAAACAAACAAACAAACAAAAAACTGATAAAATTCCAACCACTCTAGATTATTCCTATTTGTAACAACTTATTACTACACCATGACTTACAACAACCATTGTCAAAACTTTTAAGAAAAAAATAACATGACTACCTCCCAAGACCAAACACTTACTTTCCACCATTTAAACTAGGAAAATTTAATTTCATTATGCTATGCACTTGAGAAACTTAGCTGGTTCACTTTTCATTTAGGTAAAAAAAAGTTTTCATTAGCATTATCCCTCTTCAGTCACAGAATGCTTCAAGTAGAATGTTCTGGATGTCTTAAATTTTAATATCAACCACATCTAATTATTTCCTTTGACCTGTACTATTCCTCTAAAGGATAAACATATGGTGAGGCAGAGAGTCTTGTAGTCTTTCTGAAGACTACTCAAACATTGTAAGCTTGTAAGTTTTTAAAGAGAAACAGCCTATTTAGAAAACTTGTGCAGCTTGCAAGGGAGACATAACATATGCCTAATTTTGTATCTATTTATGTTCAAAGAAATAAAGGAAAATGTTCAACAAACAATGCAATTTACTCTCTTATTGAATTTGCTTTTAAGCATGTGCAGCTGAGCAAAAACATTAGGCATTTTGCATTACATGTAAAATTTTATTCTGAAAATTTTAATGTAGATATTACATCTAAACAGATAGTTTTCAAATAGCATTAGCTAGTATGAAATTACTTGGAAATAAAATTCCCTTTATTTATTGGAAATAAAATTCCTTTGAATACCTCAAAAAATTCATGGAGGAAGTTAGTATCTACCTCTCTCCACAAAACATACATGTTTCTTTTAGTAAGACGCAGGTAACAATGCAGAAATAACAGGTCAATTTTCGATTTGCAAACAAGGTTTAGTATGCAATAACTATTATTTGAATACTTGCTTTCATATCTGCTTCAGCCTCTTTTGTCAGATCCACCTTCCCCACCATCTCCTGTAGATGACAAATATCTTGAGCTACCACATGTTTCACAAGGAGCAGGGTGTACCCTATCCAGAGAAGGTAGATTGCTTTGGTCTTTTCTGTCAACGTGCCCACAATCACGGGAATAAAAATCACCACAGCTCCTTGAGTAACTCTCCCGACTTATGCCATATCTATCTCATTTATTGCTATAATCATGGTGGCTGCTTCCACCATAAGACAACAGAGGCACTCCTGCAGATGGTGCACCATGAGAGGTCCCTGCAGGGGACCCTGCAGGGTTGATAAAATAATATGTTGGACTATATTTAAACATTATTACTGCTATCACTAAAGCATGATTAAGTTAAAGTACTATTTGGAAATATCTACTTTCCTCTGTCTTTGTCGACAGGATATTAATTATGCCTGCAATAATCAGAAGGTTTTATTAATAAGAAGTGTAAGAGAAGTTATTTTGAAGCTTAACAAATTTAATTCTAAAGTAAAAGTTGAGTCACATTTTCTGAACGTGAACTGAAGTTCTCACCTTCATATCATTCCCTATGCTTTCTTCTGTTAAGAATACTCAATATTTAGACATGTTATATTTGTCCCTCGTAATTTTCCTTAGAATTTCATTAAAATAACGATCTGGTCTATTAAACACAATTCTATAATTTACAAATCCATCCCGGACCCTTACCCTATCTCTGAAATGCATCTCTATAAGAACTTCCACTTGGACGTTCAGAATGATCTCTAACATCACCTCACCACAGCCATCACAATCACTAAATTGAAAAAAAAAATTCTTAATGTCAGAATGAACCATTTAAGAATTCTATTTGACAAGTCCAGGAAATGTTGTAATACCTATATCCTCTAGAGAAATGTTCATCCCAACTAGAATGACCATAATCATGGTATGCATAGTCTCTAGACAGTGGAGCATAATCCCTAGATTCTCGGGAAAGTGGATGATTTCTGTGGGCATAAGTTTAAACAACAAATATTAAATTTTCAACTTCTAGTATCCAAAACATAACTAACTTACAACTTAAACAAAATTAAAAGGCCAAACATCTAAACAGATATTTCTCCAAATAAAATAGGCAAATGCCCAAAAAGCACATGGAACAGATACTCATAATCGGTGATTCAGAAAAAGCATTTCAAATCCAAAGTGAGATACCATACTTCCCACACACACTAGAATGGCAATAAAAAGCAGGAAATAGCAAGTGTTTGAGAGGGTGAAGATAAATTGGAACCTTGATACAATGCTAGTTGGAAGGGAAAATGATGCAGCTGCTATGGAGACATGTGGTGTTTCCTCAAGAAAACAAACATAATTATTACAGAACCAAGCAATTCCATTTATATATACACCCAGAATTGAATAAGTGTACTCAAACAAATACTGGAGCATAGAAATACTGTGGTAGAAACAACCCAAATAAAATAATGGGTTAACCGCTTGTGGAAGGATTTAAGTGCTATGATGTAAATGAAACTTCGGGACATGATACAAAAGGAAAGGAGACAGATACAAAAAGTCATGTAGTGTATAAGCCCATTAACATTAAATGCCCACAACATGTAAGTTCAGAGGCAGAGCAAAGACTGATGTTTGCCAGTAGCTGAGGGAAGGAAGAAAATGAAAGGGACTGCTTAACTGGTAGCTGGAGTTTTAGTTTGTAGTCATGAAAATGTTTTGGAACTTGATGGAGTTAGCTGCTGCACAACACAGGATGTATTTAATGCCACCTGTTTACCTTATAATATTTAATTTTATTATGTGAATTTCATCACCATAACAAAAAAAATCAACTTCTAAAAAATATTTTCTTTACCTTTCCTTAATTGCATAACCATCATCTCTTGGTGACATACGGTCATTTCTCCAGGAAGAGATTGGCTCTCTGCATGGAGGACCTCCATAATTCTCTCTTCCACGTGATATGGGACCTTTAATATTAAAATGATGAAACAGGGAAAGAACAGCAAATCCGAAATACTATTTTCTCTTCTCTCAAACAACTTTTTAAAATTATTTCTTCTATGACTCCACTATGACTCCATTTTTCATTCCCTAAATTACTAGAAAGTCATGACACTGTGAATATTTCTTATGGCTTTGGATAATCCCATGGCTACTGCAAGGCCAGTTCTTCTAACAGAGCTGAAGACAGACATTAATTCTTAGGTAAAAGTTCATCTGTAATGGTAAATAACTAGTTAGTTATTGTTTTTCCTTTCATATGAATTACTGATGACTACCAATGATACAGGGAAGACATGTAAAAGCACCAAACTCTTCACAGATTTTTAAGTTTACATCCATTGTCCCTTCTCAGCTGAAGAAGGTAAATTTTCCTATGTTGTTCAATCCACCTCACACACACAAATGATGCTACCTTTGAATGATTGGATGCTAAATTTTTACATAAAAGGTCTTCTTTATCTCTAAGTGGTTGGCTCTACCTTAAATGTTGACAAATTGAAATATACTAGTGAAAACTTTCTAATGATGGCCAAGATTTACTTTTACTGCAATAAGCAATCCTGTTAAAGGGGTCATTACGACATTGTTGCTATTTCAAAATAGAAAATGTTCTCCTTTAATATACTCTTTATGTGCTATTCCTTAGAGGTCAGTCTTTCACCTATGATATGTTCACTGGCTAATTTTCCAATGGAAATGTGTTGGCTTATGTATGCTGAAGTCAATAAATATCTAATTTCACCGATACTCTACATATGAAATGTAAAATTGAAAACAGCAGTTTTCAATTTCCTCCATATTGGGGTGGAGGACTAAGTAAGAATTTTAATTTGTTCTGCCTAAACTTCTTTGCTAAGAACTTTTATTTACTGTCTTGCTTTCTTCTGTTCTGTCTGCAATCTTAACAATTCTCCTTCTCAAAAATATTACTTCTATTCAATCCTACCGCTCACCTCAGGTTGCTTAGTTCTAAATTCTCTCCTCAAATAATTTCCAGTCTTACGCTAAGGATCTTGTGTTAATGTTTAAACATCCCGGTAAAATCTTAATTATTGATTTACATGACCTTATATTTCACATCTCTGCACTTCTATGATATCCACTTAATTTAAGAATATTGGACTCCTTCATGTCTACCTTTCAAGACTTGATTTTATTTTTAAATAATAGGTAAGCCCAGTGACTCCTTTTCTGCTAAATGCTCTTGTAGTTCTTTTGAATCTTCATAGAAGCAGTAAGAATGCCTTGCACATAAACATTATTGAGGTCTCAGAAGCTGGATGGTCAGGCTCAGCAGCTCACAGTGCGAGTCAGTGTGGAAGGCAGAGACAGCTGGACTGCTTGAGCCGCTGGCTTTTATGTCAGTTTTGACAATGTAGTGACATCCTCTGTCTACAAAAATACAGGAAAAAAAAATTAGCTAGGTGTGGTGGTGCATGCCTGTAGTTGCAGCAACTCAGGAGGCTGAAACAGGATAATTGTTTGAGCCCAGGATTTTGAGGCTGTAGTAAGCCATCATTTCACCAATGCACTCTGACCTGGTAAGAGCAAGACTCCAACCCAATAAAGAAACTGAACAAGCAATTTTTCAATTGGCTTGCCAGGGGACCACTACCAGGGGACCTAGGAAATGGAAGAATTCATTAGAAGAAGAAGCCTATCATCAAAGAATACTGCTAGGGACTTTTAGAAAAATTAAGGGGAATTATCTAGCAAACACAGGATTAAGAGGAATGTTGGCCTCACTCTAATCACTTCTTTCAACTGCAGTGAGAAGCTCGAGTATTTCTTCAACATAAATCTGAGTGTACCTAGTGAGATAGAAAGTATAATAAAAGCTATTGATCAGTAATTATGCCCAATGATGTGTCACTTCTGTTTTGTTCAATGAACTTAAATTTAAGAATCCAGTTAAAATAGCTCATTTTTAGTCATACAAAAAATATGGTCTTTTATCAGGTAGCATTTACCTTGGCCTCCCATCCAACTATTGCTTCTTGCCATAGCAGAAGGAGCAGATGTTTTAGGAGGAGGACCTCCACTTCGTGAAGATGGACCTCTTTTAATTGGAATGGCTCCCCTAGAAGAACTCGTGTTGAGATCAAGAGCGTATCCACCATCATCTGTATTTCAAACAAAATCATTTTAGTTAACTAGCATCACTGTTTCTTGAATGGCTAAGTTTTGTTGTTTTTCTACATATTATAATGTTACAAATTCACATTTGTCTAAACTAATAAAATTAACATTTCTATATGAAATTAGTACAATTCAAGCAATAAAAGTCTGTTTAGAAAATCTAGAAGGAAACTCAAGAATTATAATATATTGGTGTGAGAGAGAGATGTGGGAAAAATGGGGAGTGAACAGGGAGCAGAAATCTATCAGTAAAATATCTAAGTATAATATACATAAAGAAAAAATATTAAAAAATGATAAATGACTGTTTATATCATTCTATTATGAGGAAAAATTTTCAAAGCATATCAAAAAGATAAACTAAATTCCATTCAAAGAAACTCAAATATTTGCAATATCAAAAGGTGACACATCAGGAAAATATATTATCTCTAAAATTTGTTAACATAGTATAGAATTCTTACAATTTCCTTGTGAAACACTAATTTTCAGATTAGACTATGCTAAATTTTAATAATCTTTAAGAATTGCTTATTAAATAATATAAAAATATTTATATATCTACAAATCTGTAGATATATGCCAATTACTAGGTGGTGTTACAGGTTAGAGTACGCACATTCTCATACATGGCAGAGTATTATTGAATCTCACCCTCAAGATCAGTGGAGACAAAATTACCATGAAGCTATGCATCGTAAAATGCAGCAAACACTGCAATTTCAACTTTAAAAACACATCTCCAATTAATTACACATCTGGTCATTAAAACACAAAATTAAAGATCGATTTTTGAAGGTTGGTTAATAGATAATATGTTAACCAATAGGTTGATTGATTGATTGATTGATTGAGATGGACTCTTGCCCTATTGCCCAGGTGGGAGTACAATGGCATTATGTCAGCTCACTGCAGCTTCTCCCTCCCAGGTTCCAGTGATTCTCCTGCCTCAGCCTCCCGAGTAGCTAAGATTAGAAGTATGTGCCACCATGCCAAGCTAATTTTTTGTATTTTTAGGACAGACAGTTTGCACCATGGTTGCCAGGCTGGTCTGGAACTCCTGACCTCGTGGTCCACCCACCCCATACTCCCCAAGTGCTGAGATGACAGGCGTGACCCACCTCGCCCACCCCCATCCAATATATATATATATTTTTAAATACATAGTTTGTTTTTCTTTTTTATGTAGAAATTGACCCCTCATTTCTACTGTGTAAATCACTCATAAATACCATTTTCAGTGACTCACCTTCCAGCAAGAAAGATACATACATATCTGTGAAGCAGTGGTGTTTTGTCCTTTCCAGAGTCATAGACTTTTTTTAGAAATTAAAGTTCTACGTTTCTTAAATTGAAAATGCTTTATGGCAGGCCAATGTACAAACTCTCCATATGAAAATTACAAAGCAATAGATTTGCATACATGTTTGCACATGTATACACAAAAAAAAACAAATATTGGAAAATCAATCCTAAGTACTGAATTACTTTTTTTCCTGTTGGAAAGTTTTAAATATTCCATTGTATTTTGATAATACAACCGATATGAAGTTCTGGGCCCCAAAGTAGAAAACTCTATGAAGTATAATTAATATAAATGAGTTCTTCAGAAAACCTGTTGAGTACAGGCAATCAGCATTCATAAACTCAATTCAGTTTGAAATTTGTGTTATTTCAATGCAAACTTATTACAATTTTAAAACAAATTTTAGATATTAGTGCAATCATTCTTATAATACACCTTTAGTACTTAGAAATAATTTTGCTTCTTATCAATAAGTTAATTTTCTTATCAATAAGAAAATTACTTCTTACCAATAAGTAAATTTCCCAAAATAAATAAAATTGGGAAATTTTGATATCTTCAAACTTATTTTCTTTCAGTCCTATGGTTCCATCTTTATATTTTAGAACATTACCCAAGTGTCCTTCATGTGAGGGCAGCCACGGTCTTGTTCCTCCACTACTTCCTCTTGCAGATCTCAGACTTCCTGAAGGGCTTCTGTTTCTTGAAGAAGGTGGTGGTCTCCGCCTACCACCACTTGGAAAAGATGGTTTCTTTGCTTGTTCTACTTTTATTTCTTTTCCATCCAAAGACTAAAAGTATTAAGAGTACTATCAATAACGTTGGCAAGATTAAACCTAAGCACATTTTACAAACATTTCTACATCAACTATAGTTCAATTCTAGATATTTTCTCCCAAAGCAAATTTTTTTCCTCCTAAAATGAACACGTCTTTCACAATACCAAATTTGAGACATTTACTGAACACACGCCTTCCATTAAGGGATCAAACACAAATTCTATTATTCAAATTCCTTGAAAACTCCTCAATTATTAAAAAAAAAAAAACACCTCAAACAAAAAAGATTAACCCATCACACATTCTATGGAAGAATGTGGCATGTCTTTTTTTTACAATATATCATCCACTTCATCTTTGTATTCGCATCACTGATTTAAAAGTTTCAGTGTCCCAAGGAAACTTGTGTCATTTAAAAAAATGAGGTTACTTATTCAAAATGATTAGTCACATTAGTCATATGAGTTGTTTCTTGTTTGATCTGCTAACACTTACGTAAAATATCCCCATATGATTTATAATTTTATATTTACTCTAGAAACGTTTCTGTAAATGTGATCCTTGTTTGATCTCATTAAGGTTTCTTGCCTTATTCATTTCTTATTTTGCCTTAGACGTGCCCCTAAAAAATGACTCTTAATATAGTACTTCATGTTGTTTCTCAGAAATGCTTAAATGTGCTAATTAATTTCACAGTAACATTTTTCAGTATGATCTTTTCTATAGGCCAAAGTAATTTTTGAAAACAGTTCAGATAATAAATAACTCTATTTTAAAATTACATGTTTTTTGTTATTTGGGGGAAGATCTTAAATCCCTTACAAGACCTCTTGCAGCCAAATTGCCAGTTGTTCCTACCTTGAAACTTCTGCTGTTATTTCTGGGCCCAAAATATTTTCCCCAGATTTGCGCATGGCTGCTTCCTTCCCAGTGTTTCAAAGTCAGTCAAAATTCCTTAAACTGTTAATTGCCCCTGATAACTCTAAGAACCTCCTTTGTTGGCCGTCTTAACATTTATGTGCATATAACTTCATATTTATGTTTACACAATAAAATATGTGAGATGAAGTAATTCAGAAATAACATTGGCTGGGCGCAGAGGCTCATGCCTGTAATCCTAACACTTTGGGAGGCCAAGGCGGGTGGATCATGAGGTGAAGAGATAGGGATCATCCTGGCCAACTGGGTGAAACCCAGTCTCTACTAAAACTGCAAAAATTAGCTGGGCGTGGTGGCATGTGCCTGTAGTCCCTGCTACTTGGGAGGCTGAGGCAGAGAATTGCTTGAACCCGGGAGGGGGAGGTAGCAGTGAGCCGAGATCGTCCCACTGCAATCCAGCCTGGCAACACTGTGAGACTCCGTCTTAAAAAACAAAAAAACCAAACAAGCAAAAAATCTATGCAAATTGCCTGCTCTTGTGCTTGAAAACTAGGGGGGAAAAGGAAATTATCATAGATTACTATACGTAAGTAAAAATTATCTCCACAACTACCACAAATTTACTCTGGGTTTCTACCACAGCTTAAAATACTAATTTATAAGAGTGAATAAAAATGTACTTTCTGCTATGTGTCAGCAACTCTACTAGATGCAACAAAAATAAAAGCAACTAGGAAGCCTTAAATATGCACTGTAGACAATTTAACCATCAATAGATTAATACATGGTACAGTGAGTATAAAATATCTACGATTTGCAACGAGGAAGAAAATAGAAAATTGAAGTTGTTTTTGAAGGATGAATTGTTATTTCTGAGACATACATAGGAAAGAATAATTGTCAAAAAGTCCAAAAAATCATTTTAGGGGTACCATAAAGAGTGACAGGAGCTAAAAACAGATTTGGATAATGTTATAAAGCAGAAAAACAGATTTGGATAATGTTAGAAAGCAGAAAAGCTCTAAAGGGCCCAGAATGGAATGATCTTGACTAGAATGTAAAGGAATTCAATAGTTAATAGAATTACATAAAATTTTAAAGCTTTAGTAAACACACAATCCCTAGATTTAAGACTCAATTGGACAAGAGACCATTGGTTTGATCAAAACACGTTCTCAAACACATTGGGAAAATGAGCAATTAGGTATTCATGTTACATAAATCACTCTGGTGACAGGAAAAAAAACATCCTTAGGAGAAAAGAGCAAGGATGGGGCAAAAAATGCCAGTTACTTCTTCTGTTGTCCAACTTCAATGTTCTGATATTGTTTTCTATTTTCAAGTACTTAACACATCCTTAAATGTGAAGGTCTTATTTAAATGTACTTTCTCAAGAATATATTTGCAGAAAATGGGAGAGAATCTTTCCTTCCTGTGAGTCTGTCTAGATGTCTATCCACAGTTTGTATATGCTATAGAAGTATTTCCATGAATTGGAAGTAATTCCACTGATAGCATTTAAAAAATGTTAACTTAGTCCTTTCATTTAGAGGAGGGTTCCTTCTAGGTTTTAATGCTCTTGGAAACCTTTGAAAATCTATTTACACCCATATTGAAATACAAAAATAGAAAAAAAGTTACCATATATTAATTTATGTAATGTTAATTGCAGTACCCTTCCAAATACACTTGCATGTGTATGGCACAAAGAAGACGATGGCTAAAGCATTTCAGTCCATATGGCATTCTACTATCTTCAACACTTTAGTTATACTAAAAAGACCTAGAAATACTGTTAACTGAAAACCAGAATTAGAGTATTATTAATAAGGGACTCTTACCTTTCCATTCATATCTCTGGCAGCATTCTTAGCATCTGCAGCATTCTCAAAAATAATGACCACAAAATCTCTGGACTTACTGGTTCGACCTTTTATCAAAAGAACTAAGATACATAAAAACATTTTATATTTATAGAATGGACTCACCAAGTTACTAACCATCTGAAAGTTACATCAAACCAAAAAATAACTGCATTTCACATCACTACTATGATTCTTAATACTAAGTCACCCCTATAGTCAGCCTATTTTATTCCAGTTTGTTCCCTAACTCCATAACACATTTACTTTTCCTCATTTTCCTTTCTAAGCAGTAAGTGATTCTTACCCTTCACCTGCTGCTATGAGAATTTTCCAAATATCAGATAGATACTTCAAAATAAGAGTTTACAAATCACAAGGCGTTTTAATGTATGTATACAATGAACTTTGAAAAATACATACTTTAAAATACATACATAACCTACATATTTTAAATAACATATTGAAATATACATACGAAAATACACACAAACAGAGACACGCACACACACAAAACACATGGCTTTAAGAGTTACCTTCCAAAAGGGGACCATGTTTTGCAAATACTTCTTTAAGCACCTTTTCATTGGCTTCTCTATTGAGGCCACCAATGAAAAGCTTGCCATGACAATCTGCTTCTACCATTGTGCTGTAAATGGTTAAAAAAAATCTATATTAGATAAAAATAGACAAACTAAAAAGATAAAATTTTATTACATACTGTGTTGGAAATTCAAGTAAAAGTCCCTTCCAGAGGCTAACATCTTTTTAGTATTTCTTAGTTTAAATATGTAAAATTCATAACATACAGAGCAAAAGGGGCACTGACTTCATGGACAAATGCTGCATTTTATTATGTAGGTGACAAAATCTAATTTATAAAAATTAGATAAGAAAAGCTACTGTAATTTTCCTAAGTTGCAATATGAAGGATGCTCCCAGTTAAATAATTTTATTTGAAAACTATATATTTATGAGGTATGGTGTGATGTTTTGTGTATTTTTTTTTCTTGAGATGTATATCTCCTGTTGCTAAAGTGCACTGCTCACTACAGCCTCCTCCACCCAGACTCAACTGATCCTCCCACGCTTCAGCTTCCCAAGTAGCTGGCTGGGCAATTTTTGTGTGTGTGTGTTTTTTTTGTTTGTTTGTTTGTTTTTAAATAGACATGGTTTTCCTTATATTGCCCAAACTGGTCTCCAACTCCTGGGCTCAAGCAGTCCACTGGCCTGGGACTACCAAAGTGATGGGATTTCAAGTGTGAACCGCCACACCCAGCGTGATATTTGTATGAAAGATTAAATCAAGCTAATTAAAATGTTCTAGGGGGAGATCATTTTAAGTATTTTAGCATCTTTTAGTGATTTGAAATATATAATAGATCAAGGATCCCCAAACACTGGCCTTCACGCCATACCTGTCTGTGGCCTGAATGTAATGCCTGAGGATAACCTGTAATACCTGTCTGTGGAGAATGTAACGCCTGAGGATGACCTGAGGTGGCACAGTTTCATCCGGAAACCTCCCTAGCCGCCTCCCACCCCTCCTGCCCCACCCTGTCCCGGTGACAGCCCCACTGCCCCACCTGCCCCCTCTCACACCTCTTCCACCAGAAGCCCCGCCCCACCACGTGCCCCTCGGGGCCCTGCCGCCAGCCCGTACCCCTAAACGTGTCCATCTCACTGCCTTCTTCCGCTGGGCAACACTTGTCTGAGGAAACATTGTCTTCCACCAACCGGTCCCTGGTGCGAAAATGGCAATAGAGTAAAGGAGCCCATTATGTTATTCAGGCTGGTCTCCAACTCCTGACCTCAAGCCATCCTCCTACCTGCACTTCCCAAAATGCTAGGATTACAAAAGTAAGTCAGTGTGTGAAGATAGTAGAATAACAAGCAGATTTATTTTGTTTTCGTTTAAGTCTATCCAACTCCATTTAACTCCATTACACCCACTTATTCGGTTTAAATTACTTAGGTGCCACAGATACATGAAACATGTTTCAAATACTGTCATACAAGGAAGGAGACAATTACAGGCTTTACAGAGGCAAATTTAAACCGAGGTTATTTATGGCCCCAGACTTCTACATACACTAAAATACGTCAAAATTTGATAATTCCCGCCAAGCAAATCACATATGTGACATGTGCTGACTAAAGTACGGGTTTTTAATCGCAGTGGTTAAGTATGTTGCCTGTATTTTGAATTATGACGACATTCACAGAGAAAAACTGCTTTAATAAAAAGTGCCCATGAAAACAATGGCGCCTTAGCACCATCTCCCAGAACTTGCCCACATGTCAGATATGTCCGACAGTTAAAGGTAGAATCTTCAAGAAAAATCAAAGAGTTTAACAAAAATGAGTTTCTTTAGAGCACTAAGGAGTTCTCTCCCCACTGTCTCCTCCCTTAATTCAAGCCCACATATAGAAAGCCCATTCGCTTTTATAGACAAAATCCCAAACCTTTGCTTTCTAGTCTTGCCGAGAGACCAACCTGTCCAGAGAAACAGAAAATACAGGTGCTTTTCAGGAGGACAAACAGCCTCAGGGTCTCCCGTCACTCAGGTCGTATGCATCCGGCTTCGGGACACCACAGGGCCAACTGCAGGAAAGACCGCTGCAGCTGGCCTGAGTGGGAAGCCATGCCCGGAAATCACGCCTACCTCCAGCCAATCATTGGGAAGGCAGTGGGCATCTGCCAATTATTGCAAGAGCGGTAGGCGTCTCCTGAGGAGCCCCTCCCCTGGGTGGCCTGCAGCTCCATCCTCCCGCGGTAGTCCTCCTCTGAGAAGATGCTTGTGCAAGGTGGTGGTGGGTTCAGGCACACGCAGACTGTGAGCCCTTTGGAATTGTGACATGGAAGACCTATACCCTAACTGGCATCCTGAGTGCCGCAAGCCATTGACTCACAGGGAACACATGAAACATCTCACTTCATTAGGCAGGCTAGGCTGATGGTACTGAATATTGGAGATCCAGAGGCAAGAGAGAGGGTCTAGTCCTGCCTGCTGGGGCAAGGGCAGCGGCGGTGGTTTTCGGGGAGTGGGGCCGAGGGGGCATCTGGGAGGAAAGTCATCTGGCACCTTCCTGGGGTGGAATTCGTCAGCACCGGAATTCAAAACCCCGCAAGGACTCTTTCAGATCTAGGGAAATACAGACTCCAAGTTCCATGCATCCTCCCTAGGATGTTGCACTCCCAGGGGTATTCCAAAGGATCTCTTGTCCTATGCCCTGGGCACACCAGAGACAAGCTGCCGTGGTCGCCCATCCAATGACCTGTGTTCACTGCCTTGGTGGCGCAGAGGCTGCTGTGAGTGCAGCACCCACCGGCCGCGGTGCCTGCTAGCGGGGCTCTGGAAGTCCAGGGCCTCTGCCTATGGCTCCTGTATGCAGCTAACCATGCAGGGAATCTGGACCTCATGGTGACTGCGGCGGACTGTGGGCCCTGCGGGACTCCCCAGGAATCCTGGGTCCACGTAGGTGTGAGACCGTGATTCTCAGCTAGGCGAGGCCCCCGGGCCTCTCGAGGAGCGGCCCCCAGAGTCTAGGGGTGCCAGGGGCGTGGGGTGGGCGGCTCAGACCTTGGTCTGTGGGAGCCCTAGGAGGGCACCGTGTTAAGTCTGGAGGCTCTGCGGGAGAGGGCGGCCTGGGGGGAAGAGGCGTGCTCCTGGTAAATGACATCACGACAGAAGTGGAAGTGGTGGCCAAGGAAGAGGCCGACGTGGAGCAGCAGCAGGAGGACCACTGGCAGAGCCGGGCCCTGGCCCCAGTATGCCCCGGCCCGCAACGGACTCGCTGGAGGTCCATCATTTGCAGCTGGGCTTTGTAAATGCCTCAAGCCACAGGGCATCCCCGGTTTCCGGGCCAGAGCCATGTCTTCGCAGCTGCTAATTCGGGATGGCTGGCAGCAGGGGGTGGGCGCCTAGGTCCCAGGAGCAGGGTTGCGGGGAGCCAGCTGGTAGGCACTGGAGGTCATCCAGGAGTCAGGGGATGAGGAACAATGAAGGGAGCAGAGGCCAGACTTCTGCAGATAGGAGGGCAGCTTGCTTGCAGTTGCCCTGAGAGCACGTAGAGTAGGGACAGGAAGCAAAGCACAGCACTCACAAGAGAGAATAGGAGCGCAAAGGACCCTTTATGCACTGCAGAAAGTCGAAGGGCACATTTCCCTGGGAAAGTCCCTGGAGGAAGGGGAGTCTCTATGCCCATGCCAGCCATGGAACTACCCCTATTCCCTGTGCCTGTGTCCAGCAGGCTTACCCCAGAAACACATGGTGCTCAAGACTTGGGCCCAGATATGGACCAGGGTCACAAATGATGAAGTCCTGCTGAGCTACATGATGGATTTGCAGGTTAGGCTGCTGAGCCTGAATCTGTGGGAGTGGTCCAGTGCCTGGGTGAGGTTGCGGTCCCCCTGGGGCCCAGGGGTGTCTAAGCAGGACAGCTGAGAAGGGGAAACACATGCTTCACTCCAGCTAGCAGGCCACTTCAGTCCAGCTACATGAAATGGTCCTTTGAGTCCATCCTGTTTCTCCTTCTTGACCAGGTAGATGGAGGAACTCAGCCACCCCAGGTACTGGCATCAGGATGAAGGTTTCCTTTTGTAACAGCCTTTACTTCCACAATGAAGTGATCATTCAGGAGTACTGCGTTGGCATCCTTGGTAAGGAGTGCCTCCCAGCAAGGTAGGGGAGGTTGTGTGTGGGAGGGTATGTCTGGCATGAACCTTCCTGATTCCTATCCCTCCAAGAAACAGGGTGTCTCATTCCACTGCAGTCCAGTGGTTGTGGGATCATGAAGGTCAAGCCTCCAGCTGCAGGCAGTACACCTACATCTGACCTTCTTCAGCTGGTTGGTTGCCCCTGGCTACCCAGGTCCCGGCAGGATTGCTGAGATGGGTGCCACGGTGGGGCATCATGGGAAAAACCTTGCTGGTCATTCCTTGGCCTCTGGGGAACTGGCTTTGAGCCATGACCTGACCTGTCCTGTACCCCCTTCTTCAGTCCCCCAGATCATCAGCCAGGGCCTGTGGCTCAATCCCCTTCAGTACTTCCCGAGGGAGGGAGGCCATTAGAGAGGGAACAGAGAGGAGGTCAGGTTAGGAGAACCCAAGCTTCAGGGAAGAGACTGCAGTGAGCAATCCCAGGCCATCCATGGGCTGAAGGAGAAACGGACTTCAGGGAACTGTAACACTCACATTTCAGGATTAGGGCACCTTAAGTCACCTGAGAGGCATAAGTGTCTAAGGTCAGTGGGTGAGAAGCAAGTCTTAAGGGATAACTTGCTCAACATCTCTAGTTGGCTCCCTTCCCCACCCTGAGGCTGACTAACACTTGGGGCTCAGTTTGGGCTCAACCAGGGCCCTCTCACCCTCCATGCAGATGTCCCCCCAAGGCCTGTCTAGGTCTGCGTCCTCCCAGAATGGCTCTCCCAGGCCCATCATTTTCGGTTACGATGAACCCAGGCTCCCCTGACGTGATTTCTCCTTTCTGCCGTCTTCACTCACACTTCCCTGCTACCCAGACAAAAGAGGCCACTACACAGAGAATCTGGAGGACCACATTGGGCTCAGAGGAGGAAATGTGAAGAGACTGCAAAATGGCTGACTCCTCTGGTATGTGCCCAGGGAGGGAAACTGGCCGGGAATTAAGACCCACTTGGGTACTGGTGTGGACACCCAGTGTTGCTTATCATGATGAAGACCTGCTTTGTCGCATCACCTAATATTAATATGGAGGTTATTTTCTTAGAATAGTGAAACAAAGAGTATGAAGAAATAGTGTTTGTTCAGATTTGTGTGGAAATACTGCAGACACATCCATTTTCTGTTACAATTCTTATGTGAGACTTGAAGTGCTTACTGAGTTTTAAGATAGATTTTGATTGTTCTGCTCCTGCAAATATTATGATCATTTTTGCAATATAGAGACATAGAATCCAGAAAATTTTTAAGTGACTTTCAGCTTCTTTTAGAGTACATACTTATAAATTTTGATTTTTTTCCCCTTGTGGTTCTCTTCAGTATATTATTTGTACTTTATATGCAAGCTGATACATTTGTTTTTTTTAAATTTGCCTCTTGTGCCACCTTTGTTTAAAGGACATTTTTTTCCTGTTAGATATGTGAGTTTGCCTGTGAGCTCTTTTTCTAGTACAGATTTTTTTTTCCATTTTTTTAGATTTGTGTGTGTGTGTATGTGTGTGTGTGTGTGTTGAGACAGAGTCTGGCTCTGTAACCCAGGCAGGAGGGAAGTGTCATGATCTCAGCTCACCTCAACTTTAGCCTCCCAGCTTCAAGCGATTCCGCTGCCTCAGCCTTCCCAAGGAGGTGTGATTACAGGCGCATGCCACCATGTCCAGCTGATTTTTGTATTTTTAGTTGACATGAGGTTTCACCATATTTGCCATGCTGGTCTCAAACTCCTGACCTCAAGCGATCTGCCCGCCTTGGCCTCTTAAAATGCTGGGCTTACAGGTGCAAGCCATGATGCCCGGCCTCATTTGTTTGTTTATGTATTTTAACCCTTGTTGTATTGTCTTCGTGAACACGTATTTTAGAGTTATTGAAATAATATGCTTTATTTATTTACTCAATACTTAAGTAGGATTTTAAAAGTAATGTTTTCATTCACTAAATACAGTATTGTGAATAGGTTAAACCTTGTATAGTATTGTCATTTTCTTTTTCATAAATTCTTCAAGAACTCTGATACTGTTTTTCCCCCACCTGAGGAGAATATGCAGATAGTTACAAAACATTGTGTGAGTTAGTTGGGATAAAAATATAATTTGAAAGACTAATATTCACAAATACAATTCCACATTTGTATTTCGCATCATTTTGAAAATTTTTTTTGCTGATAAATAAAATCCTGCATTCACGTTCATGTTAAATATGAACTTTTGAATCATTTTCAAGAATGAAAACAATCCAAGGCCATGCATTAGTTCAGGAAGTAGTAGAAAGCAGTTATTACGAAGAAAAGCCATATTTATTGAAGGTATATTTAGATAGATTTTGGAAGGCTAAGTCAAAATTTTCCTTGTTGATGCTCTGGCGTTTTATCATACTGTGACCAGACTGTGGCATCAGTAGTTATAGTCACTAGGCTACCAAAGTCCCTGGGCTGCCGTAATTATTATTGAGGAAAGTGGCAGTGTGGTTGGTTGTTTAAGGAGACTAGAGGAGTTCGGAGTTTCTACCCAAGGCACAAGGGCCTGGTTTATTGAGTGACCTTCTTTTGCTGAAGTAGATAATATCCAGGACAAATGTGGACTCACTGTAGTAGCTAGGGCTTTGAGACTGGTGAAGCCTATTTGTCTCCAACTGCCATTGTCAGATACTGGTCTGCACATAAATGCTTTTCGTAGGCTCACTGACTCCTGTAAATTCCAACATAGAATTTGGATTTAAATCCCTATTCCAAATTATTAATCATAGATTTAATAAGTAGATATTAAAACATGTATTCAGAAGAAAAGGAGACATCAGATAAGTGCATAATAAATCATCCTGATGAAATACCTTCAAAAATATTACTACAAAAAATCACTGAAGATTAAATGTTAAAAAGTTATTTTAATTGGGGAAATAGAAAAAGGTGAGACTCGTTTTAAACTCTGAGGTGTAAAGATACTATTATTAGAATAAGAGAATAATATAGAATGTCTGATTTGTGTGTACAGCAGCATAATAGCTATACAGTATGGCTAGAGATTGAAATCGTATGTAAGAAAACTCAGAGATTAAAAACAGATTTTTTTTAGAGACTTTGTTCTGTAATTAAAGAATTTTAAAATGGTTTCCTACTGATCAATAATTCACTTATATTTATCATTTAGGCATATGCAGTATACACCCCTTTGTATAGGAACAAAGTTATAGTTTCTATCATGTAGTAAGAAAAAAATTGATGATGTACCACAATTTCATCAGAGTTTTTGTCCTGAGTAATGAAGCAAACAATGGAACTGCCTATGTCAGGGTACAGGTGGGCACAGCTGGAAGCTTTCATCACTTGCGCCTAACATTTCTGGATTGTCATTGGTCCCTCCTAGAAAGACAAATGGACTATATCCTTAAGAATATATGTTAAATTTAAACCCTAAGTATTAAGATAAGACTACGATTTGTCTCATCACTTCTGTCTCGTCATTACTTTAAACTTGTATCTATAACTTTTACACAGAAATTCAGTTCATTTCATCACCATTAACATTTTACATCACACAATTTTTCTATTTCATTATCTTTTTGGTCACTTTTCTTTTCTTTTTTAAGGTAGAGTTTCACTCTGTCACCCAGGCTGGAGTACAGCGGCCTGATCTCAGCTCACTGCAACCTCTGCCTCCAGGATTCAAGCAGTTCTCCTGCATCAGTCTCTTGAGTAGCTGGGATTACAGGCACACACCACAACTCCTGGCTAATTTTGTATTTTTAATAGAGATGGTGTTTCCCCATGATGGTCAGATTGGTCTTGAACACCTGACCTCAGGTGATCCACCACCTCAGCCTCTCAAAGTGCTGGGATTACATGCGTGAGCCACCATGTCTGGCCTTTTTTTGTTTGTTTGTTTGTTTGAGACAAGTTCTTCTTTGGTCACCCAGGCTGGAGTGCATTGGCACAATCTTCACTTACTGCAGCCTCGACCTCTGGGCTCAAGCCATCGTCCTGCCTCAGCCTCCCACATAGCTGGGACTACCTGTGTGCAACATCAACCAGGCTTTGTTTTTGTTTACGTGTTTAGTGATGAAGTCCTGCTATATTGCTGAAGCTGGTATCAAATTCCTGGACTCAAAGTGTCCTCTTAGTTTAAGCTCCCACATTGCTGGAATTACCGGGGTGAGTCAATGAAGACAGACTTGTCACTTTTTAATAACATTTTAAATTCTACTCTGCAAAATTAACAAGTCAATTTTTACCTTTGAAATTCAAAATTCCAAGTCAAGTTAAGCTACATTTTCATAAAGAAGTAAAAATGAAACAAAACAATACAAAACCCTTCTTTTTCCTTTGTACCGAAGTGAGAAAAGAGTTGGGAAGGAAGTCATCTCTACCTTGCTTTACAAATCTGGACTGTACAGAGAAAGTTCCTCATATAATTTTTGTTAGATCTAAAATCCTGTGAAGTCATCATCAGAACCATCATCTTATAAAACAAAAACAAATCTCCTAGTGGGTCTCTGATGTGGATTAAATATCTTATAATTAATAATGTATACAAATGTGATTACACTTATGCCTTGAATCATAATATTAAAAATATGAACCTCATTTTTTTAGAACAACTACGCTAATAAGAAAAATAACCACTGACCTGGTGTAACAATATGTGGCCTAGAGAGCCAGCATTCTGAACTATTCAGGTTCCTCAGATAGCCCAAGAGTGATAAGAGCCAAATGGGAGTCTGGACATCGTGGAGGAGTAGCAATTCCAGAATATTTCTTGCTGCCTCAGTCACCAACCAGAATCTGTCATGCAGTAGAATGGTAGACACCTTCACAACTCTCAGTGGTGCCTCAGGGTGCCTCAGGCCCAGTATCACAGCAGTGTCTTCAGGATCCCTGAGTGCATAGGCAAAGATTTATTACAGTACAATCATTAGAAAACCTGAACCTTAAACCTACATCAGGCTTTCCGGAATATCGCTTTTGTCATGATACACAAGGTTCCTAGCTCATCTTCATTGAAATCAGAAATCTATGAATAAAGAGTCCACAGACAATGGGGTTGCAGAGGAGATAACTAACAGAGGTACTAATAAGCCAAACACAGTGAGGCAATTTCTTTTTAGCCTAAAACAAAAAAGTTATTGTATAAGTGAGATGGTCATGCATTATAGAAGTGAATTTGGACAGATAAACTTCCAGCAATGTAATTATGGGATAATGAATTATAGGACATGGGAAGAGGCAGGCACAAACTTACATGTTCCTGACACAGTGGGCAGCTGTGAGAATCCAAGAGCTGCCAACTATGGAACCACTGCAGATCTGACTCCCACAGATGATGATGACAGCCTTCCAAGGCATGGCATATCGCAGATAAATCTGATCTGCCAAAGCCAAGGGGAAAATTCACACAATTAATTTGAATAGAATTGCCACATGTAGACCATTTAAAAAAAAATTTAGATCCCTCCTATTTCTGCTAACCAGGTCAGCATTGTTAAATATGACTAGCAAACACAAACTTCTACCTCTTTTCTGTTTTTCCTTTGTTTTTGTTTTTACATTTTTCTGAAAAAAAAAAAAAGTTTTCCTTTTACTATTTTTCTAAGTTCACAGTTTCTTTATGTCCTAACTTAAATTTCTTCAGTCAAAGTACTGGGAGTCATTCCAGCTTTCTCCCCATTGCAACCTTTACATAGCTATGATTTTAGCTACTTAAAAGTTATCAAAGTAGATGGGCAACAAAAAATTATTTGATTTGGAGATATTAGATAAACAAGGAAAAATTTGGAGATAAGGCTCCTGTCTCTAAATTGGAGGGAGCTTATCTTCCTGAACTTACAATCTTAGTGTGATATCAGAATGACAGTTTAAATAGAACATTCAAGTTTGGGGTTAAGGAAATAGCTCATATTTTAAAAAACATTTGAGAGTTTCTCAGAAAACTGAGTTGAAGCAATGCCAGTTAATGCACATATTACAGATATAAAAACGATGAAGATAGGCTCTCTCTAGAAGAGGTGAGGAAATATAGATGAAATTAGAAGCATAACTATGATCTTAAGTGTAGTTGTCTTTGAATCAGACTTTGCAGAATGTGAGCAAATAATTGTGGCCTCCTTTGTGTTTTAATGTGTTATTCACTGTAGCTATGACAATAGGTGTTAGCTATAATATAGCTGTGGTTAAGTGCACATTTAGTACATGACACCAAAAGAGATCCCTCAGTTTCTAAGGAAATAAGTGGAAGTACAGTAATGTGAAATAGCCATTGCTAATATTGTGATAGGTTTTCTGATAGCCAAGGGAAGGAGGAAACTGATAATCACAATGTAATACAGTCTAGTACACCAGCACCTAAAACACATTACTTACCAACTGCTATGCTGTTTCCAAACATCATAATGTCTTTAACTTAAAATATATTCAATTCAAAATAATTCTATTACACATGTAAGATACTGTGTGGTAGAAATGACTTTGTGTTAGGAGAGTGTGTCTTAATGTTAGTCCTATTCATCTTTTGCCATAAGAACTTGAACAATCCATTCTACTTATCTAGTATAAGAGTAAGCAATTAACATAACTATAGTAATCATGTTTCATGACCTATATTATACAGTAATCTATATCATACAGGGATACAATGGAAATTGAATCATAGATCAAGTGTGAAATACCTTTGTAAACCACGATAAAAATAATTTCTGTGATTTGGTAGATAAAAAACTCATATATTTTACAGGAAGAGCTTTCTTTCCTCTCTGCTTCCCTCTCTTCTTTTCTAATTCCATTCTCTTCTTCCTTTATTACCTCTACCAAGTTTTTGAGCCTTACTCTGAGGCTGTGGCAGAGAGAAGTGTGGCCAAAGAGAAGCAGGGGTGGAGGTAAAAGCTGAAGCATTTGTAGAGGTAGAGACTGAATGGGACATAGAAGCAGAGGTAGTCATGGGCCCTTGCTTGTACCAGGGAGCATAGCTAGACTGTGTCACTCCCTGGAGTCAGAAAAGGAAAGGGTGCACTTGGCTGAAGACCTAGGGCTTTGTGCAATGGTCCTCAAAGTGACTCAAGATTCCCACTTGCACCCAAGTGTCCTCTTGCTGTAGATGGCATACGAAAGGTGCTCCCAAGTCACCTTGCAAGAAACAAGAGGCAAGATATCAAACAATATTTTAAAGGAGGGCCAGAAGTAACTTTTGGTTTTCAAGATATTCCTCTTTCTCCCTGATATTTATACCCCATGAATTTGTCACCTGATAGTCAGCCATCCACATGGCTTTCTTGGCCTCCACCCAGAAAGTGAGTTCATTCAGCTTGAGCCAAAATTGGGCACAAGTGCTGACTTGTAGGATGCTCAGGTGCCGTTTTTGCACAATTCCAGGACTTTCTGATAGAAAACAGAGAAGAGGTGTTTGTGTTTGTCTTCAAATTTTAGCCCACATTAGAGGGAGAAGTATGGTGAAGGGAAAGACAAATCTTTTATTATTCATGAGAGGATACTATTCTCTTCCTAAACATGCTTCTCTTTCATTCCAGTGTCTTCTTCTTTAGTCACCCCCTCATAAGGGACCAACTACATAGCCAACAGTCATATAGTTGTATATTTTCTCTTGTTCCAGACATTGCTCCAGGCGTATAGGAAGGAACCTGGGTTGAAAATGTAGTGGTTGCTTCAGGAAGATCAACCCAGGTCCTAGAGGTCCCTTGGGACCTAAATAGGGCATGGCATGCTCAAAGGTTACAATCTCAGCTTGGGCAGGATCCTGGAGGTCAATAAGCCCCACTCGGACCACAGCCAGGGCTTCTGCATTTTTTTGGGGGAAAAAAAAATCAAGGAAAAAATCTTATTATTTCCACATTTCAGTGTGAAAAAACCCTGGAGTTCACGTGAATCACATGAAGTCCAGGTAAGCACTCAGTTGCAAATAGTACTTTAGAAACTATTTTCAAGGATCATTTGAGACCAATTGGTCAACATGATGAGAATTTTTCCTTACCAACAGCAAGAACAACAACAACAAAATTATCCAGATGCAGTAGCGTGTGCCTGCGGTCCCAGGTACTCAGATGGCTGAGGTGGGAGCATCCCTTAATATTGGGAGTTTGAGGCTAATGTGAGTCACACCACTGCATTTTAGCCTGGACAATAGAGGGAGAGTCTCTCTCTCTCTCACTCTCTCTCTCTCTCTCTCTCTCTCTCTCTCTCTCTGTCTCTGTCTCTATCTCTCTCTCTTTCCCTATCTCTGTCTCACACACACAAACAAAAATAAATAAATAAATAGAAAAGAAACATATTCAGTAACAGTCTCAATGTTTTACTTGCTTTATAATGATATCATAATCTTGAAATGAATTGCTCAGACTTACATAAAATTGACACATCTAGCTGTGCTAATGATCCACTGTTCATGTAGTATGGAGCCAGCACAAAAATGGGAGAAAAACATTTGTGCAGAAATCACCCAACAGAATTCACCAATTTCTGCCTCCCAGCAGTTGGGACAGACAGGGATAATGCCAGGGCATAATCCACACTCTGCAGAGGAACCCACACATGGTATAGAGTGATTAGTGTTACTACCCTTCCTTTTCTAACATCTAAATTTAGACTTTTAGAAAAATGCTTGGAAATTCATTATCTTCAATTCTGAGAAAATACATAGAAATATACATTATTCATCCCACAATTTTAGATATAGTACAGAGGTTATCTTCATACTTCCCCTTCTAACAATAAAGCGTATATATATATACACACACACTATTACATATATACTATATATATACACATATATACTATATAGATGCTATATATAAATATATGTATATATAGTTTATATATGTAGTATATTATTATTTATATCTGATACTAGTATCCAAGATGTTATACTATTATCCAATAGTGTGTGTATATATGTATATACCTCAAGTGAAAATAATAAAACCTTTCTAAGGAGTAAGGCTATCTTTAAAATACTGCTGTCTGAATAGAATTGTGTTCATAACACATAGCTCAAACATCCTGTTTGGCAAAAAAAAAAAAAAAATATTCTCTCAATATTTACACATCTCTGCTGATTCACACAATAACCTAAATTTTGGTTTTGCAACGGTCTGAGAACATAACCTCTGTTGCTACAAACTCTGGTTTTAGGGTTCAACAGGAGTCTTCATACCAAGTACATTAACTCAAATATCTGACTCGACTAAAGCTGCCTGTGGTTTCATGGGAAATAACAGCTGTCCTGAAGAGCCAGAAAGCCTGGAAACTTTCTTTCCAAATCACAGCTAGTTGACACTCACCCAGGGAAACACTGAGTTCTGAATACCTAAGAGGTTGTTGTTCAGGCTTGGGTCCAGACTGAGATCCAGGCATCAGGAGAGGTTGTTTTGTTAAAAATGCGGCTGGAGCAGTATGCAAGGATGAAAAAGAATGAGAAAGAATTGACTCTTTAGTAAATGCTGAGGGAAATATATTCTGAGGAGGATTAGCAAAAGAGCCTATGGATAGCAGAATAGGAGAGGAGACCAGAGGAGAAATACCTGAGCAAGATGGGAAAATACAGAATGAAAGGAAAGTACAAGAAGAAAAGACTGAACAAGAAGGGGTCAGTGTACATACAGATGGAAGAGAACAAGAATGAATAAAGAAAAAGCATAAAGAGAGATAAGAGAGGTACTTGGGACATGAGGGCTTTCTTTTGTCTTGATAATTTTTAATTTCCTGCCATAGAGCTGGTAAACAACTCTTCCAGGAAGCCAAATGCTTGTAAACTGGCTTGGTTGGATAGAATTGATTTTATATTGGCTTTGTGTGGCAGTTATCTCAGTTGACAAAGCTATAAAATACCGATCTGGGGAATAAACAGTTTTTACTGGCAAAAAGGGTACACGTTTGGACAAGCAGCCAAAATGACTCGTTAATAGTGTTTCTCTGTTCGGCTCAATTTCAGGAGGAGAAAATGATCAATTATAACAGCTTTATAGGGTTCTGGGTCTTAGTATTTCTGTTTCAGGCTGGATCCAGGTTCTCACTTTGCCGGCTTTAAAAACACCGAAGGATTCAATAAGATGAACTTCAGACTGGATCCAGTGTCTGCTCGGGTTACAGGCAGTATCCAAGATATGAGTGTTCTTCCTTTAAGCAAGATCCATGGTTTGACTACTGGAGATAGAACCTTGGGCCAGAATCTTAATAGGAAGGTTTCAGACTGGATAAAAGAGTGAATTACATCAAGTTCAGGCTGGATCCAGGCGCCGACTATTTGATATTTCAAATAAACCCATGGTCTGCCTTTATTCATTTGAATGTAAAACGAAGATCTGTCTCTATCTTCAGTTTCCTGCTTGATCCAGAGTCTCTCTGCTTGGGTTTCAGGGTGGGTCCACGAACGATTTGTAGTAACTCTTTGCTGAGTCCAGGGCTGAAATATACAAACTGTCTCACGTGTCCGTGTGAAGAGACCCCCAAACAGGCTTTGTGTGAGCAACATGGCTGTTTATTTCAGCTGGTGGCAGGCAGGCTGAGTCCAAAAAGAGAGTCAGCAAAGGGTGGTGGGATTATCATTGGTTCTTATATGTTTTGGGATAGGCAGTGGAGTTAAGAGCAATGTTTTGGGGACAGGGGGTGGATCTCACAAAGTACATTCTCAAGGGTGGGGAGAATAACAAAGAACCTTCTTAAGGGTGAGGGAGATTATAAAGAACCTTCTTAAGGGTGGGGGAGATTACAAATTACATTGATCAGTTAGAGTGGGGCAGAAACAACTCACAATGGTGGAATGTCATCAGTTAAGGCTATTTTCACTTCTTTTGTAGATCTTCAGTTGCTACAGGCCATCTGGATGTACACGTGCAGGTCACAAGGGATATGATGGCTTAGCTTGGGCTCAGAGGCCTGACACCAGCTTCAGTGTGGGGCCAAGGAGAGAGTGGCTGACTTTCAGGATGAACCTAGGGTCTAATTGTATCACACTGAGTCTGTAAGCAAGATGTGACTGTATCAATTTCAATGAAGTTTTGGGGTTTTATTACTTGGCTTACAGTCCAAATTTGGAATACTTCAGTTTCAGGTTGGTCCCAGGATTTAATGAACTCATTTGAGTCTGGAACCAGTATCTTATCACTGTATTGGCTTCAGGGTGGGTGCAGGGTTGAATTTCAGAGTAAGTCCATGGTCTGATTGCAGCAGGTACATGCTGAGTCCAAGGGTAATTTATACTAAGTTGATTCTGGGTCCAGGAGTGGGTCATTTGTGATTCCACTTGGGTCCATGGCCAAACTGCATCGTTTTGTGTTGGGGACCAAAGTGCGAACATATCCTCTTCAGGCCACATCCTAATTGCTTGAGATTCAGGCTCAGTATATTGTTTTATTTTATCAGTTTCAGAATGGGCCCAGAGTCTGACTGTATTGCTTTCAGCATAGATCCAAGGTTGCAGAACATCACCTTCAGACTGGGTCCAGGGTCTGACTGCATTCTTTTCAGATTGGTTCCATGGGTGGATTATTTGCCATTCTGGCTGCATCCAGGTAGTACCTGCTCGAGAATGAGGTTGAGTAACATTTATTCTTACATTGTTTTGAGTCTGAAACCAAGAACTCACAGTATTAATGTCAGGCATGGTCAAGCATTTTGCAGCTTGCATTTCAGCCTGATACAACAGTGTATCAGACAAGGACAGGGTCCAGGGTCTGACTGCTTGAAATTCACATGAGTCAAAAGTCTGATTGTATTAGTTTTAGGTTGAGTCCAGGGGTGGATTGTGCCTGCTTCAGTCCAGTTCCATAGTTTTACTGTATCTTCTTCAGAAATGGTCTGGGATCTCATTGTACCTACTTCAGATTGGGTGCACGGGTAGAAGACATCAGTTTCGGATTAGATCCTTGTTTTCAATGTAGTAGTATTATGTTTGGCCCAGGATTCTAGTTTACCAGGTCCAAATGGAGTAAATGTGCTCAGTGTTTGAAATTCTGGTTGAGCCCAAGGTTTCATTTTCTTCTGATCCAGTTTTAAACAAAGGTGTGCTAAGCAGAGCTTCAGGCTGGGGCCATGGTTCTGCTGCTTGTGGTACAAGCACTGTCCAAGATATAAGTGTTCCAAATTCAGACAACGTCCATTCATTGATATTTTCAATTTCATGATGTGTCCATAAAATAGATGCTTGATTTTCTTCATGAATCACAGGTCATGAGTATCAGGTTGAGGTGGTAATGAAACTCTAAATATTTTAGCTTCAGGCATTGTTCAGAGTTTCTTAGCTTCATTGGTTTTTTTTTTTTTTTTTTTTTTTTTTTTTTTTGAGATTGAGTCTCGCTCTGTCACCCAGGCTGGAGTGCAGTGGCACAATCTCGGTTCACTGCAAGCTCCGCCTTCTGGGTTCAGGCCATACTCCTGCCTCAGCCTCCCGAGTAGCTGGGACTACAGGTGCCTGCCACCACGCCCAGCTAATTTTTTGTATTTTTAGTAGAGATGGGGTTTCACTGGGTTAGCCAGGATGGTCTCGATCTCCTGACCTCGTGATCCGCCCGCCTCTGCCTCCCAAAGTGCTGGGATTACAGGTGTGAGCCACTGCGCCCAGCCTCTTAGCTTCAGTTTTACCCATTGTCCAGTATGTGCCCATTTCGCTCTGTGTATAAGCATTTGCATCTGGAAAATCATCATGAGTCCACTTTGAGAGTGTGGAAGCTGCAGCCTCTGTCCATGTGTTCATTACTGGAGACTCAGACTGGGTCTGCGGGGTGATTGATTCTGACACAGGTAGATGTCCAGGTTTTTCCTGCTGAAGGGATAACTGGTTGCATGGTAACACGGTGGAAACTACAGCCCATGCCCCTGAATTTTCTGTTGAGATTCATCATTGTTTCATGATATAAGAAGATATAAGAAGATCAGATCAGTCTGTATCCAGGTAATTCCTACTGGAGGCCTGCAGCATGCAGCCACAGTATAATTGTGTCAGATACTGCCTGTGTGGAGGTAATCGCTGCAGAAGATTCAACCTGGGTCCACAGCATAAGTATATCAGATACAGGATGTGTCCAGGGTTTTGTTTCTAAAAGTAAAGCTTTGGTCCAAGGTATGACTATGGAAGCTATTGCCTCTATTCACAGATTGACTGCTAGAGATACAGGCTTGGTCCACAATGATAATATATTAGATATAGGCAGTCTCCAGGAATTCACTGGTGAAGATTCAGATTGGATCAATCCTATGTATGTATCAGATGCAGGCTGTATCCATGTAATTAATGCTGCAGATTCAGATTGGTTGTATTAAATACATAAGTTGGTTGTATTAAATGAAGGCTGTGGCCAGATCTTTACTGTTGAAGATACAGCCTGTGCCAAAATTGTTACCGTATGAGCAAAAGGCTCTGTCTAAGGATTTACTGCTGGAAATTCAGCCTGGGTCCAGGGTATAATTTTGGAAGCTACAGCCTCTGTCCAGGTATTTACTGGTAAGCATTCAGTTTGAGCCCATGCTTTCAGTGTATCATGAAAAGTTTGTGAAAAAACGATTAATGATGGAGTTACAGGCTGTGTACACAGTGTGAGTGTATCAGCAACAGGCTTTGTCCAGGGATTTACTGCCAAAGATTCAGTCTGGGTCCATGGTATGACTGTATCAGTCTCCACCTATAACAGAGGACTTGGGGCTAGAGATTCAGACTCTGTTCAGATCTTTACAATTGGAGGCTAAGATTGTATCATGGGATTTCTAGCTGGAAATTCAGCCTGGTTCCAAGTGATAACGGGTGTATATTTTGCTTGGGTCCATAGTTTGACTGTGCCAGGCAGAGGTTACAACCAGAAACTGATTGCTGGTGATTTTGTCTGTGTCCATATTATGACTGTATCAGCTAGAGCCTCTCTCCTGGGAATTATTACTAGAGATACAGCCATGTACTGCAGTGTGACTATACCAGGTACAGCCACTGTTAAGGGATTTATTGCTGGCAACAGATCCTGGGCCCATGATGTGACTATTTCAGTTTTAGACTGTCTCCATGGGTTTACTGCTACACAAACATCCTTAGCCAATGGTTTCACTCTATCAAGTAGAGTATATGTACAGAGATTGTTGATTTTAGAATGAGCCTGGGTCCACAGTATGAGTATTTCTGTTTCAAGCTTTGTGGAGGGATTTACTCCTACAGATTCAGCTTGGTTCAGTGGTATAACTGTAGCAGGTATAGGATGTGTCCCCTCCTTTACTTTTGGAGATTCAACCTCAGTACACCATGTGAACATATTCGTTTCATATTGTTTCCAGAGATTTATGGCAGGTGATTTGACTTGGTTCCACAGCTTGATTGTATAAGCTATTGCCTGTGTCAAATGCTTTAGTGCTGAAGACTCAGCCTGGGTCCATGGTATGAGCGTATCAGATACAGATTGGATCCAAGGCTTTACTGTTAAAAATTCAAACTGAGTCCACGGTGTGTATCAGCTACATGTTCTGTCCAGCAAACTACTGCTGGAGATTCAGCCTGAGGCCATGGTGTGTCTGTGTCATACACAGACTGTGTCCAAAGATTTCCTGCTGGAGATTCAGACTGTGACCACAGTGTGACAGTAGCAGCCCAAGGCAGTATCCATTGATATCCTGCGGTTAATTCAGCCCCTATCCACAGTGTGATGGCATCAGCTATGGACGTTCTCCAGGTATTTACTGATGGACATTCAACCTGGGTCCAAGGTACGACTGTGGAAAGTATAGGCTGTGTCCGTGGAATTACTGCTGGAGATACAGCCTGGGCCCATGGTGTGACTGTGGAAGTTCCAGCCTCTGTGAACGGATTTACTGTTGGAGACTCAGCTTGTGTCCACAGGATAATGGTATCAGATTCAGGTAGTGTACAGAGATTTACTGCTGAAGAGTCATTTTGGGCTCATGGTTTGATCATATAAGATACGTACTGTGTCCATGGATTTATTGCTGGAGACTCATCCTGTATCCATGGTATAGTACTATCAACTACAGACTTTGTCCAGGGATTTACTGCTGGAAATTCAGGTTTGGTCCACAGCTGGTCTGCATCAGCTATTGCCCATGTCCATGAATTTAGTGCTGGAGAATCACTCAGGATCCTCTTTGTGATTGTATAAGTTTCAGACGGTGTCCAGGCATTTCCTTCTACATAAATTCAGCCTGGTTCCAGGGTAGGACAATGTCAGCTGTAGCCTCTCTCCAGGGATTCATTGCTGGCATTCTACCCAGAATCCATGGTTGAATCCAAGATACTGCTGGACTTTCAGCCTGGGTCCATGGTAGGAACATATCACGTGCCCAGGGACTTAATCCTAGAGTTTCAGCCAGAATCCATGTTGTGAGTATATCAGTTTCAGAGTATGTCCAGTGATTTAATAACTGATTCAGCCTGGATAGGTGTTGTGACCGTATCACATATAGAAGAATATATCCATGAATTCATCACTAGTGATTCAGCATGGGTCCCTAATGTGATTATATCAGTTCCCAACTGTTTCCAGGAAAGTATTGCTGGAGACTCAACGTGGGTTCACAGTGTTATTGTTTCAGTATGGAACTGTGTAGAGTAGTTTCCTACTGACAAATAAGCCAAGATCCACAATGAGACTGGGTTAAATTCAGATAGTGCCAGGTATTTACTGCTAAATATTCAGGCTGTATTTTTTCCAGGGATTTGTTGGTGGCATTTCATCGAGGATCCATGGTATGGCAGTTTCAGCTATAGTTTTTGCTCAGGGATTTATTGTTGGAATTCTATCCTGGATCTATGTTGTGACTGTCTTAGCGATAGGCTCTGTCAAGGGAAGTAAGGCTGGAAATTCTTCTTGGTTCCAAAGTGTGACTTTACCAGACACAGAATGTGTCCAGAGTTTCACTGCTGCAGATTTGGCAATAGTCCACAGTATGATTAGATAATCCTCTGGACAGGCTGGGGTGAAGTGACAAGATCATAAGTTACAGCAACATCAAACTCCCTGGTTCAAACAATTCTTTCACCTCAGCCTCCCAAGTAGCTAGGGCTGTAGGCACACTGCAAAACAAGCAGCTAATTTTTAAATTTTATTTATTTTTTCTAGAGACAGCATCTCACTCTATTTGCCAGCCTCCTCTGGAATTCCTGGCCTCAAGTGAGGCCCTGTCTCAGTTTCCCAAAATACTGAGATAACAGGCAAGAGCCACTGTGGCTTCAAAGGCTTTTTAAATAAGTTCCCTATTTCTTAATTTTTTTAAATCACTGAAAATTCTTCTGGTTTATTTATTTGTGATTAAGGAAAATGCATATCTTTATGTGTATTTACAGAACTGTTAACGTGTTTCTACACCTGCCCCCCCAACCCAAAAATGCTAGCTTTGCCTTTATGTAGTAAGTACTCAGCAGTCTACTTGTGGCTGATTCTAGATACATAAATTATTATTTCTAGTCATGTGACTATGTTGATGGTGGCAGATGGAGGGATCTAGAAGCTTAACTGACAACATCTCGATATTGCTGCCAAAGCTACTGTGATCTGAAGGAATAGAGATGAGAAGGATATGAGATATGCATTACTCCATCAGGCAATTGATAGCATGTTTTTCCTAAGAGATTTTATAGCATAGCTTTCAATCATTAAAAAATATCCCTGAGATAGTTCAAATTCTCCTTTCCTTCCATCCTATCTCATACAAACTTACTTCATAGACTCTTGGATTGTGGCAAATCACCTTACACCAAGTAACAGAATACAGAATAATTTCAATGCCTGATATTGTGACTTTACTTCCATTTTTACCCATATAAAGTTGAGTAATATGGACTCATTTGTTTATACATGTTTTATAAATTTCTGCTTTTATTTCTCCATTAATTTTCTTTTTTATTGTCCACCTCTAAATTATATTAATGATGTAGAGGACATGACTTTTGTGGCTTACTCTGATATTGGTATATAGCCAGCAGTGAGATTGCTGGATCATATGGTAGCTCAAATTTCAGATTTTTGGAAAAAATAAAAGATTTGGAAGCAACCTAAATGTCCATCAGCAGATAAAGCGATAAAGAAAATGGGGGAGGGATAGCATTGGGAGATATACCTAATGCTAGATGACGAGTTAGTGGGTGCAGCGCACCAGCATGGCACATGTATACATATGTAACTAATGTGCACAATGTGCACATGTACCCTAAAACTTAAAGTATAATAAAATAAAAACAAAAGAAAATGTGGTACACATACACAATGGAGTATTATTCAGCCGTACAAAAAGAATGAGATCCAGTGATTTCCAACAGCATGGTGGAACGGAGATCATTATGTTAAGTGAAATAAGCCAGGCACAGAAAGACAAACATTGCACGTTCTCACTTATTTGTGGGACAAGAAATAAAAATAATTGAACTCATGGACATAAAAAGTAGAAGGATGGTTACCAGAAGCTGGGAAGGGTAATGGGGGCCTGGTAGGGAGATGGGGATAGTTAATGGTTTTAAAAAAACATAGAAACAATGATTGTGACCTACAATTTGATAGCACACCAAGATGACTGTAATCAATAATAACTTAATTATACATTTTAAAATAATTACAGAGTGTAATTGTATTGTTTGTAGTTCAAGTGATGGGTGTTGAAGGAATGGATACCCCATTCTTCATGATTGGCTTATTCCAGATTGTATGCCTGCATCAAAACATCGCATGTACCCCATAAATATACACACTTACTATGTCCCCACAAAAAAAAATTAAAAAAAATAATATTATGAAGAGACTATACCAAGAGGGAAATAAGCCGTATCTTCCAAAGCATAATTTTTCTTTTACCAGGTTTGTTTTATTTATTTATTTTTTATTTCTCTATCTTTCTCTCTGCTACAAACACACACACACACACCCCTTCATACACACACCCCTTCATACACACACATACACAAGATGATAATCTGGCCAAATGTAAGTTTGGAGATATTGAATTACAGTTTACCATCCAGATTGTCAGGTCTGAAAGCTATTAGAAAATGAAGTATCAATCATCTAATATTTGGAAAAAATTTGTAAGCACATATCATGGAAGTTATTGATAATATGTTCTTTAAGTACTGTAGATTTTAATGCTGCTTTTAATGTTGGTTAAGTGGGAATTTTTATAATCTTGCTGTTTTATAAGAACAGTTAAATCAGAGATAAAATATAATGTATTGCTGCACTAATTTAGAAGGTGTCATGAATACCATACATATGTATGGATGGATATATAGACATAGACCCTTTTTTTTTTACAAACTTCACTGAATTATAGCATTTATTTTTGATGTTCTTTTACTCCAAGTGGTAAAATTACCTTTTTTAAAAAATCACTAATTATGGTAAGTAAATACACTGTAGCCCAAATGTAGGCCCAGCACATTGCTGGTGTCTAGGCAAATTATTCCCCAAACTTACTAATTAGTAGAAGTAGCTTTAGACTTTTACTAGGATAAATGCAACTTTGATTTTATGATGAGATTTATATTTAGTGTTGAGGACTTGTTTGATTAACGAGACTGGTGAGTCTATTAGGAAAAATAACCAAGACCCTCAGGGAGAACTACAAGCCTGAAGATCTAGATCAGCATAATTAGGGAATCCAAATGAGCCTCAAGCCCTAAGTGGGAATCCAAATGAGCCTCAAGCCCTAAGTTAGACGATATTGCTCCCAGACTTTTATCACTGCCTTCATATTCATCTCTGGACTAGTCATTTTCAATGCATGGAAAAAAAATGGGTGCATGTATTTTTAAATTATTGAGGACAGTATCCTACTTAAGCACAATACTGTATTCATGCATTTAAGTGTCATGTAAGGATTAATATTTTGATTTACTCTAAAACAATAAGTTACTGAACTCCTAGAGGCCCATCCTAAATAATATAAATAAGATACAGTCACTATCTGTTGTTCACCTAATAAGTACCTGACACTATGCTAGGAAATAGGAGGTGGGTGGTGGGACTTAATGAGTCTGTCAGTCCATTGTTTTTATATATTTTATATAAATATATATATATTTATATATGTGTGTGTGTATAATTGCTGTTTTAATTATTGAGCATCTGCTATGTGTCAAGCACTGTAATGGACACAACAGACTCAGTAGTATGCAAAACTAGCACACACTTTGACCCCATGGAGTTTGCAATGTAACTAGGAAAGTATATGTGAAACTGAATATTACAAAGAAGAATGCCAGAAGAGCAGGAAATATTTCAGGAAAAAAGAATTATTTCAGATGTTTATGAACTTCACCTACAGTTTCAATCTTGTAAATATAAACATGCTGTTCTTTATACAAAATCCCACTGTGGACTCACAAGCACAGATAGGGTACACGCAGGGATGGTTTTCCCAAAGCTGAGATAAATTGAGATTGAATATCAGCCACCCTCAGCTAATCTCTTAAATAGACACGCATACTTAAGGAATGCTTGGACTAAGTAAGCCTATGACACAGGGTGAAGGCAATGTAACCCCAAATTAAATCAGCAACTTGTTCCCCCTTGGTTCACTTTAATTGTGCTAATTATCAAAAACCTGAATATGTGGTCAAGCTGGGCACAGAAGGTGGTAGAGAACTTCCACGTATTATTATTTACTTTTCAAGTCTCTACACCTGAAAAGCAGAAAAGGCAGGTGCTATTAATACCATTTTATGGATGAAGACACCAAGACTTATAGCTAATAGCCCACCCAAGATCAAAAATACATAACAAGAGCTATTTCCAAACCTCAAAGCACGAATCTCTTGGGTATGAACTCTTGTCTCTTTGCTGAGTCAGATTACTTACTATTCATATACTTTGCATCATTACATAAAAGAAAATTGCTCAGTTACATGCACTTTAAGCCTTTTAGGTATATTCTATCAAAAACACAAGATCAATTCAAAAATAAAAATTGCTTTAAAATTTATAAATTTGAGCTATTTACTTGGTAGTATTCATGTATTCATGACTCAGCAGGTAGCAATATAATGCATGCTTGTCAGATATTATTCACTATAAAATAATAAAATAGTGCATCCCTGGGTAAAATTAAGAGCAAGACTCCATCTCAAAAAAAAAAAAAAATTCTACTCCCAGGTCTACAGAAAAAACGCCAGTTTAAATTAAATTCTGCTTGCTCCCATAGAATAAAATAGCCCTGTGTATTTAAATTACAAAAACAGTAGCCTTTCTGTTATATAAATTTATGTCCCGAATGAGTGTAGTAGATAGTGCATATACCACCACTGATATTTGTAGCTGGGCAATTAGAAACATGTAACTTGCAAACATCTATAATATTTATATTTATAATATCAAATATCTATAATACAGAAAGCCAAACAAGAAGTACAGGTTGACCAAAAAAAAAAAAAAAGAATAAACAGGCCATATGCACAACTGCAGCTCAGTAAAGCATGCTGCTGTCATTTTGTGGTAGATTATAGTTTTACTGTAACTAAGAACCAAACAACTCTAGAAGAAGTAGGTGTGCATTCATGTATGAGTGCACACACACATATTTTTGTTTTCTCATTTTTACTGATAATAACAGTAATAATTATTGCAGAAAATTCAGAAATGGAGTTTTTAAAACTCTAAAAATTGTACAACCATTCAGAAGTAAATGCTACTACCTTTTCCCCACATTTTCTTGCAGATCACCAATTATACATCAGATTTTTATGTATTTATTATGATTATTTCCTCACTGCCATCTATTCTTTATAATGTACTTGAATCACTCTACTATAATTCATTTAAGTATTCCCTTTTTAAAGGAGGTTATGAATTTGCCAGCTCTTTTTCTTTTAAATGTTTGCAAATTCGATAGTTTGAAATAATAACTCAATGATTTATTTGCATTGTATTTATTTGATTACTAGTGACAGTGAACAAGCGTCTCAATGTTAATTGACTATTTTTATCCCTTTATTAGTTCGTTATTTGAGCATGTTCTTTATTTTATTGAGAACAGTATCTTATTTCTCTAAAAACAATAACAATCAAAAGTACATTACTGAGGAAACATATTCATATTTGGCAAATAAAATAATGTGATGGTCTCATAACAACCCTTTCAATGTGATAACTTAGAAATAGTTTTTTTTTTTTTCTAAGTTGTCTTAAGTAACAAATGTTGTCTTTCCAAACCTAGCTTCAGGGGTAAAATAATAATAAAAATGCATTTGAATCCAAAATATGCAAGAATCATTGTGTCCAGCTCCTGTAGGTAGACAATATAAGCTACTGAAATCTGTCTGATGCATAAAACGGGTCCTTTTTCCTCCTTAATGATTCAGTCTGCTGGATTTCCATATTCATATTAACAGTTAAATATTTCTAAGTCATCCAGACAGGACTTATGAACCAGAATGTGATCTTTGTACCAGCGATTCATTTAATACAATTATTTATGGCACTACAGAATTGATATTTTGAAAAAGTATGAAAAAATATCTTAGCATATATAAAAAATCTTTAAATGATATGAAATACTCCGTTTTACCATTATTACTTCTAATAATAACACCAAAATTTGCATTTATCTTATTTGATCCTCACAGCAATCCACAGACCTAGAAAGAAGAGGCGTTTTCATCCTATTTTTATAAAGAAAGAAAGCAAGGTGCAAAAGACATTGAGTAAAAACCCAAGGTGATATGCTTAATTTGTAGCAAGGAAGAGGCTGAAAATTTACCCTTCGGTTTCTAAATCCTTTACTCCCTTTTCCTTAACACTACTGACCCTCCTTCCGCATAATTATAGCATCATTGTCAGAGTTCTAGTTTTCTGTTAACACCCTATTTGGTCTACAGGTGATGTTCAACTACACCTCTCTGTTTACCACCAAACTATGAAAGCGGAAGACAGGAGCTTTCCAGTGAAAACTTCTTAAGGAAACTTAGAGGGTGAACTGTCCTTTCAAATAATGTCTGCTAAGGATAAGTCTCTGGGTTAGCCTGATCTATTTTGTACTCTCATTCACCTGTAGCGTTATTCATACAATTCTCTGAGCCTGGAAGCCTGGAATGAATGCTTTTGTTCATTCTTTCTCTCTCCTTTCTTGCTTTTCTCTCTCCCTCTCTCTCTCTCCCTCCCTCCTTCCCTCTCCCCTCATCTCTCTCATCTGTCTCCACCCACCCCATTCTCCAAGGCCCACCTCATATGCCATCAATCTTTCTCATTATCTTCCACAAATTGAATGTGATAATTCTTGCCTCTGAACCAATGCTACTAAGTAAACTTATCTTTTAATTCAAACCTATACAAGTTGTCTTACTCCCTTATCTGACAATAAAATGCTTTATGGTTTTGCCTCACATATGAAAGTGTTCAATATCATTAAGAAAAATAATGTACAGATACACATCTGAGGAGGTATTGGCATATACAATTGATATAGGCATAGAAGTCTCGAAAATGGGTTTATATCACAGAACAAGAACTACCCATTTGTATTAAAGTACAACCTACTTGCCTAATTGTAGCATGTAGCTGAGAACAACCTCCAACGATGTGAATAGTTTGCACTGGGGCCCTTCAGAAATTGATTACCCTTCCAAAATGCATCCAGCTTTGACTTTAATGACAAGTTCAATTATTTTTTCTCTAAATTCATTGATGGCAATGTGTGTTATTGCCACCTTCTAATTGTAGCTTTCTGCCTCTTTGAATATGTCCCATGGCATAAGTTATGTGCATTTCAGCAATAGAAGCAAAAAACACTTGTGCCCAAATGACATTTGGGACTGACTTCACAATCTGCTCCAGGATTTACTCTAGGTGTTGTTTCCCTAATGTAGATCTTCCAAACTGAACCGCTTCAATCTTTTTTAGTACATAGTGCTGGAGTTGTAAATAACTGCTCAAAAGTCAACTGTGGTATGATCGAGACCCTAAGCAAGAAATTATGTGTAAAGAAAAGATTTCTTCTCTTTCCTAGGCCTGTTAATTCATCAGCAAAAGTAAGCAATTATAAAATAGGAGGGTTTTCCAAGTCTTACTGTGCAGAATCACCTGGGAAGTTTTTATTTGTATAAAAAGCACAGTTTTTTATCCTCATCCCAGTCCTATAGAATGAAAATTTCCAGGGATCGTTCTAATATATCTAGTCCATTGATCCCTGTTGAGATACAATAGGTTATACGGTCTCTAAGGTCTCAGGCATCACTAGACTTTTATAATCCATGAATATTTATGAAATCCAAATGATAATAAGAAAATGCTTTTTCATCCATCTAGACGCATCAGGCAAGGCAAAGAATGCTCAACTGAGTATCAGGAGACTTGGAATAAATCGTGGCTTTTTCATGACTTTGTAATCTCAGAAAAGTCCTTTCCTCTTAGGGCTTCAGTTTTCTCATGTATAAAATAAAATAATTGGATCAAAGCATAATCTAATCTGTGATGCCTTGTGAGTTGTGCCTGCAGAAGTTCAAATAAGATAGATGAGGATAAGGCTAACACAAAGACTTGTGCCACCAGGGGAAAGGCTGTTGACTATCTCACACGGGTATATTCATTATCATGATGCCAAGGCCTCAGATCTCTGCAGCCTTTTTGACTCAGTTATCTAAGTTATCAGCACTCAGAGAGTGGGTAGATTCACATTGTGCTGGCTCACAAGACTGATCAGAAATACAAATAATTAGTTTGCAGTGAAAAACAGGACTATGATAATAACTGTAGGCACTGTAGATGAGGCATCTTTTTTTCTATGGACTTTATGTAAAAGATACAGCATGGAAAGCTACCTGTAATGAAAAGGCCAGGAACTTATTTATAATGAAAAAAAAACATAACTGAAAGAGAAATAGGCAATATATTACTTTGGTGAGAGCAGTCTCTTTTTGAAAGTAAGATCTACCTAGAAAGACCCATAACCGACAGTATTCTTTTGGTGAGCCTAGAGCCATAGCAAAGGGAGTTAGGGGAATTAGCAAAAAAATTTGAATACATCTCTTACTGTTTTGATTTCAACTCCCTTTACCCTTTCCCAAATTCACTCAGAAACTTCCACGAACCTAGACTTGCAGGAAGTATTCAATAAGGATCTGCCTTTCAGAAGCTGAAAAAGACAAATAGGGCAGCAATGAGGTAGGGTAAAGTAGTAATGAGAAATAAGTTTAAGGACAAATCGTGGAGAACTCCAAATTCCATAACAATGAGTATAAACAGAATTCATAGGTATGAAGAGTGATAGAACCTCAAATTTCAGTTAAGTGACATGTCTGACATAGAATTGAATTGGAGTTAATTGGTGATATCTTGAAAAGTTAGAATGAATATTGAACACTATCCAATATGTGGCTAGTGATTAGAGGATTCAAGTGTATTCATGTGATATTCCAACAAAGTCTTGTAGCAACATATAGTATTTTAAAAGGGAGAGATGTTGGGAGTGAGTATAATTCAAAGAGGCATCTCAATTTCAAGTTAAGCAAAATATTAACATACATGTTAACTTAGTGAACTCCCACTGGACAGAAAAAGACATAATTTGAGCAATAATAACTTCAATCGTCAAAAACACATCACAAGTATAAAAGTAAATAAATTCAGAATGATAAAAACTTATTAGATATCATTGGAAGTTGCTAAGACATCAACCCATTTTTCTGAAAACAGATGAAGGGGAAATTTTAAAGCATTCATCGTCACTTTCCAGATGAAGGGCATTTTAAGATAAGCTAATAATTATGGAGAGAAAGTTATTCTTTGTTGAATTGATAGATTCAAAAGGAATGATAGAAGAAGAAAATCTCCATTTTGCATCCCCTAAAAGCATAATGTACCTTGACAACAATAATCAATTAATTCTAAAAACCTTAGTTGAAGTGTTGGTGAGAAATTTGATGATGGAAGGGTCAGGTTGACATCATCTGAACCCACAGTGACAGTTTCCATTACTGGAAGTAGGACAATCAGACATTATATGCCTCCAAGGCAGTGTAATGGAAAGTATACACCACCACTCACTAAATATTATTGCCTAAAATTGGAACAAAATACAATTAAGGCTCTGGGGCTACACACAATTTTAAGGGAAATACCAGAAAAAGAGGAGTATATTAAATGAAGTCATAAGGAACCAATCTGTGATATTCAGAATGTGGGATGGTCTATAGGACAAACAGTCCGGTTTCTCTCTCAATCAATTGCATGATCTGAGGGATTTTTGAGTATAGATGATATTAGATGGTGTTAAAGAATTTAATTAATTTTCTTAGCATAATAGGTTAATGTTATTAAGTATGCCAGTGACATGGTGATATGTAAAATCTATTTAAAATATTATTGTCAGAGATGTGTATTTAAGTATTTTCTGGTAAAATAACATAATGCTGTAATATTTTATAAACCCCTCTCAAACAAAATTAAAAAGAGTAGTTGGGCGATAGAAGCCTCAATATTCCAAAGTAATGATGGTTGTTGACTGTACGTGATGGATACATCGCAACTAATTACTGTTCTCTTTACTTTCATATGGAATTCAAAAATTTGCATAATAAAATGCTTTTTAAAATTACTGAATATGAATTGATCTGACTAGAGCAGAATTGGTGGACAACACCTGTCCAAGAGGTACTGCAGAGTAGCAAATCAGGGATGCCCCTTCTAAAAGTTGTAATGCTATGCAGAACTTCCTCTAACATAGAACTTATCACTCTGTATAATACTTACCTACTTAAATGCCAGTTTCCATATATTGTGTGCTGCTTATTCTTTAGTTTTTGCTACAGATTGATTCTCTATCTGTTTCCATGTTGTACTATTTTCCATAAATCTGGCTTGCTTGGGCTTCTTTACCCTCTGGCTTCCAACTAGATTTGGCCAAAGGAAAATACTGGCTAGATATCTGCTATAGATTGATTCTCTATCTCGTTCCATATTGTAGTGTTTTCCATGAAGCTGGCCTGCTTGGGTTTCTTTACCCTCTGGATTCCAACTAGATTTGGCCAAAGGAAACTACTGGCAAGATATCTGAGGGTGGAAGGAGAGAATGAAGTACTAATTCCTTTGTTTCCTTCCCTTATAGGCTGCAAGTTGTCTGGGCTGATTTGTCTATCTGTTAATAGCTCCTGTGGTCAAAACTTTCATACAGATAGAACTTTCACTGTGGGTTCCAGAAAGGATTTCCTCCCCTTGACCCTTTAGGCCTAGGAGTAGTAGTAACTTTTCAGTATGCCATCTGTTATTTGCTAAGACCCTGACTGATAAAGACTATAAGCTTCATTAAAGCTTACAAATTGTCTCACTGTCTTTTGTTCATTGTGATACCTACAATATATGACTGCCTGTCATCTAGGAGACAAAAAATTAATATTAGCTAAAGGAAAAGAAAAATAGAAGGATATGAATAAAATCCCACATTAATTTCCAATTTTAAAAAAAGTAACGGAGAAATAGAAAATACATGCTTATTGTGTTCTTTTAAAAAGAGTCCATTCATTAGTCAGTTTCATGTACAATGAATTGGCCATGCAGACGGCCAGTGCTGAAGAGAAATGTTTGAAATATCTGCTCCTGTAACTACCAAACCTTTAAATTTATTTTCCTGAATACTTATTTCACAGGTAGAACAATTATCAGTAATTTGATTTACCCAATAAGCTGCTTTGCCTTGTTTATTTGTGCTTCCAAATCCTCCTCTTCATTTAATTTCACTTTTTCCCATTCCCAAATACAGCACAATCAGGAGCTGTGCTATACACTCTCCTGGCTCTGCTTTCCAGCGAACAGAAGTAGATATAACAATTTGAATTTCCCCATTGTAGTCTGAATCAATGACTCCTGTATGTATTTGTACCTCTTTTAAACTTAAACTAGACCTTCCTAAAAGTGATCCTATTGTTCCCACTGGCAAGGGTCCACAGACTCCTGTTGGGACCTTATGTGGGTGTTCCCCAGGCGGAAGGCTCACAGCTTTTGTGCAGCATAAATCTACTGCCACACTACTGGCTGTGGCAGGGGACAGATATTGTACAGAGGTGAAGGAATGGCCTGAGCTGGAAATGCCCCAGTCTGGAGTGGGGGCCGGGATGGGCTGGCACCTCATGGCATTTCCTGAAATTGGGTTCCCATCTTTATCAAACTTAGAGTGACACTGACTAGCTCAATGTTTTCCTTTTTTACATTTTGGACACATTTCAGACTCAGCAGTTACTTTTTCCTGCTATCTGGCAGCCTGACTCACTGATTTTTTCTACATTCTTTTTTAGTATGAATAGCTTGTTTAAATTCTTGAGTAATTTAAAAGGAAAAGCCTCAAATATTTCCCTGCTGATCTGGGGGTTGTATTCTAACAGAGTACTGCCAAGCCTCTAAATCACCCTCTCTTCTAGCTTGCTGAATTACTGCCTGTATAGAACTGAGAGCACTCAAGGCGCTGCTTGAACACTCACTGGGGCAAAAAGTTTTCACCCAGGGTCCTCTGGAAAAGAAAGATCTGGAGGGCCTTTTTCTTCAGTATAATAATGAGGGGGTGCAGAAGGGTAGGGATGAACCTCTCCCTCCTTTGCCGCTTTAGCTTTAGTTGGCAAATAAACCTGCTCTGAAACCTCCTGTGTTACTTCGTTATACTCTCCTTCCTCCCCATCATCAGTGTGAAAAAGTTCCAAGGTGGAACTAACCACAGCCCGCACTTGTCCCATTGTTACCCTGATGCTTCTGAACTCCCCTTCTTACTCACCAAGGGGATTGCTTTAAGAGTACTTGGGTGTCCTCCAGCTGGTTCCACATTCTCCAACCATCACTCCAGTGATCCTTTGACCTGGATTCAACCCCTTGCGTATGGGTGCCCCTTGCCGAGACCAGCTCAGCTGGGGAAAACCCTAACCCAGCAGTGCTAGAGGAATTAAACCACACACACACACACACACACACACACACACACACACACACACAAATATAGAAGTGTAAAGTGGGAAATCAGGGGTCTCACAGCCTTCAGAGCTGACGGCCCTGAACAGAGATTTGCCCACTTATTTACTAACAGCAAGCCAGTCATTAGAATTGTTTCTATAGATATTCGATTAATTGAAAGTATCCCTTATGGGAAATGAAGGGATGAGCCAAAATAAAGGGATGGGTTTGGCTATTTATCTGCAGCAGGGGCATGTCCTTAAGGCACAGATTGCTCATGCTATTGTTTGTGGTTTAAGAATGCCATTAAGCAGTTTTCCACCAAGGGCGGGCCAGGTGTTTTTTGCCCTCATTCTGGTAAACCCACAACCTTCCAGTGTGGGTGTTATGGCCATCATGAACATGTCACAGTGCTGCAGAGATTTTATTTATGGCCAGTTTGGGGCCAGTTTATGGCCAGATTTTGGGGGACTGTTCCCAACAGGTGGTATTTACAAATATTTTACTGTGTACCTATTTCCTGCAGCTATTAGTAGGTTGGCTCAAGATCCAGGAATGAGATGATACAATTGAGGTAACAAGGCCCCAGAAGAGCAATAGGAACTGGGGTCAACATTGCAAAGAAAAAGGAGAATGGGCCTTGAAACGTAAACACATTTGCTTCCTCTGGGACAAGTAGAAAAGGAAGAATGTCAGAGGTAAACAGTCAAGTTGGGATAATGAGAAGCACACTCTAAATAAGCTCCATCTTCTCAGGCAGATTAGAGGGTTAGATCATGGGTTTTAGGAGCAGCTCAGAGGTACAGAGCAGCTCAAGTGTGTAACGGAAGAACAGCTCTTTAAGGCACAGAGGACTGATCACCTGTATTGAGGGCCCAGCTGTAGTTGGGGGAGCCTGAAATTAAGTAAGCCCAAACCATGTGCTTGGAGGGGAGTTTATTTTTTATTTTTATTTTTACTTTTGGTAGGTCCGTGGAGGAATTCTAAGCATCCATCTCTTCTTCACCTTTCAGTGAGGGTGGAAAGATGAAGATGTTTAAGGATTGGAGGTTTGCAGAGCCTACCTTATTTGATGTGAGAATGGCAGCCTATTTAACTGAAGATTCTGGGCTTATCTTGCATAGTGAAGGGAAGCAGAGGAGGGGGCAAGTGGCAGCTAACCCAGGGGGAAAGGGAGGGTGGATTAGCGGTCTCAGGGATCAAGGACTAGATCTGGAGAGACTGGCAGGTGGAATTATAACAATTGTCCAAGAGTACAGAATTGCAGGATTAGGTTTCAGGTGGATACTGGAAAGCAAATGCACTGTGCTGCCATTGGATGGAGTCATGGAAATGAACAAAGTTCAAGGTCCCTGGGGTGAAGGAGTCACCAGGGCTGCAAAGGTCATCCATGTGGCCATTTGATCTGGTCATCTGGGAAGTAACTGGACAAGAGAAAGTGAGGATGAGGAGTGGCAGGGAGTCTATTTCAGCAAGTGGGATTGAATCTATTTTTTAAGAAATCATATTCTGTTTCTAAGTGTATGTCTTAGACCACACTGGATTTACAGCAGTATTTTTGGCCTACATCGTGAACTGCTGCTGCCAGATGTTAAAAGTAGCAAGGCTTTACCCTAGCATTAAGTCTTGCTTGGGGCTTCTCAATGAGACCTACTTGTTTAATGTTAAGTGCACACCCTTTACAATTTTATATAGCATTGATAGGAATTGGGCTTGCTCCAGCTATAAAAATGAGTGTTGGAAGCACAGTTTTTTGAGATGTTTGGATTGTGTTTAGACTAATAACTTCATCTGCAAGATACGGGACTGGCTAGATTCCTGTTTATTTAACTGTGAGTTTCTGAAGGCTTTGAGGAAGATTGTCATCCTCACACAAACCGCCATGGCTGTATTTCCTCACCTGGAATGTCAATCCTTTTCTCTTCCTGATAAAACCATACTGTCTTTCAAGACACAGCTGGACTGTCACCCTGGTGATATCTTCCCTGACTCCCACTGAGCAAATGATTTAGGTCTCGTTCCTGCATGCAGTCTTTATTTACCTCAGTTATGAAGTTATACCTTATTGTGATTATTTCTCCCTGATTAAATTGTGAGGTCTTTAGAGACAGTGACTATATCTGTCTACATTTGTATAACTTGTTCCCAGTATGCTGCTTGATATGTGTTAAGTAGTAAATTCTTGCTCTGTGAAAACATAAATGGAAGGATGGCCCATTCATTTAGGAGTTCATAAGAGCTTGCTAACTCTGAGTCAGAATGACCCATGAACTGAAACATACAGAGAGCACCATCACTAAAAACTGTGGGATTATATTCTTTTGCAGTTTTATTGCTGAATGCACATTTTGTTCAATGGTTCTTCCTGAAGAACTCATCAATTTTTAGTTAACGGGACCAGGTGTGGTGGCTTATGCCTGCAGTCCCAGCATTTTGAGAGGCTGAGGTGGGCATGTCATTTGAACCCAGAGGTTCAAGAGCAGTCTGAGCAGCTTGACAAAGCCCATCTCTATAAAAAACACAAAAAATTAGCCGGACTTGGTGGTGTGTGCTTGTAGTCCCAGCTACTCGGGGGGCTGAGGTAGGAGGATCCCTTGAGGCCAGGAGGCAGAGGTTGTAGTGGGTCAAGACCACGCCAGTGCACTACAGCCTAGGCAATAGGGCAGGAACCTGTCAAAAAATCTTTTTTAGATAAAGGACTGGAGATTTTAAAGCACTAAGTAGCATATATTACATAAGGGATGTTAGGAACATATGAAAATACAGGTAAATAGTAATTAGGAGAGTCAATTTGTATGCAGCTAGAATATCTAGTTGTATAAGTTTGAAACTTTGCTTTCCAATAGGTTGAAAAAATTCAAACTCAAGTCTGGAATTTTTTTTTTTTTTTAGATGGAGTCTCACTCTGTCACCATGGCTGGAGTTCCATGGTAATTATCAGGTCACCACAACCACCTTTGTCTCCCAGGTTCAGGTGATTCCCTTGCCTCAGCCTCCTGAGTAGCAGAAACTACAGGTTCCCGCCATGATGCCTGGCTAATTTTTGCATTTTGTTAGAGATGTGGTTTTACAATGCTACACAGGCTGGCCTTGAACTCCTGACCTCAGGTGATCCTACCACATTGGCCTCCCAAAGTGCTAAGATAACAGTTGTGAGCCACAGTAACCAGCCAAGTTGGAGTCTCTTGAAGGTGAAATTGTTGCTTTGTGGAATTTAGAAAACAGTATATTCATTTACATCAGTTTGGCTTTCATCAGTTTTCTTGCGAAAAATTAATAATTTTCTATGTAGATTGACATAAAAGAAATTTATGGCCAAAGGCAACTTTAAGTAAAAGCCATGGATTTGCTAAGAGGAAGAGAAGTAGTGCTGAAGCACTGGGTTGAAGCTTTTGAATTTTAAGTATGCATGTTTATTTTTGAAACTCAGAATTATGAGAGTAAAAAAATTACTATATATATGCATATATAGTATATATGTATACACAGTAACCGTGATATATATATATATATATATATATATATATATATATAATCACAATATTCTAATGTTTATTGCCAAGTAGAGTTCTTCTTTATAAAGGTGATATCACCTATAATTAGAAAATACAAATTAAGAGGAAAAAACACTAGGGTTTTGCTTTTGACATATTAAATATTAAGATGAAAAAGAGACTGAGATGCTATCACCAGCTTACAGTAAGACCAGACAGAAAATTTTGAGAGGCCACCAATACTTGAACAGATCATACATTTTGCAGTTAATTTCAATCCTTCAGTTCTGATAGTTTTGTTTGTTTATGTCCAGTAACTGAGTTCCATATGTCCAGAACTGAGTTCTACACCTGCAGCTTTTACCAGCTCTATGCTCAACAAAGAAAGTATGGTAGTCTGACTTTATTTGCATTGGGTGAAATTATTTCTTTTGTGTTATTCACCTTTTTTAAGTGCTCACAAATATTTCATTCTTCAGATCTTACCTGGGATTGACTGAAAGCTCATCTGTCTGTAGTTTGTGCAATAAGCCTTATTTTCAACTGGGAATGTTTTGTTAATTGACAAAAATAGATATGCCAGGAATCTTCGTTCATTAAAAAATGTGCCTCCATATTCTTTAATATTGTTTTCTCCCTTCTTTAGATTTGATTTGTTTGATTCTAACCTCTGCCTACCTTACTCTTCTTTTGGCAATAATGAAAAAGTAAGTTAATCAAGAGAGACAGAAAAAAAAATAAGGAACAACATTTTGGCAGAGAGTTTATCACTTCCCTACCTCAATTTCCTCTACTGCTATTTCCTCTTTCTCAGGATACATACAAAATAAATGTAGTTTTTACCTCTCCATGGCCTTCCAGATTGCCAGCAGAGGGAGGTAATACCTAGAGCCTTTAACTTTCCTTAGAGTAGTCAGTGCTCATAGAGTGGCCCTGTTACTATGTAAGGGAACTTCCCCAACATTTGTGGGCATGCTGCATAAGTCACCCTTTATTAAAGGACTCTTAGATGACTTTGTCTGTAGGAGCCATCTGCTTTCTGCCTGGATCCCAACTGCTGCTGACAGATGCACAGATTATTTTGGATGTTGGGGATGTCATCAACAGGTAGACCAGACAGAGAGCTCCTTCTCTTCATGGTATAGGAGAGAAACAGCTATTTAGGTTAATCTGAGGATTTGAAAGAGTTCTTTTACTTGGAGTAGGACTCCAAGAGTAATAACGTTTGCAATAAAATGCACTAAATACTTTTGTTCTGAAATTTGAGTGTTAGGACTACTCTGAGATCATTAAATAGAATTAATATTATATTTATTGCATGAGTACCAAGAAAAGAAACAACAATGTAAAAGCTGTTTAAATGTTTCTGTTAAATGAAATAAGAAAACTTAAGGTAGATAATGACTAGGATTTCTTTTGGCCTTCTTATATCTGGCTCCACTGGCTCATGAAATTGTGGTATTTCAGAAAGAACTGCAGAAAGCAGGAAATGCTATCATAGCTGAGCATGAGGAGTTCAAAAATCACAGGCCAGCTCTGCAGTACAACTGCAAGATGCAGTGAGTCTTGCTCCTTGCCAGTTCCACTTTGATACAAATACACTTCTTCAGTATGTAAACTTGGCCCAAGTCACACCTGTGCAAATCAGATTTATTTTAATATCAAACATTACTCCCCCAAATATAGTAAAGTTTCTCTTTGTCATCTGAGAAAATTCTCTAGTGATAATATGATCTTATATTCATAATAGCAATAACATGGAGAAGAAAGCAAACACACCTAAATGTAAAATTTTCAGAGTGCCAGATTTTTTCCACTGTTATCTCTGGATTCTCACCCTAAGGATTACAAACATTCACCGTGTCTTCTGCCCACATGCCCTAGAATGTTTTGATATGACTGAAAAAGATGGTGAAATCTGTTAAACCCACCTAGTTTGTGTTCTGTTTGTCATTTTTAAAATAGGGACCCTGTTGTTTACTGGCATAAATATTCTCAATTAAAAGAGTACAAACAGGATAAGAAAACGTCTCCTTGTGAAGCAAGCCGTGATTTGTTTTGCAATAATTTCTTTTCTGATTCTGAATCTTTTCAGAATGAGCATTCTGGGTGGCTGAAGGCCCAGATACTAGATTACAAACTTCCGTAAAAAGTTAAGTATTCAGGTGACCGATTTTGTATTGCAACTGAAGCAAACTCAGACAGGTTAGAGACATTTTAAATCTATGAATATTTTTCTGTGTGTAAAGCTTCTGATGCTTGTGAAAATGTAATGACCCTAATTTATTGAATATTAAGTAATTGTTATGTTAGAGGAAAAGCCACAGAAACGTGTGTCATCTTAGAAGTAAAACTCCCTATCCACTTTGGTAATACCATCTGGATCATCAGCAAAAGTCACTTGTTTCATAGGTGCCTCATGGCTTGGGAGAGCCTTGTGTCTCAAATGGGAAAGGCGTGGTGGTGACATAGAAGTCTCCAGGTTTATCTTAGAAATTTCTTTTCTATTTGTTACCTCAATGTTAACAGCAGTTCAGTAATTTTATGGATTCCTTGATAGATATATGCACACACAGGAGGAGCAAGGCAGTTTAGCAAAGAGAACATTGCTCTCAGAATCAGACAACTGTTCTTTTGGATCCCTGTTTTGAAGTTAGTTGTTTAATCTTGGACATGTTACCTTAACTTCATTGGGCCTCAGTTTCCTCATTTTTAATGGGGAAAATAATGCCTATTGAGCCATGATGAAAGTGATGAAAGGAGATGGGTTACAACGCAGTGCCTGGGACATAAGAAAACACTCAATAAGTGGTGATTGGTATGATTGGTATGATTTTATTATTGTGTGTTCACTGTGGATACATCTGTGCCCCTTCCTACTTCATAATAAGGATATTGAAGCTTAGATGCTTTCTTCTTCAGTTGCTTTCAAGCTCAAAGAAAGTGTGTTTGTGTTACCAGTTAACTGGTTTCTCAAACTTGTTCTGAGCCTTCCTCGTTCCCCTTTGCACTTTTTCCTCATAAGTTCCTTGCTCTCTTCTACCAGCACTTGACTTATTTTTAACTCTTTACACATTTCTTCTCCTTTCTGGTCTCATTTTCCTTTCAGTTCTGTTTGTGAAACTTCTCACAGCTGAAACCATAGTCTCATGTTAATAAAAATAGTTGAATGGGAATAGAACTTTTGCACTTGCATGCAATGAGGAGGGCAAGCTTCTTTCTCACAGCTTCATTGGAAGGCATTTCAGGACAGTGAGACACAGGCACTGGCTTTGCCTTAGGAAAGTGCAGTAGCTCTTGAACCTGCTAACGGTGTGACCCAGGGTCAATAAGCTTTAGTCTCCCATCTATAAAACGGAAGCTGTGAGAATTCCTTGACCACAGTGTTTTTGTGAATGCAGGTTCTTACTTTTTGTCTGAAACTCATGCCGTATGCTGTGGATTTCACAGCACACGAAATCCACAGCATGTGAATTCTGTAGTACCTGCTGTAGTGAAATGCATTAGTTATTTTCCAGTCAACTGTATGAATATTCATGCCGGGGCAAATAAAGATAATATATGGGTTCACGTCATTTCAGGTCATAGTATTTAACCAAATGAGTTCATGTCTGGCTAGGCTATGCCCCTAAGTTATGAATAAATTTTCAATTTTCAGAGCTGTGGGGATGTGGAAATTGTGCATAATGGATTCTGAAGTTGTACTGTGTTACAAAAGACACATGAAGCTGTAGCTGGTACAATAAGCCCTCAATAAATATTAGTGGTTATCACTACCATGGCATCAGAAACTGTTTAATGTGGAAGTTTGTCCTTATTATTGCTCTCTTCAACTTTTCAAAACAATAATATTCTCAATTACATGAATTTTCTTCTCTTCTGTGTCCACTCACTTTTGAAATTAGCATTTTGTACTCTGCAGCCCTAGAGAATAAAGTGTACTGTAATCCAAAGCAGCATCTGATCCATCATTCTGTCAGTGGATTAATAAGTGGCAATATGGTGCCTTGCAATGGTGCTATACATCAGGATTTCTTGAACGATTCTCTTAAACAGAAAAGAGGTATGGTAACATCAAGGATCCCAAATTTTCCAAATGGAGCTGTGGAGGGTAGTCCTTCCAATTCTGACCTTGAGTTTGTAGTTAATACTAAGCAAGGGTCAAAGAGCTTAAGCAAGAGGCAAAGAGCTTAAGTAAGAGGACAGACCCTTGGAAAAGGCTTTCAGAAGTTGCTATCTGAGAGTCGTTAACATCATACCAAAAGCCCACTACCAGCAAAGAGCTCACCATCTCTGCACTTGCTGAAAGCTTTCAAAAACATTACTTCCAGTTCTCTAGAAAGCCATATATTTGCAGAGGACAGAGTTGTCTCTGAGCAGCCTCAAGTGAAAAAAACTTAAAGATTAAAGGACTGGCACCTGGAAGCACTCATGGGCAGTGCAGTGTTGAGGCTACACAGTGGCATTTCCTCCAGACAAGTCTTCTCTACCCCTTTTCCGAAAGCAAAAAGAACCTTAAAGTGAAATGTATCTGGAAGGTTAGCCACCTGGACAAAGCGTTGTGTGCTGCTCTGGAGTTGGGTAGCTACCCTCCATCTCTCCACCCATGATAGAGGGTTGCTGTGAGAGTCAGCAGGACAGACTGGCAAGGTCTAGTGTCTCCTTTACACACAGAGGTGTTTAGATACTAAGAGCTGTCTTTCCTTTGCTGCCTGTTACTTTCATGCATTTTATTATTGCCAGTGCAATTAACTTAGGTGTTTGAATCATTAGTTTTGTGGATCTTATGCATCATAATTTGCTATTTGCAAGGATAACAATTTATTTTTGAACTAATAGAGCTCTTTAGAAACCGCTTGGTATCTTCATGCACCTGGTAATATTCTTGCCTTGGTTCCTTCTGAACCTTAGGTCTGGACAGATTACATGTGGGTTCCCCAGTCCTTGTTCTGACAGAATGCCCCAGCAATCACCCACTGAGTCAAGGCACAGCCTCTCCAACCCTCCAGACCAAAAGTTTCGGTAAGTACAACTTTCTGATTGACTAGCTTCAGCTGAATCACGTTACTTACTCTGTCAGCCTTCACTTATTTTGTTTGTTTTTTTTTTTTTTTTTAGGTTAATTTTGCAGACCATTTGGCAGTATAGAAGTTAGAATCAGATTGCAAAATGATGTGTGATATTTGAGAATCATCTAAATTATGAAGAGAAAAAAGGATGGCTTTTAGCAAATAAGTGGATAATGCATATTTGCTAAACTGTACATGTAGAACATGAGATATGGTATAAATAAGCATCTTCATAGTTCTGTCAATAGACTCAGTTTATTAAGATAAAAACAAATGTACAAAATATGTGAAAGCAAACAAATGGAGTTTATTTCTAAACTTGGAAAAATTATACACATCATTAAAAAGTCATTTAAAATATTTTGGCATTGAAATATAAACAGATACATTTTTGTTTTTTGTTTTTGTTTATGTTTTTGTTTTTTGGTGAGTGAGGGCAGAGTCTTACTCTGTCACCCAGACTGGAGTGCAGAGACATGATCTCCACTCATTGCAACCTCTGCCTCCTGAGTTCAAGTGTTTCTCCTGCCTCAGCCTCCCAGGTAGCCTGGATGACTGGAGTAGGCCACAACACTCGGCTAATTTTTGTATATTTAGTAGAAATGGTACTACACTATGTTGGCCAGGCTAGTCTCAAGCTCCTGACCTCAGTTAAACTGCCCAGCTCTGCCTCCAAAAGTGCTGAGATGACAGGTGTAAGCCACAGTGCCAGGCCTAGATAAAATTCTCATTTCCATAACATTGCAATAAATTCAAATGTGGCAGTGGACTCTAGAGCATGATTCTTGAAACACTAAGGAGTGGGTGTTTTTAGGAACTGGACTAGTGGGTTACCAAGGCTGTGATTTGAGTCATGAGGAGACTTCTACCCATACATGGGCCCCACAGCAGAGAGAACTGGCTCCACAATTCCAGGCTCAAGCTTCAGTGTCTGCACTGAAAAGAAAAGAAAAATAAATATCTATAACGTCTCTTCTTCTCTGAAACATTAATTATGACTATGTTTCCCAATGCTTGTATTTAGTAAGATTTGAAGCTTACTGTTTTTTTTTTTGTCTTTTCAATGCAGCTACAAGGCTACAAGCTATGCAAGGCTAAAGTTATGCTAACTCAACAGTTATGCTATAAATTATGTAACCTGTCATTGTCAAATTAGCTTCTGTAGTTCTGCTTTTGTAATTTGGCTTACAAATATCCCCCTCAGTCTTTGTTCAATGCTCAGCATTTTTGGATATAAGTCTGCTGAGCCAGGGCACCTAAATACATCCTCCTATTTCCCCATATTAATCTCTGTGGTCCTCTGCTTCCCACAACATTATTGGCCAGTCAGCCAGGAGTGGAGATGACAGGTTTCCTGTCTCCTTTGCCCCTGGGGCTTAAGCCCTGGGTCTCAGGAGTCCTGTGACCCAAGGAGCACCACTGGGAGAACTTCAGCCTGGAGGGGAGATCAGCCATTTTGTGACCTCGTGCCCCTACCAAGCAGTGCAATGGTACCTAATGGGTTATAGGACGATTCCAGGAACAGCTCACTTCAGAAACCACAGTAAGGTATTGGGACCCAAGGCAGGACACATCCCACAAGGACCAAAAGGGAGCCTAATCACCTCCTAGGTTATAACCGGTAATCCAACCCAGAGGTGCTGCAGGCCGCAAGAGTGGTTCACCAATTCAGAAGAAACTTACACCTCAACCAACACAGCATGTGACAGTGGCTCACTAAATCAGCTCAGAAGGAAACTGGAGGTGGTGAAAGTGACTCGCCACCCCAACCAGGAACATGAGAACTGGTAGAAGGATGATGTGTGAGTGGTGAGGCCTAACTAGGCTAATCGGCCATAAAGTGAGGAACCACAAGTCTCTTAGTGAAGAATGTGTTCCAAGCCAAGTGTGGGGCTGATCAAGACTAGTGGTGATCCACATATGGCTAAAAGAAGCTACCCCACAACTTCAGCAATTGTGTTGGGCTTAAGAAACTCTCCAAAGCTAAGTAGTATCTAAAAACCCCCATAATAGGAGATGGTCTAACTGGCTGGAAACAAAGGTAAAAAGTGAGCACGAGTACACTGCATCATAACTGAAAAGAAATGGGAAGAGAGTTGTCACAATATACATCATTCAAATATATGCTAAAAAAAACTTTAAGAAAGGGTTTACAGGAAACTATAAAATTAAGCTAACCCTGCAAAGGTAAAAAGCTCTCTGTAAACTAAAATGGCCCCCTTTTGGTATTAAATAGGTGACCCAAAAAACTATACACATAGAAAGAATTGGTCATGAGTTTGAGGTAATGACAGGGGTCTGAGTATAGCCAGGGTACCCAGACCAATTTTCTTATATTAACTCATAATTAAATATAATACAAACAAGAACAACATGAATCCAGCCCTGCTTCACAGCTTATTGCAAAACACTTGTAGCGCAGGCCGAGCCAAAAGTGAAAATAGAAGCAGCTTCACCAGCAAACACTGAGTTAAAAGGAAAGTCCCAAGGACAGAAAGGAAACCCAGTTTTAAAAAACTACAAAAGGAAAAAAAAATTCTCCTCCATTTTTCATAGCCTACCTCCCTTTGCTGAGGCAAACAGCCCCCCAGGAGCTAGGTTCCATTGCCAGTACACCCCAGGTTTCACCCCAGAGGGAAGAATTGGAGCCTTGAGAGGCCAGTGATGGAATTCAGGATAGTGAACCAGGCTGCCTCAAATCTGATCATGGTCAAGCTATGTAAATACCTCTCAGGGAAATGCAAGGACTCATCTGTTATAATGACCAGTGCCACATCCTGGTGTGGGGGGCAGCAAACCTTCCTCTATCAGCCCTTTTCAACCACTAATCTCCTAAATGTAAATCAACACACTAACTCCTACAAGGAAAAGCCCCAAGCTCTCATAAATCTAACACAGTCCACCTTTCTAACACACAATCCAACCTGGCTAAATTGAAGATAACTTATCTTAACATTGTTCAACATGGAGGAGTGCCAGAGGATAACTCAGGCATCCCATCAAGGGCTAGAAGCCAATGCACCAGCTGCAAAAAGTACATGGTTTTGCAGGCACGAATACAACCCAGCTTACAGAAATGGCCACCAAAATGTAGGTTAACCATCACCAGGAAGCAAAGAAAAAAAAAAAAAGCAAATCAGAGGTTTAAAAAAGGCCAATCTCTTAGCAGCAGCTCTCATTAAAAAAATGACTAGCAATATACAAGAATGTGGATGTGCACGTGCATGTGAAAGATGTCAATTTAGTCAAAAATTTAAAAGCCAGCCGAGGCTAGAGAGAAAACAATGTGTGTGATGCAAAAGAAAAATACTGAAAGAATAAATGTCCAGAAGGTAATAAAAAGTATAATCAGGACTGTGGTATAAAAGAGTCCAGCTAAGGGCTGCCTCACTGTGGGAAAATCAAATACGAATCTAAACAGGCTGGCTGGCACTAAAGGATATGGGTACTAGGACAGACCAGGCTTTTTCTTATTACAACTCCATTGGCCCATGGTCACATTAAAAGTTGAAGGCCAGCTGATGGACTTTATGTAAACACCAGGGCTACACATTCAATACTGACTCAACCCATAGGGCCACTATCTGAAGCTATAAAACTATTATAAAAGCCACAGGAATCTCAGAGAAAAAAGCTGTTCTGGTAAGGAGGTGTGTCATCAAAGGATGGGAAGTTCAACATAAATTCCTATACCTCCTGAATTGTCCAGTTCCCTTGTTAAGAAAAAAAAAAATTACTCCAAAAACTGAAAGCACCAATTACATTTCAGCTGCAAAAAAAAAAAAAACAACTTTTTTTCTGACTCTCCAAAAAAGCATGGTGCTAACCCTTATCATCCTGCAGGCTAAGGAATGGAAACTTTATACAAAGAAAGTGCAAGCAGCAAATTAGAATTGCAGGTGGGATAAAAAAAAATTATTTCACTTAGTTAATAACATTTCTGGAGTATGGGTTAAAGGCAACCTACTTGGATTAGCTGTACATCATGCACAGGTGGTAGTCATGTTAAAACCAAAAGAAACTCCGATTTGGGTTCATCAGTACCCAGTCCCCTGAGAAGCTATTCCAGGTATCTGTAAATATTTAAACTGGCCTTACCAACATGAAGTCTTAGTTCGATGTCAATTGCTCTAAAACACTCCACTTTTGGAACATGTGTATTTTAATAAATCTCATTCCAGCAAGTGCTACCTGATTTGCAGTCCTAAATTTAAAGAATGTATTCTTTTATATCTGCTTAGCCCCAGTTAGTCACCCTATATTTGCATTTCAATAAAACAAATAAGTTGTTCAACTCACCTGGGCCAGGCTCCCGCAAGTTCAAAGACTCTCCTACAGTCTTTAGGGAAGCACTGACCTTGAAGCCTACAACCTGCCAAATGTTAACTGTGCCTTGTTGCAGTATGTGGATGACCTTCCTCTAGCAGCCCCAACCCAGGAGGACTGTTATCAAAAAACTCAAGACCTCCTCCATCTCCTATGAAAAACAGGCTAAAATTATCTTTTAAAAAAGGACCAATTATTCATAAAAATGTCAAATATGTAGGTTTCATAGTAAGCCATGTGGAATGCCAGCTTGGCCATAAGCAGAAACAGGCCGTTTGTACACTCCTGACACAAACCACTAGGCATTACATTAAAAAATTCTTAAAAGAAGAAAAATTCCACCATATCTAAATCATAAATTTTTCACTGATGGCTAAGCCATTATATAATATTACAAAAGGGGTAAAAACGAAACCCTCCTCTGGCAAACTAAACAGCAAATATCATTTAAAAAAATCAAAAAAACCCTTAACTCAAGTCCCAGCCTTTGGTCTGCCAAATGTAACTTAGCCTTTCTTTCTGTACCTGCATAAATGAAAAGAAATGGCTATGTGGTTCTTAACTGAAATTATAAAATTATAGCATTGTCCAGTCAAATACTAATCTAAACAATTAGACTCTGTGGCACTAGGATGGCCTCCTTGCCTTAAGGCATTAGCCACCACTGCCTTGCTAATGCAAGAGGATAACACACTTACTTTGAGACAGCAGCTAACAGTCCATGTGCCACACTCAGTCAAAACTTTGATGAACAAATAAGCCATCATTAGTTGTCAAATCTGAGAATAACGCAGTACCAAGGACTTCTATATGAAAACCCTTACATTACTTAAAATACAGCAAACAACTTAAGCCCAACCACCCTGCTCCCAGTCAAATTTGATGCTCCCCTCCATAACTGTGTCTAAACAGTGGATCACGTATTTGCTGAACCAGGAGATCTTACAGATCAATCCCTCAAAAACCCAGATGTTGAATACTTCATAACTGAAAGAGTTTTGAGCTAGAAAAAAATCCAACAAGCCGAGTATGCAGTGGTAACATTAAACTCAATGATAGAAGCTCAATCTTTGCCTACTGGAACATGAGACCAAAAGGCAAAATTAATAGACCGAACAAGAGCCCTTTTGCTGCAAAAGAAAAAAAGGTCAATATTTAAACACATTCTAAATATGCTTTTACCACACTACATGTTCATAGAACTATATATAAAAAGAAAATTTCTTGACAACTGGAGGCAAATAAATAAAGTGGACAGAAAAAATCCTACAGCTCTTAGCAGCTGTATATGCTCCAGAAAAAGTGGCAATAGTGCATTATCTGGAACACCAAAAGGCAGGGAAGTCAAAAGCCAAAAGAAACAGGAAAGCTAACACTTTCCCCACATAACCTTGATATAAAAAAGCACCCAAAAAATGATGCCCACCCTCTACTCATACTACATAGCCCCAAAACAACATAGCCAGGCCCACTGCTACTCAGTTAATAGCTCTAACTAAATGTCAACCTGTGCCAAAAGAAGAAAACATGCTTTCCCATAAAGAATAAAATGATACTAATGCCTTCGATTAAATTTATCCTATAAAATGATTTTTTAAAAAAACAGAAAAATTTGGCAAGACAAGGGTTCAAATGAAAAGAAAACATGTTTTTCTCTGTGTAGCTATCTCACTCCAAGACAGTTATAAAATAACACTGTCTAAAAAGTTGAGGCCAAGGGAATGGGTCACAAATACCCTACACTGAAGCAAAGTTCAAAAGGAAAGCAAATTACTTTACTGTCTCTCCTTCTCTGAAGCATTAATTATGACTATGTTTACCAATGCTTGTATTTCGTAAAATCTGTATGTTCCTGTTTCTCTTTCAACCTAGCTGCAAAACCCAGCTATGCAAGGCAAGAAGTTATGCAAGTCAACAATTATGCTGTAAATTACATAACTGTTCATTGTATAATTAGTTGCTTTAGGTCTGCTTCTGTAAGTTTGCTCATAAAAACCCTGCTCAGTCTTTATTCAATACTCAGCCTTTTTGGATATAAGCTCACTGAGCTGGTGCACCTAAATAAATCCTCCTGTTTCCCCATATCAGCCTCACTCATACTCTGTTTCCATCAACACCAGTCATATTTCCAAAGTTTTTATCTTTTTTTGAGACAGAGTCTTGCTCTGTCACCCAGGCTGGGGTGCAGTCTCACCTTACCGCAGCCAGTGCCTCCTGGGATGAAGGAATTCTCCTGCCTCAGCCTCCTGAATAGCTGGGACTACACACACACCACCATGCTTGACTAATTTTTGTATTTTTATTTATTTATTTTTTCTTTTTTTATTATACTTGAAGGTTTAGGGTACATGTGCAAAATGTGCAGGTTAGTTACATATGTATACATGTGCCATGTTGGTGTGCTGCACTCATTAACTCATCATTTAACATTAGGTATATCTCCTAATGTTATCCCTCCCCTCTCTCCCCACCCAACAACAGGCCCCAGTGTGTGATGTTCCTCTTCCTGTGTCTGTGTATTCTCATTGGTCAATTCCCACCTGTGAGTGAGAACATGCGGTGTTTGGGTTTTTGTCCTTGCGATAGTTTGCTGAGAATGATGGTTTCCAGCTTCATGCATGGCCCTACAAAGGACATGAATTCAACATGTTGTATGGCTGCATAGTATTCCATGGTGTATATGTGCCACATTTTCTTGATCCAGTCTATCATTGTTGGACATTTGGGTTGGTTCCAAGTCTTTGCTATTGTGAATACTGCCGCAATAAACATACGTGTACATGTGTCTTTATAGCAGCATGTTTTGTAATCTTTTGTGTGTATACCCAGTAATAGGGATGGCTGGGTCAAATGGTATTTCTAGTTCTAGATCCCTGAGGACTTGCCACACTGACATTCACAATGGTTGAACTAGTTCACAGTCCCACCAACAGTGTAAAAGTGTTCCTATTTCTCCATATCCTCTCCAGCACCTGTTGTTTCCTGACTTTTAATGATTGCCATTCTAGCAGGTGTGAGATGGTATCTCATTGTGGTTTTGATTTACATTTCTCTGATGGCCAGTGATGATGAGTATTTTTTCATGTGTCTTTTGGCTGCATAAATGTCTTCTTTTAAGAAGTGTCTGTTCGTATCCTTCGTCCACGTTTTGATGAGGTTGTTTCTTTTTTTCTTGTAAATATGTTGGATTTCATTGTGGCTTCTGGATATTAGCCCTTTGTCAGATAAGTAGATTGCAAAAATTTTCTCCCATTCTGTAGGTTGCCTGTTCTCTCTGACGGTAGTTTCTTTTGCTGTGCAGATGCTCTCTAGTTAAATTAGATCCCATTTGTCAATTTTGGCTTTTGTTGCCATTGCTTTTGGTGTTTTAGACATGAAGTTCTTGCCCATGCCTATGTCCTGAATGGTATTGCCTACATTTTCTTCTAGGGTTTTTATGGTTTTAGGTCTAACATTTAAGTCTTTAATCCATCTAGAATTAATTTTTGTATAAGGTGTAAGGAAGAGATCCAGTTTCAGCTTTCTGCATATGGCTAGCCAGTTTTCCCAGCACCATTTATTAAATAGGGAATCCTTTCCCCATTTCTTGTTTTTGTCAGGTTTGTCAAATATCAGATGGTTGTAGATATGTGGCATTATTTCTGAGGGCTCTGTTCTGTTCCATTGGTCTATATCTCTGTTTTGGTACCAGTACCATGTTGTTTTGGTTACTGTAGCCTTGTAGTATAGTTTGAAGTCAGGTAGCGTGATGCCTCCAGCTTTGTTCTTTTGGCTTAGGATTGACTTGGAAATGCGGGCTCTTTTTGGGTCCCATATGAACTTTAAAGTAGTTTTTTCCAATTCTGTGAAGAAAGTCATTGGTAGCTTGATGGGGATGGCATTGAATCTATAAATTACCTTGGGCAGTATGGCCATTTTCACGATATTGATTCTTCCTACCTATGAGCATGGAATGTTCTTCCATTTGTTTGTATCCTCTTTTAATTCATTAAGCAGTGGTTTGTGGTTCTCCTTGAAGAGGTCCTTCACGTCCCTTGTAAGTTGGATTCCTAGGTATTTTATTCTCTTGGAAGCCATTGTGAATGGGAGTTCACTCATGATTTGGCTCTCTATTTGTCTGTTATTGGTGTCTAAGAATGCTTGTGATTTTTGCACATTGATTTTGAATCCTGAGACTCTGCTGAAGTCTATCAGCTTAAGGAGATTTTGGGCTGAGACAATGGGGTTTTCTAGATATGCAATCATGTCATTTGCAAACAGGGACAATTTGACTTCCACTTTTCCTAATTAAATACCATTTTTTCCTTCTGCCTGATTGCCCTGGCCAGAACTTCCAACACTATATTGAATAGGAGTGGTGAGAGGGGGTATCCCTGTCTTGTGCCAGTTTTCAAAGGGAATGCTTCCAGTTTTTGCCCATTTAGTATGATATTGGCTGTGGGTTTGTCATAGATAGCTCTTATTATTTTGAGATATTCCCATCAATACCTAATTTATTGAGAATTTTTAGCATGAAGCATTGTTGAATTTTGTGAAAGGCCTTTTTTGCATCTATTGAGATAATCATATGGTTTTTGTTATTGGTTCTCTTTATATGCTGGATTATGTTTATTGATTTGTGTATGTTGAACCAGCCTTGCATTCCAGAGATGAAGCCCACTTGATCATGGTGGATACACTTTTTGATGTGCTGCTGGATTTGGTTTGCCAATATTTTATTGAGGATTTTTGCATCGATGTTCATCAGGGTTATTGGTCTAAAATTCTCTTTTTTTGTTGTGTCTCTGCCAGGCTTTGGTATCAGGATGATGCTGGCCTCATAAAATGAGTTAGGGAGGATTCCCTCTTTTTCTATTGATTGGAATACTTTCGGAAGGAAAGGTACCATCTCTTCCTTGTACCTCTGGTAGAATTTGGCTGTGAATCCATCTTGTTCTGGACTTTTTTTGTTTGGTAAGCTATTAATTATTGCCTGAATTTCAGAGCCTCTTATTGGTCTCTTCAGAGATTCAACTTCTTCCTGGTTTAGTCTTGGGAGGGGGTATGTGTCAAGGAATTTATCCATTTCTTCTAGATTTTCTAGTTGATTTGCATAGAGGTGTTTACAGTATTCTCTGATGGTAGTTTGTATTTCTGTTGGATCGTAGTGATATCCCCTTTTTCATTTTTTATTGCATCTGTTTGATTCTTTTCTCTTTTCTTCTTTATTAGTCTTGCAAGATGTCTATCAATTTTGTTGATGTTTTCAAAAAACCAGCTCCTGGATTCATTGATTTTTTGAAGGGTTTTTGTGTCTCTATTTCCTTCAGTTCTGCTCTGATCTTAGTTATTTATTGCCTTCTGCTAGCTTCTGAATGTGTTTACTCTTGCTTCACCCACTTTCCGACACTCCCCAGTGAGATGAACCCAGTACCTCGGTTGGAAATGTAGAAATCACCCATCTTCTGCTTCACTCACACTGGGAGCTGCAGGCTGGAGCTGTTCCTATTCACAATCTTGGCTCCACCCCCAGTGTGGTTTCTTTTTCTGTGTCAGGTGTTCTCAGTGTTCAGCTCTGACTCATGAGTGAGGAAATGTAGTGTTTGGTTTTCTGTTCCTGTGTTACTTTGCTGAGGATGATGGTTCCATCTTTATCCATGTCCTTGCAAGAGACATGATCTAATTGCTTTTTGAAGCTGCAAAGTATTTCATTGTGTATATGTACTACATTTTATGTATCTAGTTGATAATGTTCTCTGAGTAAAGTCGGCATTTGAGTTGATTCTATGTGTTTGCTGCTGTTAATTGTACTGCAATAAACATACACGTGCAGGTATCTTTCAAATATGAAACATTTGTATTTTGGGGGTAGATAGCCAGTAATGACATTGCTCGGTCAATGTTGTTTCTAGATCCTTGAACAAATTACCACGCTGTCTTCCACAGTGTGGACACTAATTTACTTTCCCACCAACAGTTTAGAAGTCTTCCTGTCTCTCCACAGACTTTCCAGCATCTGTTATTTCTTGACGTTTTAATAGTCACCATTCTGACAGGCCTGAGGTGGTATCTCATTGTGATTCTGATTTGTATTTCTCTACTGATTAATGATGTTGCCCTTTCTGAGTTAAAAAAAACCTTTTAAGAGAAAATAGGTCAAGAAAAAAATCAAGATGATTACTCAAAGACACCACATACAGGGTTTAATTAGATAGATTTGATAACAAACATTTATAAGGCCATGAGCAATAGTGTTAGTGCCAAAGCTAAGAACTCTTTAGAATAAGATTAGCTCCTGTTTTACAGTACATGTGTCATATCCCTCTGAAGTTTGAAGGACCAATAACTCTTTTCTTACTCTAACCTGGTCTTCCAGTATTAGCTCTTCAATAGCCATTTCACCTGAGTTTTTAACACTATTCTGAAAGAAAAATATTATTTGCCCAATTTATAAGATGGAGATACAAAGGGGCTGGAAAGTAGAACAGGAAACAGTTGGTGAAAAATCAGCACTTCTGTAAAATTTCCACCAACCTTTCTTTTCAAGTGGTTTCTTATTTCTTCTTCAGAACACTCCAGAATAGGAAATTTTAAAGTATTTTCATTGACAAGACACAAAGATATTTGCTCTCATTTTAGGCTGTTTCAATTTTTATGTCTTCAGATTTACTGAAGCTCAATCTGTTGTTAAAGTTATTTAATAGTTTTTTTTTAATCCAAGTAATTGTGCTTCTTATCTCTAGATTTTTCAGGTTTTCTTTTTTAATTTGTCTTCTGGAAGGACTTTTTTAAGGAGTCAGAGGGACCGATGGGGTTGAGGAGGATACTTATTATGTAGATGCACCGGCCCACTCAGATTAACCTCTGAAGGACTGAGCCCTGAACAAAGAGTTAAGTTACCTTTTAAGCATTCTGCCTTTTCCCATCAGGCAATACAAGACTTTCCAATTATGGAGATTTGCAACAAGCAAACACTGGCTGAGACTGCTGGCTTTATTGGTAGGGTTTGGCGAAGTGAAGTTATCTTGTGGCATTAATTCCTTTGCCCCCCCATGGCCACTGGTCCCCCGTATTAGTTCCTACACTTACATAGCATGAGGAAATTCCTCAGCCGCCAGCTATGTTTTCAGCTAGTTGAACAAACACATTTTTGGTTGATGGGGAAAGCTCAGGCATTGACTGATCAAAATGCTTACTTCTAGCCTTTTTGACAGTTAGTAGCAGAATTCCAGAGCCAGCTCCTTGTCTATCAACTTGTAATAGTGCTGTGCATCCTTTAGACCAAAAAGGTAGCTCTGGCTTTAAGGAGCTGTGTTAGTATAGATCACTGAATGTTACAGTCTGGGTATCCGATTTGTGGTCTCCATCTAGATATTTGAGACTGCTGCTGTTAAACCTTTCTTGTGTCAAACCACCGCGGACTGCTTCTGTTTCTGTTTTGTTTTGTTTTGTTTTAAGATTATGATCATCCCCAGCCTGGCAGGCATCAAAGTACAAGAGAATAGGCCCTTTATAGGAGGGAGGGGCTTCTTCATGTTGACCTATAAACTCTCCTTCTTTTTCTCCCTCTGATTTAATATGTACCTCAAACCAGAATTCACAGGGTAAGCACTTAGGGTCATAACATACATATAGCTGATTATTTCCTGGGTCACAGGCTGAATAAGGGGTGATTGGTTTTCTTACATACAACTGAGTTTCTGCTTACACATTCTTTAATTTCTTTTAATTCCTGTTCCAATCTCACTGATATTCCCATGTTGATCTTTTATCTTTCATCTGTCATTTTTTATTTGTTCATACTTAAAACTGCAGGTTTAAAGTTTTTGTCTAAAAAGTTTAGGACAGTTTCAGTTTGTGTTTTTACTTCACATTAGCCATAAATTTGTGGGATTTTTTGTGCTTTTATTTTTTAGAATGCTATATTTAAAATATTATAACATGTTAACTCTGATAGTCAGGTATTCTTTATTTATTCAAGATGTGCCCTTTGTTGTTTAAGGCTTAGCTGGAATTCCAACAGCGTTTTGACAGAGTGTAATATAAAAATATCAATTTTTAAAATTGGGTCTGTATTAACACTCCCCTTTATCATGTAGGGAGATAGCTTAAAATTCTGCGTTAGCCTTCACTTTCTTCTCACATTAAAATTATAGCTAATTTTCTGAATTAATGCTTAGAGTTTTGCGCATTTTTGAAAATATCTTCTGTTATGTTTATGTAACTAAGTTTTTAAATACCTCAGGTTATTTTAATACTTTTGAAAGTCAAGATTTTTTTTGAAATAAAGATCTATTCATCTTTTACTTTATTTTACACGTTGTCTATTTTATACATCAACGGTATCCTTTGCTCCCAGGACTTAAATGTTAGTTACCTGTGCTTAACATTTTTAACTATAAATCAGTTCTGCATCAGACAAAACAGAGATAAGTGTGCCTCATCAATAATTTATGTAACCCCTAAAGGGTAGAACAAACTCAATAAATTAGCACAGACATTATTCTTCACACCTTCCTAGATCAGAAATCCCAGCCTCACTTTGCGAATGTGGAATTTAACTTTTGAAACGTCATCTGTGCCTGGATGGTTGAATGCAAAGACCGCAAAAAATTTCCCAGCGGTTTCAACTTGTCTTTCTTGATTAACTCTTTGATTGGTTGATATAAATAATTATTGGTTTCCAAGGTCTAGACAATTTTTTTAATTACTTGTTATTTATGAAGCGATAATTGTATTTTCACATGAGTTTATTTATATTTAGAAGATTTATAATTTTACCTGTTACTAACGTTGAGTAAAATAAGTCAATCTACTAATTTGGATTCCTGAATATTAGGTGGTAATAGTATAAAGCCGGCTTTGTTTTGCTTTTGCTTTGTTCTTAAGTGAGGTTATCAATTCCATATAAAATACATTAGGCAGGATTCTATATTACCAAGTACGTTTTGGTTGTATATAAAAAACTTATAAAATAATTTGCTTACATGGAGACTGTCAATACCTAAATGAAAGAACAAGAGAATAAGCCTGTAATTATGCAGTAGGATCAAAAAGTGTAAAGACTCCTGGCATAAGCCTGCTTATCGTGTTAGGAAAAATGGCAAGATCACCGTGGCTGAAGCATAGTGTGGAAGGGGAACAATTATTGATGAGCTCATGGAGCTGACACACATTCCTTGTGATTTTCTAGGGTTTTCTATAGATCAATAGATTTTACTCTAAGCCTGATTCATGACTGGGAGTGGAATTCTTAAGGTTGCTTTTAGCATCTAGTGGTTAGATGCTAGAAATGAAGATAAATATTCTAAAATCTAAGTATTTTAATATCTAGAGTCTCAGGTGCCTATAAAAAATTGATAGCGTTGGACTATATCTTCTGAAAATTGTAAAGAAAGGCGTACATGTAGAACTTTCTGATATTATATTTTCAAGGTTTCTTAACCCAATCTGTGTTTTTTATAAATCAGAGATGTTAAGAAGCTTTTGAAAAATTTGGTTGTTCAAGTTGAGATAAATGGGGTGAAGTCAATTATGTTGATTTATGATTAGAAGCTAAACCATAGAGTTTATATTTCTCCCCTTTTCTTTCTCATTACATTTTAATAATTTCTGTGCAACGCTAATATAGCAAATGAAACTGTAGACAGTCTAAGTTTCTGGGGTCCCAAGAAAGAAAATTCAGTCACTGATGATTGGTGAAGAGCTAAATTTCACTACAGCTGGAAGGCATACACAATACACATCAACATATGTATATTGGCACACCACATTATGCATACACATTATGCATAACGTTTTTATAAGACAGATACTGAATGTGTCTTTTTGTGTGTGTGTGTGTGTGTGAACATTTTTCTTTTTTTATTATTATACTTTAAGTTTTAGGGTACATGTGCACATTGTGCAGGTTAGTTACATACGTATACATGTGCCATGCTGGTGCGCTGCACCCACTAACTCGTCATCTAGCGTTAGGTATATCTCCCAATGCTATCCCTCCCCACTCGCCCCACCCCTCAACAGCCCCCAGAGTGTGATATTCCCCTTCGTGTGTCCATGTGATCTCATTGTTCAATTCCCACCTATGAGTGAGAATATGCAGTGTTTGGTTTTTTGTTCTTGTGATAGTTTACTGAGAATGATGATTTCCAATTTCATCCATGTCCCTACAAAGGACATGAACTCATCATTTTTTATGGCTGCATAGTATTCCATGGTGTATATGTGCCATATGCAGCCAAAAAACACATGAAAAAATGCTCATCATCACTGGCCATCAGAGAAATGCAAATCTAAACCACAATGAGATACCATCTCACACCAGTTAGAATGACAATCATTAAAAAGTCAGGAAACAACAGGTGCTGGAAAGGATGTGGAGAAATAGGAACACTTTTACACTGTTGGTGGGACTGTAAACTAGTTCAACCATTGTGGAAGTCAGTGTGGCGATTCCTCAGGGATCTAGAACTGGAAATACCATTTGACCCAGCCATCCCATTACTGGGTATATACCCAAAGGACTATAAATCATGCTGCTATAAAGACACATGTACACGTATGTTTATTGCGGCATTATTCACAATAGCAAAGACTTGGAACCAACCCAAATGTCCAACAATGATAGACTGGATTAAGAAAATGAATGTGTCTTATGATACAAAAGTTGCTAGAATCTTGTAATAAAGAAGCCAAGCAAATACCAGGTTTTCAAGAATTATAGTTGGGGCTAGATAATTCTTCTTTTGCAGAAGCTGTTAAACAGAAATAACCGTCAAGTACTCTCTACTGTTTAAGAAAGATATTTGATAGATGATTTTAAAGTAGACATCCAGGATTCAATATATTTATGCTCTTTCTTGTTTTAAAAGAATCCAAACAAATAAGCACCTGACGTACAGGTTCTCTTCTTAATGCTAGAGAGTAATCCACAAAGCAAAACCCCTACAGAGACAGACTTTGCTTTCTCCCTGAGATTAAAAGATTGCTGCTCAATACAAAAAAAAAAAAAAGTTATTTAATATATGAAGGAAAAGCTATGCTAGTTAGGCACATTCTTGGGACCAGGCAGACAATGTGAAATCTAGACATTAGCAGACTTTAAGTGGTGTATGTGGGCTGGCATTATTGATAGAATTCAAGTTATTCCGGGCTAAATTGTATGTAGAGAAATATATTTGTTGGAGTTTTTACTTGGCTCAGTAATTTTTCAATGAGTCAGAGATCCAGATATTGGTACATTTTAACTGGTGTAAGTGCATTGGCATTATTTATGGAAATCAAGTTATTCAAATGAAACTTGTAGCTAGGGAGGTGTATTTCTTAATGTGTGTCATTTTCCTCTTCCTGTGTCCCTGTGTTCTCATCGTTCAGTTCCCACCTATGAGTGAGAATATGTGGTGTTTGGGTATTTCTCCTTGTGATAGTTTGCTGAGAATGATGGTTTCCAGCTTCATGCATGTCCCCACAAAGGACATGAATTCAACATTTTTTTATGGCTGCATAGTATTCCATGTTGTATATGTGCTACATTTTCTTGATCTAGTCTATCACTGTTGGACACTTGGGTTGGTTCCAAGTCTTTGCTATTGTGAACAGTGCCACAATAAACATACGTGTGCATGTGTCTTTATAGCAGCATGTTTTGTAATCTTTTGTGTATATACCCAGTAATAGGGATGGCTGGGTCAAATGGTATTTCTAGTTCTAGATCCCTGAGGACTTGCCACACTGACATTCACAATGGTTGAACTAGTTCACAGTCCCACCAACAGTGTAAAAGTGTTCCTATTTCTCCACATCCTCTCCAGCATCTGTTGTTTCCTGATTTTTAATGATTGCCATTCTAACTAGTGTGAGATGGTATCTCATTGAGGTTTTGATTTACATTTCTCTGATGGCTAGTGATGATGAGCATTTTTTCATGTGTCTTTTGGCTGCATAAATGTCTTCTTTTAAGAAGTGTCTCTTCATATCCTTAGTCCACTTTTTGATGGGTTTTTTTTTTTTTTTTTCCTTGTAAATTTGTTGGAGTTCATTGTGGCTTCTGGATATTAGCCCTTTGTCAGATAAGTAGATTGCAAAAATTTTCTCCCATTCTGTAGGTTGCCTGCTCACTCTGATGGTAGTTTCTTTTGCTGTGCAGAAGCTCTTTAGTTTCTTTAGATCCCATTTGTCCATTTTGGCTTTTGTTTTGTTTTGTGTGAATTTGATCCTTTCATTATGATATTAGCTGATTATTTTTCTTGTTAGTTGATGCAGTTTCTTTCTAGCCTCAATGGTCTTTACAATTTGGTATGTTTTTGCAGTGGCTGGTACTGGTTGTTCCTTTCCATGTTTAGTGCTTCCTTCAAGAGCTGTTTTGGGGCAGGCCTGGTGGTGACAAAATCTCTCAGCATTTGCTTCTTTGTAAAGGATTTTATTTCTCCTTCACTTATGAAGCTTCGTTTGGCTGGATATGAAATTCTGGGTTGAAAATTCATTTCTTTAAGAATGTTGAATATTGGCCCCCACTCTCTTCTGGCTTGTAGAGTTTATGCTGAGAGATCAGCTGTTAGTGTGTTGGGCTTCCCTTTGTGGGTAACCCAACCTTTCTCTCTGACTGTCCTTAACATTTTTTCCTTGTTTTCAACTTTGGTGAATCTGCCAATTATGTGTCTTGGAGTTGCTCTTCTTGAGGAGTATCTTTGTGGTGTTCTCTGTATTTCCTGAATTTGAATATTGGCCTGCCTTGCTAGATTGGGGAAGTTCTCCTGGATAATATCCTGCAGAGTGTTTTCCAACTTGGTTCCATTCTCCCCGTCACTTTCAGGTACACAAATCAGATGTAGATTTGGTCTTTTCACATATTCCCATATTTCTTGGAGGCTTTCTTTGTTTCTTTTTATTCCTTTTTCTCTAAACTTCTCTTCTCCACTTCATTCATTTCATCTTCCATCACTGAGACCCTTTCTTCCAGTTGATCCAGTAGCAGATTCAGTGCAGATCCAGTAGTAGCTGTATCTCATACAGCAGTGGTCATCCAGCAAATTCCAACTGATCTGCTACTGAGGCTTGTGCATTCATCACATAGTTCTCTTGCCTTGGTTTTCAGTTCCATCAGGTCCTTGAAGGACTTCTCTGCATTGGTTATTCTAGTTAGCCATTCGTCTAATTTTTTTGTTAAGGATTTTAACTTCTTTGCCATGGGTTTGAACTTTCTCATTTAGCTTGGAGTAGTTTGATTGTCTGAAGACTTCTTGTCTCAATTGGCCAAAGTCATTCTCCATTCAGCTTTGTTCCATTGCTGGTGAGGAGCTGCATTCCTTTGGAGGAGGAGAGGTGCTCTGATTTTTAGAGTTTCCAGTTTTTCTGCTCTGTTTTTTCCCCCATCTTTGTGGTTTTGTCTACCTTTGGTCTTTGATGATGGTGACATACAGATGGGGTTTTGGTGTGGATGTCCTTTCTGTTTGTTAGTTTCCCTTCTAACAGTCAGGACCCTCAGCTGCAGGTCAGTTGGAATTTGCTGGATGACCACTCCAGACCCTGTTGGCCTGAATATCAGCAGCAGAGGCTGCAGAACAGCGGATATTGGTGAAGAGCAAATATTGCTGCCTGATCGTTCCTCTGGAAGTTTTGTTTCAGAGGAGTACCCTGCTGTATGAGGTGTCAGTCAGCCCCCAGTGGGGGATGTCGCCCAGTTAGGCTACTTGGGGGTCAGGGACCCACTTGAAGATGCAGTCTTTCCATTCTCAGATCTCCAGCTGCATGCTGGGAGAACCACTACTCTCTTCAAGCTGTCAGATAGGGACATTTAAGTCAGCAGAGATTTCTGCTGCCTTTTGTTTGGTTATGCCTTGCCCACAGAGATGGAGTCTACACAGGCAAGCAGGCCTCCTTGAGTTGCGGTGGGCTCCACCCAGTTCGAGGTTCCCAGCCTCTTTATTTACCTACTCAAGCCTCAGCAATCATGGGTGTCCCTTCCCCAGCCTCGCTGCCCCCTTGGAGTTTAATCTCAGACTGCTGTGCTAGCAATGAGTGAGGCTCCTTGGGCATAAGACCCTCTGAGCCAGGCACAGGATATAATCTTCTGGTATGCCATTTGCTAAGACCATTGGAAAAGTGCAGTATTAGGGTGGGAGTGACCTGATTTTCCAGGTGCCATCTGTCACCCCTTTCTTTGACTAGGGAGGGAATTCCCTGACCCTTTGCAC